>NC_000004.12:183769865-184072896 GCF_000001405.40 Homo sapiens
GCACTTTGGGAGGCCGAGGCGGGTGGATCACCTGAAGTCAGGAGTTCGAGACCAGCCTGACCAACATGGTGAAACCCTGTCTCTACCAAAAATACACAATTAGCTAGGCATGGTGGTGTGTGCTTGTAATCCCAGCTACTCTGGAGGCTGAGGCAAGACAGTTGCTTCAACCCAGGAGGCAGAGGTTGCGGTGAGCTGAGATCATGCCATTGCACTCCAGCCTGGGTGACAAGAGCGAAACTCCTTCTTGGGGGGGAAAAAAAGGCAGAATGAGATGTCATTTCTATCACTCTGATGTAATGGTGACGGTGTAATGGTGGCTTGAAAGATAAAACAATTGAGTTAAAGAAAAATAAAGCTGTATTTTGTACATATCCCAGTGTGCAAGATAAAAGCATACAGAGATGTAGTCCTGCTACAAATGTGTAGAACACTTTATTTTTGCTCCTCTAATTAGACCATATACTCCTATGATGGGGATTGTATCTGCTTTACATTAAGTGTATTGCACACCAGTGTTTGTGAACAGAGGTGTGTATGTGTGCGTGTGTGTGTGTGTGATGTTACTGTGACTGTGGTATATGAAGAACTGTCTTGATTCAGGACAACTCAGCCAATATTTCTGACGTTAGATTTGATCAATTTTTGCCTTTTTGGGGTCTAACTTTGGAATCACACTTAAAACTCCCTCATGAATGTTGGGAAGAAGTATTTTTGCTGAGGAAAAACTGAACTCACAGAGCAAAATGTAAAGAAAAAATGGAAATTGAGAAGGTAGTAAAATACTAATGAAAGGAAGGAAATTGTGGAAAGAGTTGCTGTCAGCTGGGGACTCAAAAGGAAGGAACAGGTCGGTTCAAGGTCATAGGGTCATCAGAGAGGAGTGCAGACTGGCCTCCAACCAAGCACAGGGCAGGAGCCTAAGGTCCTCAGAATTAAATTTATTTCATAAATGGTGTTCAAATCCAATTAAGTAGGTCCAGATTTACAGTGATTTCAAGTGAAGCTTTTAACTGAAACCTGAGGCCTGAAAGTGGGTTTACTCCTGTGCTTTTGGTTAAAGCAAGAATCGTTAGTTAGACAAAGCAAAGCAACAGTAAAGCAATTTTATGTTTTTGAAATCCTCGGGCAGGTGAGCTTGTTCTGCCTAAGGGTAAACCAGCCTCTACCACTTGTTCTCTCAAGTTACGGGCTTTGAGGGAGCCCTGTGAAAAATTGCCGTGTAATGGATCTGTACTGAGGTGGTTGACTGATAAGGTGCTTTGTGTTAGAAAGGTGCCTGGGCAATGTAAACATAACGACAAGGAGCTCTCACAGGCTTCATGTTCAAATCTCGTGGGGGAAAGAGATGCTGGAAGAGCTTCCTCCATCGGGAGAGGTGAGGTTGCCACCTGGTTCCCAAGTCATAGGAATCTGGTGCTATCTTAGACTCACTCACAGGAGCTAATGGTAGTTTTGCAAATGTGTCGATTGGGAAATGCTACAAAAAGCGGTTTCTAGGGGGAACATTTTCTCTGTATTGTAAATGATACAAAAATTGGATAGTGTGGGGCACAGTAGCTCACACCTGTAATCCCAGGGACTCAGGAGACTGAGGTGGGAGGATCACTTGAGCCCAGGAGTCTGAGTCTTCAGTGAACTCTGATCACACCATCGCACTCCAGCATCTGCAAGAGAGCCAGACCCTGTCTCTAAAAAAAAAAACATTAGATGGCAAGGTCAGAAAACATTAAATAAATTTATTTAAGTTCTATATAAGGTTGTTATTATAATGATCACATTAAGGGCAGGTGAATTGGTGTACAGCTATATTGAAGTCAATAATCTGAGCACCAAAATGATCAGAAAATGTAGAGTATTTCTATAATAAATGAGGATTTATATGTTCTAAATAATCAGTTATTTCCTCCAAGGGAAGATCCATATTAGTTGAACATTTCAGTAATTCTCCGAACATGGACAGCAATTTGTTTCTGCCCATTCCAGTAGGAGAAACACTGGCTTGAGGATTTTACAATGAATGTGTACAGCAATTTTTGTGTTTGGTATTGTGGCCACTGTATAGGGTGGATTTATTGCCGCCTTCCACTTGCATATAATCCACAGGAGGTCTCTTCAGAGCCAGTTCCTTTTTTTTTTTTTTTTTTTTGAGACGGAGTCTGGCTCTGTCGCCCAGGCTGGAGTACAGTGGCGCGATCTCGGCTCACTGCAAGCTCCGCCTCCCGGGTTCACGCCATTCTCCTGAATCAGCCTCCGGAGTAGCTGGGACTACAAGTAGAGGGGACTACAGGCGCCTGCCAACATGCCCGGCTAATTTTTTGTATTTTTAGTAGAGATGGGTTTTCACCATGTTAGCCAGGATGGTCTCGATCTCCTGACCTCATGATCCGCCCGCTTCGGCCTCCCAAACTGCTGGGATTACAGGCATGAGCCACAGTGCCCGGCCCAGAGCCAGTTCCTTTTATAATGACACGTGCCTGAGACTCTCCTGTCCCTGGTCTGTCTGGTGGACTGAGTCACCCCTAAAGACCACTTTGTAGTCATAGAACATCATCTGTCCCCAGTCAACACATTTATTTATCTATTTTCTGAATAATCAGGTCCAAATTCCTCTACCTGGCTTCCAAGACCTTCTGTGGTATAGCGCCAATGGAATTCCTGGGTTTGAGTCACATTTCAGAACATGTTAGCTAAGGCCTATACCTTGCCAGGTGCTTGTGTGTGGGTGGGTCTATGTACAGGTCATAAAGATACCATGCAGGGAGATTGAGCTCCAACACTACAAGCTCATCTCCTCATCAACCCAGCTGCAAACTGTGTTACTACTTCCTGTATTTCCTTCAAGCAAAATATCTTGCCATTTCCATACTGCTATTCATATCCCTCAGGGTCCAATGTCTCTGTTCATTTAGGCTGCCATAACAGAATCCCAGACATGAACAACAGACAATTACTTCTCACGGTTCTGGAGGCTGGGAAGTCCAAGAGCAAGGTGCTGGCAGATTCAGTGTCTGATGAGGCCCCTCTCCTTAGTTTATAGTCCAGAAAGCCTTCTCACTCTGTCCTCACATGGTGGAAGGAGTGAGGGATTTTTCTAGAGTCTCTTTTATAAGGGCACTAATCCCATTTATAAGGGGCTCTGCCCCCATGACCTAATCACCTCCCAAAAGCCCCACCTCCCAATGCTATTGCATTGGAAGCTAGGAATTCAACATGTGAATTCTGGGGGGACACAAACATTCAGACCACAGGACCCAGCAAATGTTTCTTGTTCTGGCTACTTTAGTCCTCCCTGTTTTTTGCGCTGAAATTTCACGGTAATGATACTGGGCTGGGTGCAGTGGCTCACACCTGTAATCCCAGCACTTTGGGAGTCTAAGGTAGGAGGATCACTTGAGCCCAGAGGTTCGAAACCAGCCTGGGCAACACAGTGAGACACTGTTCCTACAAAAAAAATTTAAAAATTAACCGGGGGTGGTTGCGGACTCCTGTGGTCCTAGCTACTCGGGAGGCTGAGGTGGGAGGATCACTTGAGCCCAGGAGATTGAGGCTGCAGTGAGCTGAGATTGTGCCACTGCACTCCAGCCTGGTGACAGAGTGAGACCCTATCTCAAAAACAAAACAACAAAACAAACAAAAAACTCCAAAGTAACAATACTCTCTTCCACACAGTTAAGGCCATATCATTATTTTAAATTTTGGCTTTTATTTCAGGTATGTAGGTCTCATGTCTCCCACCTACACTGTAAATTCCTTTTTTCAGCCTAGCTGGACACTCGTTAAACATTTGTTTGGTGAGTGATAATGGAAGACTCCCATTTAAACAAACAACAACAATAACAACAGCAAAAACCTCGCTCCCCTGACTGATAAAGGAGCACATCATCCTCTTCTCTACTGAAGTTTGGGGAAGACGTAGTCAGCCAAACATCTTTATCTCTGACTCTACTGACTTTCCCACTTTTAAGTGCTGGAACCAGGACCCAAACTTAGCTTTTCCGACTCCACGTTCAGTGTTCTTTCTGGGACAGTACGTGTAAGAGAACAAAAGCCTGGGTCCTCACAGCCTTCCAAAGTTACTAACCATATGAATGGAAACGTACAATGGATGACATTATTTCTTCCAGGATGTAAGAGGTTGCCAACTGTCCCGCTGCTCTTTTCAGAAGGAAGAAGACATTAACTATTTACTCCCAGAACACCTGGGACTGGGTAAGGGAAGAGAGTGATGAATGGCTTATGAGTAGATGCCCCAGAGATGGGGAAGTAGAGTGTGGCTAATTCCAGCAGCATTTTGCTCAGGCATTCCCTGAATCCCACAGCCAACGTCCATCTTTCCCAGCCTCACAAGAGGCAGTAGTCAGGAGCACAGACTATGGAGTCTGCCCACCTTGGTTTGGATCCAAGTGCCTCCTTCTAGAAGCTCTGTGGCCTTGGGCAAGTAACTTCCCCTTTCTGAGCCTCAGTTTCCCATCTCTAGGAAATCTACAACATTATAGGCTTCCTGGCAGGGCTGCTCTGAAAATTATGAGTTAATATCTGTCAAGTGCTGAGAGAGTGCCTGGCTCATAACAAATACTATGTCATGTTTCTTAAGAAACAAAAAGCAAAGAACTTATTATTTGTGGAGTTTGTTTCTCACAAAGGCACATTATGCTATCATGGAATTTGCTGCTTTCATTCAACATGTGTTTTGAGATATATTCACTATACTACAAACAGATCTAGTTCTTTCCTTGTGACTGCTCTATAGCATTACATTGTGGAAATGTATTTTATTTGGCCATTTGAATACAAATGGGCATTTAGATTGTTTCTATTTTTTGTTAGAGAATCAGTATTCAATAATACTCTCATCTATTAAGTCAAATATTTTCTATTGTAAGTATGCATTTTATTGTAAGTAAGGCTTATTTTAAAAATGCTTAGCTATGTAAAGTCACAGATCTAATATTATATTTAGTCATGAATAAATGTTTTAAAATTATGTATGAGAACATTAATTAGGAAAATGTTGCTACATTACTTTCAAAATAAGCATATGTTTTAAACAAACGTGGTTTTGGGGAGAATATATCATATAGATGCATCTGAATGCTGAAGCATCACTAAATCCCTAGCAAATGCATTTTTTGGGAATAATCTTTTTAGATTAAGTAGTATTTTATATATATATTTTGAGACAGAGTCTCACTGTGTCACCCAGACTGGAGTGCAGTGGTGCGATGTTGGCTCACTGCAGCCTCCGTCTCCTGGGTTCAAGCGATTCTCCTGCCTCCACCTCCCAAGCAGCTGGGATTACAGGGGCCTGCCGCTGCACTCTGATAATTTTCGTATTTTTTGTAGAGAAAGGATTTCACCATGTTGGCCAGGCTTGTGTCAAACTCCTGGCCTCAAATGATCTGCCCGCCTCGGCCTCCCAAAGTCCTGGGATTATAGATGTGAGCCACCACGCCTGGCTAGTTTTTGTATTTTTAGTAGAGATGAAGTTTCACCATGTTGGCCAGACTGGTCTCGAACTCCTGGCCTCAAGTGGTCTGCCAGCCTCGACCTCCCAAAGTGTTGGGATTATGGGTGTGAGCCACCATGCCTGGCCTAATGTTATATAATTTTAATGCAATCTTAAATTCTTTGTTTTCTAATATCTACTTTAAAGTTTTCTTTTTGTTCTTGAGTCCATACTTGGTGATGAATTCCATTTTTAGAGACTTAAGAGAAGGTTTTCATCAATATGACACAAGCACATACTCTTACAGTCAAATCTTTATGTCATGTAGGACACACCTACTATATCTTTGTCTGAACTCCTCACAGTGAAAGAAATAGGTACATATCCTACATGCATTCTATTACGTGTAATATTATTTATTAACTTTTAGGTTAGTTTTGATTTTTTTGAGTGTGTGTATACATTTGTGGGCTGTTTTTCATCCCCAAAGTAACACTTGCTCATTTTTAAATATTAAAAAAAAATTGAGAGCAGGATAAAATAAAATAAAATATCAAATCCCTTTCCAGTGCTTCCCAATTTTACTCACCAATGGTTGCTCCAAGTAACTGCTTGGAGCTTGGCAGGAAACAGACGGCACTCACAAAAGGGGTGATGGAAGCAGGTTTCATGAAGGGACTACTTACAAAGGAGGGGCAGAGCTAAGAGAAACTAACAAGGGGCAGTGAAGCACCCTGGGGTGGCCATAGCAGCAAGTTCTGTACCCTCTCCTAGGCCTGAAGGAACAAGGGAAGGGAGTGGATACTCACCCAGCAAGACCAACCAGTGTAGAAAAGGTCCCTGGAGAGCAGCCCAGCCCTGGGGAGAGGAACCCCGCTACTGCCCACCCTGAGGCCTGACTAGGAAGAGTGAGGAAAAGTACACCATTTCCTCTCCTCCCGGCCTCCCAGCTCCTGCCAATTTCTCCCATCAGCTAGGTCCAGCCGGAAGTCAGAGGGCAAGAGGGCCTGTTGGCGCATCCCATGGCAGCCTGCCTCCTGATGGGGCGCAGGAAAGAAAGGGGTGGGGCAGGGATCTGGAGGGGAGCTAAAGAAAATTCAGGCAGGGGGCTTACCCACAGAGTCAGTGACACCAGCCTCTGATAGCTTCTTCCCACACCACATGCATTGGCAGATTTCTCTGACTTTCTTTTTAGGGCAGTGTCACCCTCCCATGCATTGGATGATCCTTAAAGAAAAGGACTGGCAGACGGGATCTGAGCCTGGGATCCGAGCTTCCCAAATCGTTTGAGCCTCTAGCCAGGGTGCCACAAAAGGGGAGATCTGAGCAACAGACATGGCCGGTGCTAACGTTGTAATATTTAGAGTCTGACTCATCAAATCCAGGTGGTAATCCCTCAGATCCTTGGGCCACCAAGCAGATTCACGAAAGAGCACTTACCTCTTCATTAAGGCTTGACAACACATTTCCTTTCTGAGAATACAATGCTTGGGCTGGTCTGATCATATTCAGAACCACAAAATTGCTTTTGTTTAGCTGTAATCCCTTCCCCAACTTGTACCATCTTGAAACATTAGTGGAGATACTAGGAAACTGTACATCAAGTTTTTGGCCTGTTCCAAAGTTTTTGGCCATAAGATGCTGAATTATATCAAAATTGTGACCAACTAAGTTTGGATTTACTTTCAATATATTGTTATTTAATGTTACCCATGGAGTTGATTAGGAAAGACATCAAAAGGTCAGTGATTTACAAAACACTATGGTTGAGTCCTAGGAGTTAGAAGGAGAGCAGTGCACCAACACAGAGATTCAACTCTAGGAGAAAACATCAGTCCCAGCTGTGGCTAGGGTGACACTGTTGTCTGCATCTTCGCTGAAAAGGTAAGTGGAAGCCTGGATGTCCTTGTCTGTTTAGTGCTGCTGTAACAAAATATCAGAAACTGGGTAATTTACTTCTTAAATCACCACGTAAAGACCCCGCCTCTTAATACCATCACACTGGCCACCAAGTTTCAACACCTGAATTTTGGAGGGAACATGTTAAAATCATAGCACTGGGCTTAGGAGAGGATTCAGGAAAGTGATTGGAGCAACATGGAAGTAAATTCATTGTCATATGTTCTTAGCTTAGAGTCTATACTTTCTTTTCTTTTCTTTTCTTTTTTTTTTTTAGTTTTTTTGGGAGATGGAGTCTTGCTCTGTTGCCCAGGCTGGAGTGCAGTGGTGCGATCTTGGCTCACTGCAACCTCTGCCTCCTGGGTTCAAGCGATTCTCCTGCCTCAGCCTCCCGAGTAGCTGGGATTACAGGCATCCACCACCACACCTGGCTAATTTTTGTATTTTTAGTAGAGAAGGGTTTCACCATGTTGTCCGGGCTTGTCTTGAACTCCTGACCTCAGGTGATCCACCGGCCTCAGCCTCCCAAACTGCCGAGATTACAGGCATGAGCCACTGTACCTGGCCTAGAGTCTATACTTTCAGCTGCGTAGTGACTAGCAGATTTGAATAAAAGATAATCCTGAACATCTTGCAATTGCTGCAACCTAAAGCAATATAACTAGAGCTTTTCTAAACTTCTGTGCATTTTGCCCACTCTCCTTGACATGGCCCTCAAGCCAGCCAGCCCCTTCTCGGGGCTTAGTTCCTCAGTTCTCTCTCTGTGGTCCTATTAGTGACAACGGCAGACAGGCTGTCTCCAGCACAAATGGAGAACTACCTGCCACATGTCCAGACACTCAACAGTTTTAGTGCAAACCAACCGTTACAATATGTTCTGCAAACATACTTTATCTTAATTTTGTTTTTTATCAGTTTTATTGAGGTATAATCTACAGAGCATAACATACATCTCTTTTAAGTATACACTTCAAAGAATTTTAGCATATTTACAGAGTTGTACAATTATTACCATGATCTAATTTCAGAACATTTCCATGACCCTACAAAGAAACCTCTTGCTCATTAGCAGTCATTCCCAATTTTCACCCCCAGCTGTAGGCAACCACTCACCTGTTCTCTGTTTCTACAGATTTGCCTTTTCTGGACATTTCATATAAATAGGATGATAAAATCTGTGGTCACTTGTGTCTGGCTTGCTTCACTGAGCATTAGGTTCTTCCAGTTTTTAGTGTGTTTTAGCCCTTCATTCTTCTTGATTGTCAAATAGTATTCCATTGTGTGCATAAACATCTTGTTTTCCATTTATCAGTTCATGGACACATAGATTGTTTCCACTTTTTGGCTACTGTGAATAGAGCTTTTTTTTTTTTTTTTTCTTTGAAACAGAGTCTCACTCTGTCCCCCAGGCTGGAGTACAGTGGCCCAATCTCCGCTCACTGCAACCTCCGCCTCCTGGGTTCAAATGATTCTCCTACCTCAGCCTCCCAAGTAGATGGGATTACAGGCATGTGCCACTAGACTTGGCTAATTTTTTTTATTTTTTTAGTAGAGACAGGGTTTCACCATGTTGGCCAGGCTGGTCTCTAACTCAGGTGATCTGCCCGCCTCGGCCTCCCAAAATGCTGGGATTGCAGGAGTGAGCCACCACACCCTGCCAAACATTGTTTACGAGTCTTTGCATGGACATATGTTTTCATTTCATTTCCTTTCTTTTGGGTAGATAGCTATTGATACAAGCGGAATTGCTGGATCACATATGAAGTCTGTGTTTCACCTTTTGAGAAACTACTAAACTGTTCCAGAGTGGCTGTACCATCCTCCATTTCCACAAACAATGTCGGAGGGTTTCCGTTTCTCCACATCCTTGCCAACACTTATTATCGTTTGCCTTTTTAAAAAATTGTAACTGTTCTACTAGGTAAAAAATGGTATCTCATTGTGATTTTGTCAGTATGCGTTTCCTTAGTGACGAATGATGGTGAGCATCTTTTCATGCGCATTTTGGCCACGTGTATATCTTGGGGAAAATGTTTACTTAAATCTTTTGCATTTTTTTAAATTAAAAATTTTATTGAGGTAATTGTAAACCCATGCAGGTGTAAGAAATAATTCAGAGAGATCCCTTGCCCAATTTCTTCCAATGATGACATACTATATCATATCACAGCCAAGATACTAACAATGAAACAATCTACCAGGCTTACTCTTGATTCTCCTGTTTCACTTGTACTCTTTTGTGTGTGTGTGCACATATGTGTATTTAGTTCTGTGCATTTTTTTTTTTGAGACAGAGTCTCCCTCTGTCACCCAGGTTACAGTGCAGTGGCGTCATCTCGGCTCACTGCAACCTCCGCCTCCCGGGTTCAAGGGATTCTCCTGCCTCAGCCTCCTGAGTAGAGACACCACCGTGCCCGGCTAATTTTCGTATTTTTAGTAGAGACGGGGTTTCACCGTGTTGGCCATGGTTGGCCAGGCTGGTGTTGAACTCCTGACCTCAGGTGGTCTGCCCCGCATTGGCCTCCCAGAGTGCTGGGATTACAGGCGCTAGCTACTATGCCCGGCTGAGTTCTGTGCATTTTTTATCACTGATAAAGGTATGTGTATCTGTTACCACAAGATGCAGAACAGGTTTGTCTCCATAAGGGTCCCTCCTGTTGACTTTTATAACCATACCATCTACCTGCCCCACTTGGCTCCACTCCATTACACCTCCTCCCACTCCACTGCTCCTAACCTTAGGCAACCACAAGTCTGCTTTCCATTTCTATAATTTTGTCATTTCGAGAATGTCATATAAATGGAATCATGAAGTATGTAATCTGAGATTGGTTTTTTTTCTGTTAGCATAATTCCCTGGAAATTCATCCAAGATGTTCATGTATCAATACTCCATATCTTTTGATTGCTGAGTATTTCATGGTAGAATGTTCTACAGTTTATTTAACCATTCACCCACTGAAGGGTATCTGAGTTGGAAGGACATCTGAACTGTTTCCAGGTTTTGACAATTGTGCATGAAGCTTCTATGAACAGTCATATGCAGGTTTTTGTGTGAACAGAAGTTTTATTTCTCTGAGATAAATGCCCAAGAGTGCAACTGTTCAGTCATATAGTAATTGCATGTTTAGTTTCATAAGAAATTGTCAAACTTTCTCAGAGTGGCTTTACCATTTTAAGTTTCCTCCAGCAATGTATGAGTGATCGATTTCTCTGCACCCTTGCCAGCATTTGATGCTGTCACTATTTTTTATTAGTCATTTGCATAGACGTATAATGATACAATAGCTTTTTGTGATTTGAATTTGCATTTCCTTGATGGCTATGATATTGAACTTCTTTTCATGTGCTTGTTTGGTATCTGTGTCTCCTCTTCAATGAAATGTCTGTTTTGGCTTATGCCAATTTTCTAATTGAGCTACATTTTTTTTTTTTTTTTTTTTTTTTTGAGAGGGAGTCTCACTCTGTCACCCAGGCTGGAGTGCAGTGGTGCGATCTTGGCTCGCTGGAACCTCTGCCTCCCATGTTCAAGAGATTCTTGTGCCTCAGCCTCCCGAGTAGCTGGGACTACAGGTGCACACACCACCACGACCGGCTGATTTTTGCATTTTTAGTAGAGACGGGGTTTCAGTATGTTGCCCAGGCTGATATTTAACTCCTGAGCTCAAGCGATCTGCTTGCCTCAGCCTCCCAAATTGCTGAGATTACAGGTGTGAGCCACTGTGCCAAGCCATAATGGAGCTACTTATCTTTTAACCATTGAGTTTTAAGAGTTCTTGATATAATCTGGATGCAAGTTTTTTAAATCACATACATGATTTGCAAATATCTTCTCCCAATATTTGAGTGTATTTTTACTTTCTTGATGGTGTCTTTTGACATACAAAAGCTTTTAATTTTGATTAAGTCTAAGTTACCATTTTTCTCCTCTTGCATGTGTTTCTGGTATTATATCTAAGAAATCATTGCCTAACCCAAGAGCATGAAGATTTACTCCTATTCCTTCTTCTATGATTTTTAGTTTCAGCTCTCACATTTAGGTCTGTGATAAATTTTGAGTTAACTTTTGTGTATGGTGTAAGGTGCTTTTGCTTATAAATATCCAATTTTCCCAGTACTATTTGTTAAAAATACCTTCTTTCTCCTTACATTTTGTTGGCACCTTTATTGCAAATCAGTTGACCATAAGTGGAAGCACCTATTTCTGGGCTCTCAGTTTTTTTTTTTTTAAACCATTGATCGATGCGTCTGGTACCACACTGTCTTCATCCCTGTAGTCTATCTTTTTATTTTAACAAATATACTGCTATGATCTTCTGTAAATGCAGATTCTAATTTACAATTTTTTGATTCCTTGGAGTTCTGCCTTAGAATATTCAGAGGCAGCCCCATGCTTCCAGCCTGCCTGGGCCTTTCTCCTTCTCTTCCAACTCCCAGCTCTGTCTCATTGTGTTAGGAGCCTCCTGTGCACATGTTAGGCACCCTAACCCTCAGTCACAGGATGACAGTTTTATTTCTTTTCTGTTTTTTGTTGTTGTTGTTTGTTTTTGTTTTTGTTTTTGAGATGGAGTCTTGCTCTGTTGCCAAGGCTGGAGTGCAATGGCGTGATCTTGGCTCACTGCAACCTCCACCTCCCGGGATCAAGCGATTCTCCTGCCTCAGCCCCCTGAGTAGTTGGGATTGCAGGCGCCCGCCACCAAGCCCGGCTAATTTTTGTATTTTTAGTAGAGATGGGGTTTCACCATGTTGGCCAGACTGGTCTCGAACCCCTGACCTCAGGTGATCTGCCCAACCTCAGCCTCTCGAAGTGCTGGGATTACAGGCATGAGTCACTGTGCCCAGACAGCTTTATTTCTTTAAATACTTGTCAGCTGGGACTATCCTTATGCTCCTAGAGGCCTTCCTCTGATTCTTGCAGAAGGACTTTTATGTTTTGGAGTCAGCAAAAAATGCATTAGATCCTTGTCACCCTTGAAATCTGTCCAGCTTCCCCTCCTGCCACATCTCTCTTCTGCCTTCAGCTAGAAGAAGACTCTGCTTGTGAAGACTCATGTGGTTATATCGGGTCCGCCCAGATAATTCAGGATAATCTCCCTATTTTAAGGTCAATTGATTAGTAACATTAATTACATCTTCAAAGCCCCTTTTTCCCGGGCACAGTGGCTCACACCTGTAATCCCAGCACCATGGGAGATTGAGGCAGGTGGATCACTTGAGGTCAGGAGTTTCAGACCAGCCTGGCCAACATGATGAAACCCTGTATCTACTAAAAGCACAAAAATTAGCTGGGCGTTGTGGCAGGCGCCTGTAATCCCAGCTACTTGGGAGGCTGAGGCAAGAGAATCGCTTGAACCCGGAAGGTGGAGGTTGCCGTGAGCTGAGATCGAGCCACTGCACTCCAGACTGGGTGACAAAGTGAGAGTCCATCTTAAAAAATAAAATAAAATAAAATAAAAAAGGTCCTTTTTTTCCCATGTAATAGACCATATTCACAGGTTCCAGAGATTAGGGCATGGACATTTGTGGAGGGCCATTATTCAGCTTGCCACACTAGACCTAGAATTATTAAATTAGTGCTGTGATTTTGATCTTCTGAAAGCACTTTGAGTTCACCTTCATTTTAGGAGATTATTGTCACTGGCTGTGAGTTCTAGCTTTTAAAAAGATATTCCATTGTCTTCTAGCTCCATCATTTCTACCAAAAAGCAGACAAAATGTCTTACTGTTACGCCTTTGAAGGTAATGTTTCCCCCCACGCTCTATCCCCACCCAACTACTTTAAGATCTTCTTTTCATTTTTGGTTTTCAACAGCTTTATCTTGATGTGTGTATGTGTGATTTTTTTGTGTGCAGAGCTTCTTACATCTGTGAGATAATGTTACATATCAGTTTTGGAAAATTCTGCTTGGTTATTTGGTTATCTCTTCAAATATTTATTCTGCCCCATTCTCAAAGAGCTTTAATTATTCCTGTGTATTACACAGTTCCAATATATACCAGGGGTTTCTGTGCTTTTTTTTCATTGTTGTTTTCCTTTGTGTTTTAAAATCTGAATATTTCCTACTGACCTGTGTGTCAGTTCACCAGCCCTTTCTTATACTGTGCATTGTCTAGTCTTGAACCCACCTGCTGAGTCCTAATTACAGACATTGTACTTTCCATTTTACAGTTTCATTTAATTTTCCTCTTTAGGTTTTGGTTTTTCTGGTAATAATCTCTACTGTTTGTTTTCCTCTATTTTTCTTGAACATATGTTAGTTATTTTAGAGTCTCTGCTCTGAGTCTGCGTCTGGTATATATTTCATTCCCTCAGGGACTCAACAGACTCCATATAGTCCTTTTCCCTGGTAGGCCTTGTAATTTTTAACTGAATTCTGGACATTGTCTATAAAATATTGGAGAGGGCTGGGCACGGTGACTCATGCCTGCAATCCCAGCACTTTCGGAGGCCGAGGCTGGTGGATCACCAGAGGTCAAGAGTTTGAGACCAGCCTGGCCAACATGGTGAAACCTCGTCTTTACTAAACCTCGTCTTTACTAAAAATACAAAATTTAGCTGGGTGCGGTGGCGGGTGCCTGTAATCCCAGCTACTCAGGAGGCTGAGGCAGGAGAATCGCTTGAACCCGGGAGGCAGAGGTTGCGGTGAGCCGAGATCGCGCCACTGCACTCCAGCCTGGGTGACAGAGTGAGACTCTGTCTCAAACAAAACAAAACAAAACAAAACAAAACTGGAGAGGCCCAGTTGATGCTACTTTCCTCCAGGGAAACGTTACCCCTCCCCTTGCTAAGCAGCTAGAGTCGGGGGGGTACTGAGCTTTTGCTTTTGCTCAGTAAGGGACTGAGCAGACGCTACTCTGGGTTGCAGTCTTGGCATAGCTCTCTTTGGTTCACCTCTCTTCTTACGCTAATGAGTTCTGGGCTTTCAACTGAGGACCTGATGTGTACACTGGGGTTCCTGTCCCTGGCAGGTCATGAACTCTAATCTTTGTCTTATCATTACTCTGAGGCTGCCAAAAGCTTGGCTCTAGTTTTCAGCTGAGTTATTTATTTCCGTATCCTTTCCAGCTGTCTTGAAGAGAAAACAGTCCATGTTTGAGGCCCTTCAATTGTGTCACTCCAGCTGCATAAAAGTGCCAAAAAGTCTACTGGTTTCTCCGCCCATCAGAAGCAGCGCTTTACTCAGGCAAAGCCTGGGCTTTCAGCCTCTTGCTCATACTTAGGATTAAGCAATTTCCTTTGGGAAAAGTGGCTGCAGAAGGTTGGATCATTACTTCATGGCTCTTCTCTCTGAAAGTTTATTACCCTTTTTCCTTGTTGCTTTAGAAACTATGTGATGTCTGTAAGCAGATCATGCTTATGTTTAATCTAGCTTTTCTAGTTGTTCCTGGAAGAATCACTGGTCTTACATAAGCAACTCTACCCTACCCAGAAACATAAGGCCAGTGAGTGCTAGAGGTGTTATTTCTGATATATATCATTTTTATGTGGGTGTAATGAGAAATTTTTAGAGTATATAGTGTGCTTTACTGTCAGAAATGAACGCCTTCCATTTCCACTTTTTTCTTGGTAATGAGTATGTTTTCTGTTAAAACATAGTGTTTTTTTTTTAAACTATGTATATATTTTATTCCGATGTGAAGTACAATTTTAGACATGGAGTGCTTATCCAATTCCTTTTCCAATTATATTTATACCTTTCAAAATATTTAAACAGGATAAATAGGATAAATTAAAAATGATGAGGCTGGGTGCAGTGGCTCACACCTGTAATCCCAGCACTTTGGGAAGCTGAAGTGGGCAGATGACTTGAGGTCAGGAGTTCGAGACTAGCCTGGCCAACATGGTGAAACCCCGTCTCTACTAAAAATACAAAAATTAGCCAGGTGTGAGGTAGTGTGCCTATAATCCCAGCTACTCGAGAGGCTGAGGCAGGAGAATCACTTGAACCCAAGAGGCGGAGTTTGCAGTGAACTGAGATTCTGGCACTGCACTCCAGCCTGGGTGACTGAGCAAGACTCTGTCTCAAAAAAAAAAAAAAAAAAAAAGCGATGAGCTGAGAAGACACCAAGATTTGCAATAACTGTTACAGATGGTAGACAAGTCTTAATTAACAAGACAATCTCCATCAATAATATAAAAAAGTGAACAAATTACAAATAAAACTACTTCAAATATATTTTGAAAAAGTAGACATCTGTATTTTTCCATCTGGAATACACAGGATCTAGTCTTCTAGATAAATGTCTAATAACTTCATCTTGGATCATCAGGAAAAATCAATTACATATAATATTTTTCTAAACTCTATGGTCAGTCACATCTAAAATCATTAAGTGTAAAACAGCATATGAATCTAATTACATTTATAACTGAATGCCCAGTATAGATGATTTTGAAGTTCTACTTTTTTTTTGAGACGGAGTCTCACTCTGTCACCCAGGCTGGAGTGCAGTGGCGCAATCTCGGCTCACTGCAAGCTTCACCTCCTGAGTTCACGCCATTCTCCGGCCCCAGCCTCCTGAGTAGCTGGGACTACAGGTGCCCACCACCACGCTCGGCTAATTTTTTTGTATTTTTAGTAGAGACAGGGTTTCACCGTATTAGCCAGGATGGTCTCGATCTCCTGACCTCGTGATCCGCCTGCCTCGGCCTCCCAAAGTGTTGGGATGACAGGCGTGAGCCACTGCACCCGGCCCTGAAGTTCTACTTTTTAATAACTAGAACATGTAGGCCAGCCGCAGTGGCTCAAGCCTGTCATCCCCGCACTTTGGGGGGCCAAGGCGGGCAGATCACTTGAGGTCCGGAGTTCAAGACCAGCCTGGCTAACATGGTAAAATCCTGTCTTTACTAAAAGTACAAAAATTAGTCAGGTGTGGTGGCACACGCCTATAATTCCAGCTACTCAGGAAGCAGGGACAGGAGAATTGCTTGAACTTGGGAGGTGGAGGTTACAGTCAGCCGAGATTGTGCCACTGCATTCCGGCTTGGGCAACAGAGCGAGACTCTGTCTCAAAAAAAAAAAACAAAAACACAGAACTTGTATTAAGTCATTATTCTTTCTCTTATGAGTGACTGTGTTTCTGCCTTTTTAAATGTTTTGATACCTGCATGTTTCAGATAGCAGTTATCTGATTAGCCATAGCATTTTCCTAAAACTGCCTATTTTTAGCTCTGGTCCTTTTTTTTTTTTTTTTCCTCTTTTCCTTTTGGAAACCTGCCATCTACAGAGATCTCAGAGGAGGGAGAGCCTGTTCACTCGCGAATATGTATTT
This sequence comes from Homo sapiens, assembly GCF_000001405.40. Taxonomy (NCBI): domain Eukaryota; kingdom Metazoa; phylum Chordata; class Mammalia; order Primates; family Hominidae; genus Homo; species Homo sapiens. Next base: position 183,786,487 of record NC_000004.12, read on the forward strand.
CGGGCAAGATGGCGGGTTCCTGGCAGGTTATAATTTCCACTGCTGGAGACCTCAGACACTGAGTATTCACTTCCTTTTTTGAGGGAGACAAAATCAAGGGTAGAACTTGGCAATTACATTAAAAAAAATCAACAGATAACGAACCGCTGCTATTCCAGTAAGCAGACAAACATGTCTAAAAATTATGTTTATTTTACCATGTACCTTTGTTACTAATATCAGCTATTGTTATTTCACATGAAGTAGCAAGAAGGTGTATCTATGTCCATCTAAATACTTATGAAAATAATGACAGTATAGTGTGTGTTGTAGCAGCAGTTTGTCATGTTGTTTTTTTCTCACCACAGCCCTCATGGAGGATGTCATTTATGTGAAAGACACAGACGTGAAAGACACAGGCTCATGAGGGTACGGTGAAACACACAAATCCTGGCAGGGTAGTTGTAAAAGTCCACCCCTTCTGTTCTTACTTAATAAAGCCTAGCAATATGCAAAAGAATGAGAGTAAAATTATTACTGGAGAAACTTTGACTCTACTCTACCTTTAAAATAAATAAAAAGAAATCCATCCCAAACTGACACTCTAGTGTTAATAACCATTTTCTTATGACATACTTCCCAATGATAGAGACTCAGCAGTGGATCAAGATCTTTAGATTGGAAAGAGCTATACATAATGCATCAATACCATACCACAAGTACTCATCTCCCAAGTGTTAGCCCAATATCACCCACTGCAAGCTGTCCTCTCATTCCCAATTCCCTTTTACAATGAGCCACTCCTTCCATTGACGCCCCTCTCTCCTTTCTGCTGCTCTGCAGCATGTACATGTTTCTACCATTCCACCAATTAGTGTAACTTCATTTTGGGGGGATGACTTGTCTGTTTCTTTTTACAAACTACAAGCTCCCTCCAAACAAGGGCCATGTCACATCTATTTCTCTTTGTCCAGCAGTCAGCTCACTGCCTAGAATACAAGAGTTGTCTGATATGATTGTTGACGAATGGGAGCAATATTTAGTAGCTTCGAATCACTCAGTGTTAAAGCCTGAGACGTGCACGCTCATGATATGGATATCCAATACTGTCAACATTTCATAATTTGGTTTGGCTGGTGGAATTTTTGTTCAAATAAAAATGAATTTAGCATGAAATTTGGGTTGGGTTTACACTAACAAGCAGGTAAAGAGTCAAATGTTCTAATGGGGAAAGTATTATGCTAGATTGGTCTCCACTCTTAATTGCTGCTGTCGCAGGTACAGGAATGGAACATAAGCAAACCTCTAATAGAAACTGAAGACAAAGAGATATATGTTTTGCACACTGCTCTTTGAAATTTGGTTTTGAAGTGGGATGAGCTTCTGCCATTGTAGTTGAAATGCCAGGGCCAGTGCTGTGTAAGTAGAGAGGGGTCATGGCTGGGGGAATTGTCAACAGAGGCATTATTCAGAAGCATCTCAAAAGCCAGTTGCAGTTCAATGTTAGGCCATAGGCGCTTTCACTGATAGTGGTACTATTAAACTTCCTACCAGAAAAGATGAATCCTTTTGGGAAAATTTAGTGAGGAATCAGAATAGATAGAGAAGCTTCTAGGAGCATTTTGAGCCACTTTGAGAAAGTGTCTCAGGCAGTCAAAAAGTCTTCCCCGTAGGGTAGATCAGTACAGGATCTTCACTAAGGTAAGTGTCTCTGGTAGGCTGTGGGAAGAAGTGATGTATGGGATGTGCCTTGGCAGTGTTTTCAATATCATATTCATTCTCAACCACAAGAGATAGCCAATATCCTCAAAGTAAGTGATTCGCACGTGTGTGGCTACAATAACTAGACCATCACGAACTCTTTAAAAAACAGTGGAAGGGGGTCTCACAGTATAGCTGTTGAGAGCACAAACTCTGAAACCAGACTGCCTGGGCTTGAACTGTGGCTTGGTGACTGTCTTAGTCCATTCAGTGTTGCTATAACAGAATACCTGAGACTGAGTCATTCATAAAGGGGAGAGTTTTATTTAGCTCATGGTTCTGCAGTCTGGGAAGTCCAAGGGTGCAGCCTGGCTTCTGGCGAGGGCTTTCACTCTGCATCATGACTTGACAGAGAAGGTCAAAGGGGAAGCAGATACATGGGAAGACCCAACAGGAGGAGGAACCTCACTTTGTAACAGCTGATCTCATGGGAATGAATTCATTCCTGAGAGAACTAATCCCATCTTGCTGGAGAAAGAATTCACTCACTACCACGAGAATGAAACCAAGCCATTCATGAGAAATCTGCCCCCATGACCCAAACACCTCCCACTAGGCCCCACCTCCCAATACCACCACATTTCAACATGGCTTTTGGTGAGGACAAAAAACAAATCCAAACCACAGCAGTGACTTAACAGTGGAGGTCCTGCACATGTTGCTTAATTCTCTTTGAATCAATTTTCGTCTGTAAAATTAGGATGACAAGAGTATCTATCCCATAGGGCTGCTGTGTGGATTAAATAAGTGAATATACATAAAGTACTTAGCACACTGCATGACATATAGGAAGCACCATATAAATGCTAGCTATTTTTATTATTTATCTGGGATAAGCAGTAGCAGACACGTAATTGAAGGTTCAACAGTTGATGGATTCCTGCTTGTAGGTAAACATGTAGTCGTAAGCATGAAAAAAAATCACTAATACTGCATAAGAGTTATGACACAATTAAGTTTGGGTTATTATTGAAAGAATCCTTTAGAAGGCCTGTAATTAGAATAAATGATCACCCCCATGGCTATAGAAGTTCTGTGGAAATTCTGGCTTCCTACTACAGTAAGGTTTTTATTCTTATTTTTTTTGAGACAGGGTTCCATCCTGTCACTCAGCTGAAGTGCAGTGGCATGATCATAGCTCACTGTGGCCTCAACCTCCCAGGCTCAAGTGATCCTGCCTCAACCTTCTGAGTAGCTGGGACTACAGGTGTGTGCCACCATGCCTGACTCATTTTTTCTTTCTTAATGTAGAGACAGGGTCTCATCATGTTGCCCAGGCTGATCTCAAATTCCCGGGCTCAGGTAACCCTCCCACCTTGGCCTCCCAACATGCTGGGATTACAGGCTTGAGCCAGGTTTTTATTTTTTTAATTTTATCTTTTTTTATAGATGGGGGTCTTGCTATGTTGCCCAGGCTGGATTTGAACTCCTGGGCTCAAGCAATCATCCTGCTTTAGCCTCTGAGTAGCTGGGATTACAGGCATGTGCCACTGTACCTGACAACAGTAAGGTTTTTTTGTGCAGACACTGTTGTTTCTGACATGTAACCAATCGCTGCCTGGAATTATGTACTCATGAGTCTAACAGAATACTTGAGACTGAGTCATTTATAAAGAGGAGAGGCTTATTTAGCTCATGGTTCTGCGGTCTGGGAAGTCCAAGGGCATAACCTGGCTTCTGACGAGGGCTTTCACACTGCATCATGACACAGCAGAGAAGGTAATCTATCTACAATACTGTGCTATCAAAATAATATAGAAGGACATTCTTTTTTCTTTATAAAAGCTGACTCTCCATAGATGCATAATCAGCATGTCATTAAAATATTATTTTCTGCCTGGATTCTTATAAATTGTAGTTCTACATGTAGCATGCATATATTATAAGAACAATGGTGTTACAATTATCTATTTCTATGTAATCAATCACCCCAAAACATGGTGATGTAAAAAGGCCACCATTTTATTACGCTCACAATTCTGTGGATCAGGAATTCAGGCAGGGCAAAGTGGGATGGCTCACCTTTGCTACAAAGTTGGAAGTTTCAGCTGGGGTGGCTTGGATGGCCAGATATGTCTGGGACAGCTCAACTGGGGCCATCAGTCTGGGGCCTCAGCTCTTCCATAGTTGGTGTCTTCTGTGGCTGGAACGTCTCCTTCACTCATGTGTCTGGCTCCTGGGTTGGGATGGCAAGAGCAGCTGGGGATTGGCCATCAGCACTCTGTCTGCACACCTTCTCCATGTGACTAGCTTGAGCTTCTTCACAATATGATGAATACAGGGTAGTAGCACTTGTTACATGGTGGCTGGCTTCCATGAGGCAGGACTGGGAACGATGAGACCTTAGGTCTACAGACAGAACTCATGCAGTATCCCTTCAGTTCTATTCTATTGGCTAAAGAAATCACGGTGCCTGCCCAGAGTGAAGCGAGTGGAGAGACGGTTTCTACTTCTTGACGGAAGTGTGGCAATATCATATCATAGATATGCATGTGAACAGGAGGTATTGTGGCAGAGATCTGTAGAAAACAGTAGCTGCCACAAACAGAAATTCCAAACTGGAGGCACTTAGGCAGGAATGCACCTCCCTGACTGATGATTGTCTGGGCTTCTGTTATAGCACAGTGGACAATCAGCAATTGATAAACTTGGCCAAGAGCAAGTTTACAAGGCCGTCTTTCCCCAGCAAGAATGGCAGGCAGTTGACTGCAGGCAGTGGGGAGAAGTGCTGACAAAGAATTTCATTCACCATGCTCTTTAATCCTGCCCCAAATCCCACTCATCTTGAACTTCAGGATTGAGACAACCGAGGCAAAAGTTTTCCCCAGAGAGTTTGAGATGGCTTTGAGGATTTCTTATGTGATTAGATATTCAAGCAGTTCTTCATAGTTTTTCCTGAATGTTTTCAAGTAAATTGGTGCATGCATTTCTTGGGACTAAAGTAACACTGGTTTATCATGTTGGTTCTTACATTCCTGTGGAAGCTGCAGTGGATGGTGACGAAGCATGGGTCTGAATTCATAGATCTAGTTTAAATCTTGGCTTTATTCATTGTGCGACCTTGGGCAAATTACTTAACATCTGAGAACCTCAGTTCCTTCTTGGAAACTTAGAATAATAATTGTTCCTTCTTACTAATTTTATAAGAATGAGGCATTATATATATTTGTATACCCATATATATATAACATGTCTCATTGTTTTTATTTATATATTTTATACATAATATGTAAATATATAAAAATACGTAAATATATATATTTATATATATAAAATGCCTCATTCTTACAAAATCAGTAAGAAGGAACAATTATTATTCTAATGTTTCATATATCTATGGGATCACTGTAGTCTTGGCAAGTTGGGCTACTTCTCATCCTTTGGGCTGGAGTACATGTCCACCTTTTCTGTGAGGGCTTCCCTCAACATCCTATCTAAGGTAGGTCCTCCCTGTTTCTGTCTGTCCCTTCACCTGTTTGACATGCTATAACTACACTCAAGGTCATTCCTTTATGTGGTGATTGCTCCCCTTAAACCCATTATGTTTTCTTGACTGGTTTTTATCTTGTTTTTCTAAATTTGAAGGAATGCTCATTCATCACAGAGCCTGTCCTAGCTCCTGGCTACTGCTGCAGCGGGAGATAGGGGCAAAGAGAGAAGAGACTGGGGATGGTATAGGTGGGGCAGGGAGGGGAAAGAGAGGGAAAGGCTGAGAAAGAAACAGAAGTTATATTCAGAGGCACATTTTGGTGAACTGACATGGAGGAAACAATTGAGTCCATGAATGGAAGATACTGTGAGACAACTGGGAGTTGAGGATTATTGAAAATGAAAATTTGGGCCAGGTGTGGTGGCTCATGCCTGTAATCCCTGCACTTTGGGAGGCCGAGGCAGGGGGTCGCAAGGTCAGGAGATCATCACCAGCCTGGTCAATATGGTGAAATCCCGCCTCTATTAAAAATACAAAAATTAGCTGTGCGTGGTGGTGCTTGCCTGTAATCCCAGCTACTCAGGAGGCTGAGGCATAAGAATCACTTGAACTCAGGAGGGGGAGGTTGCAGTGAGTCAAGATCATGCCACTGCACTCCAGCCTGGGTGACAGAGTGAGACTCCATCTCAAAAAAAAGAGAATGAAAATTCACTGTGTCACTTATCTGAAAAATATGATTGCCATTAAGACTATCTTCTGAAAAAAAAAAAAACACAATAATATGACCACACATGAAAAGTTCTTAGCACATTGCTTGCCGTATAGTAAGTAATCATTAATTGGTAATGATGATGTTAATGAGGTTGATAGTAATGCAAATGATGACAGCAGTAAGAACCAATAAAGAATCTTCTTTTCTTAGTCCCATTGAGTTCTGATGGTAGATCCTCTAAGATAGCCCCTCCTGTTGGGAAGATCAATAGTTTTTGTGATTGCGTGGGTGCCAAGAGCTTGCTATCTCTATGTGAGGGAGATCATTTCTATTAGAAGTTGCTCTTTTTATTTGTCACTTTATTGTAATTGTCTTAATAATTAAACATTTTCATGGTTCATTATAAATGTGCCTGGAGCTTCTAAGATGACCCCTAATGATCTCTATGTCCTGGAATTCATACGTTTGTATAAATCCCTCCCCTTGAGTGTGAGCTTGGCTTTAGTGACTCACTTCTAGAAAACAGAATGCAGCAGAGGTGATGGCATGTTATTTCTCTCTTGAGTGATCTAAGGGAAGCCATCTGGCACGTTGTGAGCTACCCTGTGGAAAGGTTCAAGTTGCAAGAAAAACAGTGGGCTTCCATGAAGTGAGGAATAAGAGCCTCAGTCCAGCAACCTTCAAGAAACTGAATCCTGTCAATAATCATGTGAATGAGCTTGGAAATGGGTCCATACCCAGTTGAACCTTCAGATGAGACAGCAGCCCTAACTTGACTGTAGCTTCCTGAGATGCCTTGAGCCACAGACACTGTATTAGTTGGTTCTTACACTGCTATAAAGAAATATCTGAGACTGGGTGGTTTATAAAGAAAAGAGACTTAATTGGCTCATGGTTCTGTAGGCTGTACAGGATCATGGTGTCATCAGCTTTAGAGGAGGCCTCAGGGAACTTACAATTATGGCAGAAAGCAAAGTGGGAACAGGCATCTTACATGGCAAGAGCAGGACCAAGAAAGAGATAGGGGAAGCACTACACACTTTTAAATAACCAGATCCTGTGAGAACTCACTCACAAGAACAGTGCCCAAGGATGGTGCTAAACCATTCACGAGGGACCCACCCCCATGATGCAATCACCTCTCTCCAGGCCCCACCTCCAACACTGGGGAATACAATTGAACATGAGATTTTGGTGGGGACACAGATCCAAACCATTCAGGCACTCAGTGGGGTTATGCCTGGATTACTGACCTGCAGAAACTGTGAGATTAAAAATGTTTGTTGTTTGAAGCTGCTAAGTTTTGGAATAATTTGTTATGCTGCAATAGATGACTAATACAAATGTCAAGTATCATTTATGCAAGAGGCACTGTTGAAGGACCTTAATGGGATATTCTATCTACCAGTAATTGGTTAGGTAAGTGGGACAGATGGGACGACATGGGGTTTGAGCTTTGGGATAAACTGCTTAGGTTTAGATTCTAATTCTAAACCTAGGCATTTCATTGCTGGGGGATCCTATACAAATTTCCCACATTCTTTGTGCCTTAATTTCCTCATCCACAAATTAATAGAGATGGTATAAGATCTGCCTTAGAGGGCTGTTGTAAGAATTAAAGACCTTTCCATGCCCCGGGTGCTGAACTAAATTTTACTCTTTATTATCAGGAGGAATTGTTGCCTAAGGAAGACAAAGACCTCTGTATCAAGATGCGGAAAGAGTATACAGATAGGACTTGTCCAGACATCTTAGGGCTGAGCTCCTAAGCCATGAGTTTGGAAAAAGATGCTTTCTTTTTACAGATTCAGGGATAGGAGAGGGAACATTTGAGTCTTAATTTTGACTAAAACTTGGCTCTAAGGCTGTTGAGCCTAGATAGCTGTAGTGGAAGATGGAAAACCTATTTTTTTTTTTCCAAAGGGTTGAGTAATCTTTCAAGAAGTAGCTATTTGAAAACACTGTTCCTTTGAGTATTCTAGAAAATATTCTTTGTTCTGAGGAAATAAAATAGGCCATTTAGTTACACAAATAGAACGCAGAGCCGATTGGACAGATGTTTGCGATGCCGTTCAAGAGGGAAACATGCTTTGCTGAGAATGTCAAAGGTTGTCTATATTGAAGGCAGTTTTGCATTTAATTTCCTAGGGAAAAAGATGTATAACTATTTCAGATGGTTGCTTGTTCCTGCAGTATTTTGTATGTTTTTGCTCAGGAGTTGCTCACAGAAAATGAAGGAGCTATTTTTGGTGATTTTCCGGGCACAGAGTTACCTTAGGGTAACTGTGAGAACTAAGGTCCTTCATCTATCTGATAAGTAGACTGAACACACATTGTCCCACCCTGCATCCAACCTATTTGTACGAAGCTACACTGCCTCATGTTTCCTATACAGATGATTGAAGACATATCGTAAAGAGAAGAACTATAGTATCTTGCGGATGCTGCTCATGAATAGATGGACTAATCAAAACCCAATGTCACCTCAGTAGCAATGAGCACACCTAGTAGCCACATGTTGGTTTCTAAATACCATTCACTAAAAAGAATCAGAGTTCCTTGGAAAAATGGCTGATTGTAGGGGTGGAGCAAAATGATTCTGGAACATCTTGACATGCCAAAAAGTAACGAAGTGCTCAGAGAATGATGAGACCAATTCTAAAGGACGTAAGAGCCAGCTTTTAGAAGCTCCCACTGGCCAAATTTGGGGTAATATGAACATCAAAATAATGATAATACTTAAGAATTATAACCTATTGAATAAAGCAAGAAGGCATAGCCCATGCTGTTATTTAATAATAAAGGAAAGCTCATTTTTACAGTAGAATGACAACGAATACACGTAGAAGGCATGATGAAACTGGAATACCAGAATTTAGCAACCATTATAATATCAAGACAAACAAGAATCAAAGACCACTATAATGAGCAAACAATGGAGAAGTAACAGGATGGTATTTATATAATCTCAAAATACTTCTCAGAAAGATATTTATTAATTAAAAGAGTAAAATAATAATTTATAGTAGGGAGATTGTTCCATCATTTAGAAAAAGAATTTGTGCATGTGTAGAGACAGAGTAAAATGTTAATTAAGGAACCCAGGTGAAGATATGTGGGTATTCTTTGTACAATTCTTGCACTTTGTCTGAAGTTATGTCAAAATAAAACAAAAAAAGAGACAAATGCAAACTAAAAAAATCACAAGTGTAAAATTGTCCCTTCTTCCATTTTTCCAACCACCATCACTTCCTTTCTTCCTGAGGCCCAGACACTAAGCAAGGAGGGTGAGGAATGCGGCATTTCAACGGGGCCAAATTGAGGAGGCTTAATACGAAAGCGCCAAAAGCCAGGCAAGAAAATCACAGGTCTCCCCACACGGTGGGTGCCTGGGAAATTCTGAGGTCAGGATGCCCTGCTCCAGCGGCCTTCCTATGTTAAACCCAGCTCTTGGCTTTTTGAGGTCTGAAAAGCACCTAGGGTCTGTAACACCCTCATGCTGACTGAAAACTTTATCATCTGAGGTGACTTCCTATCCATTTATTTGCTTGATTCCTTCACCAGTCCAGTGACAGGGACTTAGCAGGACTTAACAACTCCCATTTTGCAGATGGAGAAACTGAGTTTCTGTTTATTATAACAGTGTGGGCTATGCCTTCTTGCTTTATTCAATAGGGCATCCTGCAGTAAGACTAAAACTCAGGTCTTGGCCGGGCACGGTGGCTCACGCCTGTAATCCCAGCACTTTAGGAGGCCGAGGTGGGTGGATCACCTGAGGTCAGGAGTTCGAGACCAGCCTGGACAATGTGGTGAAACCCCGTCTCTACTAAAAATACAAAAATTAGCTGGGTGTGGTGGCGCCCGCCTGTAATCCCAGCTACTGGGGAGGCTGAGGCAGGAGAAACCTGGGAGGCGGAGGTTGCAGTGAGCCAAGATCGCGCCATTGCACTCTAGCCTGGGCGACAGTGAGACCTCGTCTCAAACACAAAACAAAACAAAACAAAACAAAACAAACCAAAACAAAACAAAACAAACACCTCAGGTCTTTAGACCCGGGTTTAGTGACTTTTTCATGATAATAAAATCACAGGACGCCAGCGGAAAACAGTTCAGTTATTTCTATTCCCCAAAACTAGGCTGGACATTCTGTGTTTTTCACGGTGTGGTCCGAGACCACCAGCAGCAGCAGTAGCAGCAGCATCTGGGAATTTCTTAGAAATTTAAAAAACCGGGTTCCTCTAGACCTACTGAATCAGAAACTCTGGGAATGGGGCCCAGATACCTGCGTTTTAATACGTGTTCAGGTGACGGTGATGCACGTTGAAATTTAAATACCGCTCTGGGTAAATGTAGCATAACTCTTAATGCTTCTTATGACAATCATCTCTTTTCACATATGACTACTAGCCTCTCTCGATTAAAATATAAGTCATACAGAATTTGGCACAGAAACAAACGTAAGGAATTTTCTTAAAAGCATCATCGTTACCTTTCCTGGTAAATTTCTGTAACCTCTTCATAAACCGAGGGTTAATGGTTGATTGGGTTTCCTCTAGGGTAGGCCAAAGTATATGCTGAAGACAAGAGAGTAGAATTCCTCAAGAGTTTGGGAGGAGGGACTGATGACAATTTTTGGTGGTTGACTAAGTTTTTTAAAAAGCCACTTCTAAGGGTACATTCATTAACCAGTCAGCGAATCCACTTGTTCCAGCGAGAGGTGGGAGGTGGGGGCAGGGGTGGAGCGTGGGGAGGAGCGACACTCGCCGCTCCGGAATCCGTGCCTTCCAAGTGTCGCCGTTGCGTCCCCCGCAACCCCCGCTTTCTGATCTCCCTCGAGGCCCAACACCCAAAGGCTCACCCCTAGGCCATCCGCGCTCCCCGACCACCTCCCTCATAGGACTCCTTGGGATTCCTCAGGCCGCGTCCAGCCGAGGGGGTTCCCGGGCGCGGTGCGCACTGCCCGCCCCCTCACTGCCTCCTCCCGCGTCTCCGCCCCCGCGGGGCCGCTGGGCGCCCGGGGAGGCGAGGGTGCCGAGGCCGGAAAATGAGCGCTGCCCGAAGGGTGGCCCGGAGCTGCAGGTAACGCGGTCCAGAGCTCAGGCCGGAGCGGGCCCCGCACACCGTCCCTTCCCCGCAGCGACCCGCGGGCTGCGCCCAGGGACTGCGCCGGGCGCCCGGGCTGCAGGGACGCGGGCGCGGGGGAGGCGCGGCCAGCCCTGCCCTGGGGGACGGTCGCGCTCCCCGCTGGTCTTGCAGCCACGTCCCGGCGGCTGTTCCTGGGAGCGGCGGGAGGCGGCCTCGGTGAGCCAGGTCGGCGCGGCAGATGCCTGGGAAGATGGAGAAGTTTCTGCAGATCGCGCCTCACTCCCTGGCCATCGTCCTGGGCCCGGCAGAGGCGCCGGCGGGGGAAAGGCCAGGGGCAGCCCGGCCCGCGCCCCCGGCCCAGCCCCGCCAGCTCGCCCGGCACCACATCGGCTACGAGATCTTCGCCGACTTCAAAGCCGAGAACATGCAGCACTTCTGGAACAAGAAGGTCACGGCCGCGGTGGCCGAGACCTTCTTCCTGGGCTGGATCGACGAGCAGGTCCTGCTGATCCAGGGCAAGGAGGAACATCTGGAGGCGCTGCGCGAAGGCTGGACGCGCCGGGCCCTGCGGCCGCCCTCGGGCTTCCACATCCGCTGCCTGGGTGAGTGCGACCGCCGCGCGCCCGTCCCGTCCCTTCCCACCGGATCGCGTCCGTGCCGTGCGGTCGCGGGTGCCCCGCCCTGCCCCAGCCCGCCGCGGGCACCGCCGAGGCTCCCCTGGGTGCCCGCGTCCCTGCCGGGGGAGGAGCCGGGGGCCCTCTGCGAGCGTGGGATTGGGGAACTTCCTGGCACCGAAAGGAGGGAGCCGTCCCATTCCCGGTGCGCCGCCCCCGCCTGCCCGCGGGAGCCTCCCCGGTGGCGGGCGGTGCCTGAGGCCGGCCAGGTGGGCGCCGCGGCTCGGCGGGCGGCTCGGAGGGCGCGGCGCTCGGGGCGCGTGAGTGTCCCCCTCCCGGCACTGCTCCGCGGCTGGAGTGCGCGGGCCGGGCGGAGGTGGGCGGGGAGGATTCCGGGGCTCGGGTCGCGCGGGGCTCCCAGCTGGAGCGGCGGCTCAGGTGCGCCCGGGACGCCCTTCCCTGGGCGGCGACTGCGGGGGACGCGCCGGGAAGCTAGGGTTGAGGCTGAGTGTTGCGCGCACGCATTTCTCAACGAGGCAAGGCTGCAGAGTTCGTCTTAAATGTCTCACCTGCAGCACATCTCTCAAGTCGTTTTGTGTGTCTGAGGGAAGGAAGAGACACAAAGAGGCCGGAGGAAAAAAAATCTGATCCTCAACAAAAGAGAGCAAAACGTAAAGAGGGGCAGAGTCGCCCAGAGGTGAAGGTCGCCGCCGCGTTTCCAGTGCTGCTTTGACTTGCTGGTTTTTATTGCACTACTTCATTTCCCCTCCTTAATCCAGTTTGCATCGCCTGTAGAATATACTTTTGAGTTTTGTACTTTGGGTTTTATACTTTGAGTTTTTGTACTATTACATAGTAAATAGTAAAGCTTTAGGAAACAATTTCAAGGAAGAAAGCATTCTTTCTAGTCCCGCGGTTCAGAAATTCTTTCTTGACATTTTGGGAGGTCAAAAGTTCAAACGCTAAAAAACTGTAAAGCCGCCTTTTCTCGTTACCCGCTGTTGCTATGCCGCCTTCCTCTGAAGGATTAGCTGTTACCTGCTGATGTGACGCCATCTATGCGTGTGACGAATTTATAGCATTTTTATTTTGTTGTGTTTTGTCTATTTTGGCAGAGAAGAGATCTTTACAAAGCTTTCTTTGACTTGAGTAGACAAAAAGCTAGTAAAGCTTGCATCTTGTGTATTTTGTAACCTGCGCTGAATTTCAAAAGGTGCCTTGATTTTCTCAATTCTTTTGACTTTAGCAAGAACCTCAGTCTCTGAAATTAAGCGGCCTCCGTAAAGGGCCAAGGTGAACGCCTCTGAGACTTAACTTGCTTTTGCCCCGTAGGACTGTGACACATTAGGACGTAAGGATATACGTAGTCATTTATATGCACCGTATAGATTGCTCTACAGGCTTTTAATAATTTTCTTTGAAATTCGATTTCACACTTTTTAATGTTTTATTTTGCATAATTTCAAATATATACAAAAGTAGTATAACTCAAAAATATTATATTGAACCCCCACCGTGTACTCAACGTTCCGCTCCAAAAAGTATCAATGGCATGGCCGGTCTTACTGCATTTATACCCCCATCTACCCCCTACCCGTACTTTTTTGAAATCTCAGACATTATATCAACTTGATTTCATTTGTAAATATTTCAGTATGCTCATGTATTTTTTTTATTTCAGCAGAATTTATAAGTTCATAGGAATTGGTGATCTGTCATATTAACCAAAGAGAAATATTTTGGCAATTTTTAAAGGTTCCAAATTGCTCTAATTGGTTGACTGTTGCCCTGACCTGGGTAGGTGGCCTGGCCTGAGCTGTCTCTGCTGACTGGCAACTGATGGGGCCTGCCAGCCTCTGTAGTACTGAGCTCCTCACCTTACCTCTGCACCCTCAGAGGAAGCAGAGGGACTCCCTCTTAAAGCCCAAGCATCAGATAAAAGAGCAGGGGTGATACCTGCTGGGATCCAAGTGCTAACTTTCTTTTGAACTGCCTGGGGGGTGGGGTGGGTTAAAAATCTCCACTGGAATTCCAATTTTGCTTCAGTAATGACGGTAAAATGCTGAATTGTTTGAAAGATTTTTATCTACTATAAAAATTCTCAATATCTGCTGCAGGCTTCCTCATTTTTTTTTGTTGCCAGATCTTTTATTGGGCTTTGCAATTCCAGTCTGGAAGCTGATGAGGATTGGCTCACAACCTTTTATTCTGAGTCACAATACACGTGATGACAAGTTCAAATGCTGGCGGGGGGCCGGGGCGGTGATATGGGGGATCCTGGCTGAAACTCTGCTCTGAAAAGCGTGATGTTATAGGAATAGCCTAGAATCGATCTACTGCTAAACGTACAAAACCAGAAACCAAATGCTATCTTTGATACTTTATTATTAGTAATACATTTCTTGCAGCATCCCTTTCAATTGACCCCCATCTGTAGTACATATATCGTCAGGTCCTTTTACATTGTTTTGGGATTTTAGCTCATTATTTCATGCATATGAAACGGCCATAGAGCCAGACACATAGATGAGCTTTACAGGAGGCGCATTACATTCCCACTTGTTGAACTTGAATTAAGCTCATCAGTTACCAATAGTCCTCTGAAATAACTGGTAGCCAAAAGTTTGCTTAAGTCTTATCATTCTTGTGGGGGATACAGATTATTTATAAAAATTGGTTGTGTTTCAGATGATCTCTTAGATCCCACCATAGAGAGTGGTAATAAAAGTGTCCCATTAGATCCTGCCAGTGAAGAAAGGAGAGGAACGGTTTTGCCCTGTCTCTTGACTTGGGTTCGCCTGGGTGCATGATTTCACACAACCCAGAGCAGAGAGGCTCACAGGCGGGGCGAGACAGGCAAGCCCCGGTGCTTTTGTCTGGCTGTGCTGTGGTACAGTTGAGGCAAACCTACACTTTCACAGCAGGATTTGCCAGGAGTTAATATTTTATGCTGTAACTTGAAACACCTGTGTTGAAATCATAAGCATTTTGGTGCCTGTAATTCCAAAAGTATATGGTTCTAACCAACTGTAAAACTTCAGGTGAGGGTTGGACAACAAGGAGATAATTACTGGATTCAACAAGAAGCAGGGTGTTAAGCCACTCAAAGGAAAAGTGGTTTTGACTTGGCATCTTCCAATTCACTACTTAGAAATAACCTACTAGAATTTGCAAGTCCATTCTTAGAAATAACCTACTGTGGGCATATAGAAAAAAAGTTTGGACTTTTGATTTTCAGAACCCTTCAAAGGGTATACAGGATGCTGGTAATGTTTTAAAATTGTGCTATGTATTTTGAGTAAATCACAGTAAATTAAAGCCCATACATGTTTATTGAGTGCTTTCTAGCGCCAGCCTCTGTGTCACTCCTGCAAATAGGAAGACTGATGGGACATGCCATCTTTTGGGGTATTCTGACATAAGAAATTGAGAGTGTGCTAAATGCTTTGAGGACTCTTTGTTTTGAGTGAACGAGAAGCAGTTACTTCTGTCTTGTGAGCTGGTAGGGGAGGTTTCCCAGGTATGAGGCTTGAACTTGATCTTGTGCAGATGGAGATGGGGGTGGGGCGGGAGTTCCTGCAGAGCAGGAGAACTTTCCCTGCTGGGGAAGGAGGTGCCCGGAGCTTGAGTGAAGGCTTGGGGTTGGAGAGTTCCTGATGTGTTTGGAAACTGGCTGGGGTGATAAGACAATGGAAAGGTGGGAGAGGGCCAGATGTGAAGATCTAGAAGCCACTGGAGGCTTCTAAGCAAGGGTGGGAATGAAGTGATTTGATCTGTGTTACAATGAGAATTCCATGCCAGTGAGGGTGAAGGGTGGGACTGGGAGGGGATTAGAAAGAAATAGGAGCACTAGCTAGGCCTATTGAAACAGAGGGAGAAATGCCAAGTGCTTCTTTAGAGTGTTTGCTCTCCTTCGGTACACTTGCACAGGCCACGGTTAGTACCCGAAGAAAGACACCATTAGTCTGGTTGAGGCTGGAGGGCCTTCTAGCCTCGGCCACAAGCCCTTAGCCTTTGTGTGGAGCCATGTGCGTGCTCCCCCTCCAGACCTCAGGGAGCACAGGTGCATCTCTGTCCCCAAATGGGAAAGTGGCACTTTACACTTTCCCATTTGATCCTCACATGTTTAAATAGTTCAGACCAAATACACTTTTTTAGACTTTATATCAGAACTTGTATTTTGCATTATAAAATTGTTTAGAACACATGGGCATCAAGATTTTATTCTTTTCCAAAATTTTTATTGGTTTTCTCAAAAAGAGTTGCTTTCTTGAAGTGATTTCCCCAAATAGTAGATTTTTAAGACAGATTTCTTTTTTGTTTTTGAGACAAGGTTTCATTCTGTTGCCCAGGCTGGAGTGCAGTGGCACTATCATGGCTCACTGCAGCCTCCAACTCCTGAGCTCAAGTGGTCCTCCTGCCTCAGCCTCCCTAGTAGGTGGGCTATAGGCACACACCACTAAGCCTGGCTAATTTTTAACTTTTTTTTTTTGTAGAGACAGGGTCTCCCTATGTTGCCAAGGCTGGTTGTATTAGTCCATTTTTCTTTTTTTTTTGAGGCGGAGTCTCGCTCTGTCGCCCAGGCTGGAGTGCAGTGGTGCGATCTCGGCTCATTGCAAGCTCCGCCTCCCGGGTTCACGCCATTCTCCTGCCTCAGCCTCCCGAGTAGCTGGGACTACAAGTAGTTGGGACTACAGGCGCCTGCCAACACACCTGGCTGATTTTTTGTATTTTTAGTAGAGACGGGGTCTCACCGTATTAGCCGTGATGGTCTCGATCTCCTGACCTCTTGATCCGCCTGCCTTGGCCTTCCAAAGTGCTGGGGTTACAGGCGTGAGCCACCGCACCCGGCCCGTATCAGTCCATTTTTATGCTGCTGTTAAAGACACACCTGAGACTGGGCAATTTACAAAGGAAAGAAGTTTAATGGAGAACTCACAGTTTCACATGGCTGGGGAAGCCTCACAATCATGGCAGAAGGCAAGGAGGAGCAAGTCACATCTTACGTGGATGGCAGCAGGCAAAGAGAGCTTGTGCAAGCAAACTCCCTTTTTTAAAACCATCAGATCTCGTGAAACCCATTCACTATCATGAGAATAGCACGGGAAAGATCCGTCCCCATAATTCAGTCATCTCCCACAGGGTCCCTCCCATAACATGTGGGAATTATGGGAGCTATAAGACGAGATTTGGGTGGGGACACAGCTCCAAACCAAATCACTGGTTTTGAACTCCTGGCCTCAAGCAGTCCTCCTGTCTCAGCCTCCTAAAGTGCTGAGATTACAGATGTTAGCACCTAAGCCTGGCCTAGAATTATTAAAAAAAAATGTACACTCCACAGACATTTGTATACTCAAAAGAAGTTACAGTTCAATAACTTACTTAAGTCAACTTAAAATTGAATAATATTCCTAGACGAATAGCTTGAATTGCTTAACAATTGTTTTAAAGCCTTTTAAATTGTAGATATTGATTCATTCAGTGACTAGAGCATTCACCAGTTCCTGGGATGTGTTCTAGGCACTGAAGTGGAGAACAAGTCAGATACAGTCCCTGTACTTTTGGAGGCTCCATTCTAGTGGCACAACAGACATTTGAAAAATTAAAGAAATGGTCTGGGCGTAGTGGCTCACACCTGTAATCCCAGCACTTTGGGAGGCTGAGGCAGGTGGGCCACCTGAGGTCAGGACTTTGAGACCAGCCTGGCCAACATGGTGAAACCCTGTCTCTACTAAAAACACAAAAATTAGCCAGGTGTGGTGGCAGACACCTGTAATCCTAACTACTTGGGAGGCTGAGGCAGGAGAATCGCTTGAACCTGGGAGGCAGAAGTTGTAGTGAGCCGAGCTGAGATCACGACACTGCACTCCAGCCTGGGTGACAGTGAGACTCTGTCTCAAAAAAAAGAAAGAAAAGAATTAAAGAAATAAAAATTTCTAATATTTTTAAATGCTGTAAAAATTAAGCACTTGATAGAATAGAGAGCGCTGGGGAGAAATGACAGAATAGCTAACATTTACATTTATTGATCACCGACTATTTTCTAAATGCTTTATTTTTATGATCTAATCTAATCTTTAAGACACCTATACCATTTAGGTATCATTATTTTATCCATATACAAATAAGGACCTTAAGGAACAGAAAGATAAATGTTCTCCAGGGATGCCTACTTAATAAGTGATAGAGCCGGGATGTGAACCCAGGCCCTGGGATGCTAGAAGCAGTGTTTTGGATGACTACTCGACAGTACCTCATTTGGGGTGACACTTGACCAATGAGGCAGGTATCCACCAACCAGCAATGACAGAGGAGCAGGTGGAAATCAGCTTGCTATGCTGGAGAAACAGAGAGGGTGGCCCATGGGGCTGGGCTTGTTGAGCCAGGAAAGGAGAAGAAGGTGTGACTGCAGCTGAGGTCAGAAGCAGGCCCAGGCCAGGTCCTGTGGGGCCGTGTGGGATGGTATTCTGCAGAGAGAAGGCATGAGTCTCCAGAAATGTGCACTGGGTTGGGGTCGGCAGAAAATTTAGAGAAGTTTAAGAAGCGGGCCTGGCTCCTAAAGAAGCTTATCTCTTACATTAAAATCTCAGGATTAAGTCTAAACAGTGAACAAGGATGCATTTAAAACTTTAGTGACTTCTAGCTAGTCATAAAAACCATTTTTATGAATTATCTCACTTTGGCTCAAAGATGTTTTCAGCAAAGGCTGTCAGTTTCATTGTAATAAAGCATTTAGAATGAACTTCTGAGATTCCAGGTCTTGCTGTGATAAATCTGGCTTTGCAAAGATTTATAAATTTTACTGCTTATAGATTAATTATGATCTTGAGCACGTTTGTTTCCTTGTGGGTTTACTTTGAATTTGGAAAATAAATTGCATCAAGAGGTAAATTTGCTGGTTATTGCCAAGTTCTTTTAAAAGGGCTCATTAAACTGAAACGGTGTCTGTGTCTTGCGACGGGTTGAAAGTATTTAGATGCTTTCTGTTCCTGAGGTCGATCATATATTTTGCGGTAAAAACCCGGGAAAGTTCGTTATATACAAACTATTTGCTGCAAGGAATTTTAAATGTCTTCAGTCTGCCTAAAATATCACACACAGTGATGATCTGGTCACCTTAAAAATAAAATTTTCAGTGTATGAGGTGGGCTTTAACATTAGTTACTTGAAGTTTGGAGATTGTACTTGTATCCTTCTACTTAGTTTATATATTTGTTAAATAAGTTTTAAACCCTTGTTGCATAGCTGTAGACATGATATGATTTCCAACATTTCTTAATTTGGGGGAAACTAACGATATGGTCTATAGTTTATCTCAATGAGGAATAAATAGATGTATTGCCAAAGTACAAGCTTTGGATCTAATTTTTTAATTTATAGTATACTATAATAATAGCTAGATCTGGATTTTTAAGAAGGCCTTCTGTCAAGAGCTTTTAATCCACTTGAATCACAGTAGGCCAAGCATGGTGGCTCACGCCTATAATCCCAGCACTTTGGGATGCCTAAGTGAGGGGATCACTGGAGCCCAGGAGTTCTGGACCAGCCTGGGGCAAGATGGCAAGATCCCATTTCTACAAAAAAGTTTTAAAAAAATTAGCTGAGCATGGTGCTGTGTGACTGTGGTCCCAGCTACTTGAGAGGCTGAGGTGGGAGGATCGTTTGAGCCTGGGAGATGGAAGCTACAGTGAGCCAAGATTGTGCCACTGCAGTCTAGCGTGGGTGACAGAGTGAGACCCTATCTAAATAAATACAAAAAGTAAAAATAAAAATCACACTGGCGTGGGATGAGCTGGCTTAAACAGCTCTTGATAGCTTGGCATCAGTCTCTCTTGATGCGGACCAGTCAGGCTGGACACTACCAAGGGCCAGAGCTGGCGGTGTGTCTTTGAGAATTTGATAAATGGATAAATGACTTAGATAAAGAGGTAGAAAGGATTCATCCAAGTCTTTGGGGCCTGAATTAAGTGGGTAAGTTGAGAAAGTGCATGGGACAGTGGGAGACCCCATGCTGAGCAGATCCAGGTCTGAATTTGTCCTTATGACATTAACACTTTGGAAGCATACCTCTGTGCTGTAGATTTCACTCTGAAGATGAAAATAAACACGATTAAAGACTCCATTTTCCCAATTTATTGTGAAGGCCCTGTAATAATTTTCTAAAGTGACAGCCCATCTGTCAGTGTAAAATGACTTGCTTCTGTAAGCAGGATGTCACCTCCCCACTCCCCAATAACGTACGTTTGGGAAGCACATGATGTCCCTTAGTCTAGCTCTCTGGCATGGAAGCTGGGGATGCATAGTGAGTCCAAAATCACCTCCTTCTCATGAATCCGGGAGTCCCTGGAGCTCACGGAGGGCTTCCTGGTGTCTTGAAGGGGTGGAATCCAGTCTGGGGCGCCCCATCTTCCTGCCGCCTGAGGTTGCTGCAGCCTTCTGTCTTCACTGTGAACCCCGGGATACTGCGGCGGTGCTGGCTGGAAGGCTGGCTTCCCAGAGCAGTGACCCGCTGTGGCCTGCTTCCTGAGAGCTCTGCGTGTGACAGCATTTCCTTCTGTCTCAGCCTCTGCCAGCGCTGTGTCAGGTGCCTCCCTTCTTCCCCCGACCCCCACTTTCCCTCCAGGATTTGGACTATTTTTTCTTTTCAAACCATTGCAACAAAAGGTTATGATGACACCTCTGCCTTTCTACTTCTAAATAAGGTCCGCCGCCGTCCAAATTTTGAGGAAACAAACATTTATGTGTTCGTGTTCAGGACGGTAGGGCCCAGGACATGCCCTTGTAAGGCAAGTGGTCTTCAGAGATTCCAGACTCCCCCGCATGCACTGCCCCCACGGCCCCACAGCTCGAAGCCCCCATGCCTGGAGGGGGCCTTTGTGAGTCCCAGATGCTTTCTGACACTTTCTTTTTTTCTTTTTTTTTTGAGACGGAGTCTTGCTCTGTCGCCCAGGCTGGAGTGCAGTGGCGCGATCTCGGCTCACTGCAAGCTCCGTCTCCCGGGTTCACGCCATTCTCCTGCTTCAGCCTCCCGAGTAGCTGGGACTGCAGGCGACCACCACCACGCCCAGCTAATTTTTAGTATTTTTAGTAGAGACGGGGTTTCACCGCGTTAGCCATGATGGTCTCGATCTCCTGACCTCGTGATCTGCCCGTCTTGGCCTCCCAAAGTGCTGGGATTACAGGCCTGAACCACCGCGCCCGGCCTCTGACACTTTCATGCTGAAAAAGGGAGGAGAACTTCTCCATATTTAGAGGGGCACCACGGTGGATATGATTTCCAAAACAAATTTTATTATGGACAGCAGTCCCCAGGCCCTTCTGGTGTGACCCCTTTGGGATGCTTTCCACTCTTGGGACAGTCCTGCAGTCCTTGCAAACCACCTGTCAGCCTAAGGCGCCAGTGAGCCTGCCCGAGCCGCCAGGGTTTGCAGCCTCTCTGGCCACCGTGTCTCATCGCCTTCCCTCTTTGTCATTTGGCTTTGGGTGACACCTTCTCTAGGGAACACTTGCGCTTTATCTCTGCGGCCTTCACAGCCCCACACCCCACACCCACCCCACTCCCAGCTCAGCTTCTTAATCCTGCCTGCTTGTTTGGCAGCCCTGGTGGGTGGATGGAGCTGGAAGAGGCTGAGCTGGGGGAGGTGGGGTAGGCAGGTGAGGGCCCAGGGTGCTCTTGAAGCAGTGGGCTGTCAGCAGGGAGATGGGAGCATGGGAGACGGCCCAGATGCATGACTGGGAGCTGAAAAAAGGCGAGGGAGAAGATAGAGGAAGAGGAGGTGTGAGGGGAGCAGCTGCCTGCTGTCCGTGAGGCTGCAGCGGAAGGCTCTTGCTGGGAATCAGGCCGCTTTCTTTGTGGATTTATCTACCCAACAGGCCTGCGGGGCGGGCTGAGCTCTCCCAGCCAATTTCGCCAAGGCCAGGAGGAGGACTAAGGGATCAGCGCGGGTTCCCGTAGCAGATGGACCCCACATTACACCTGCTGGGTGAAAAGAACTGTCCAGTCTGGACGAATCACTTTGGTTTTTCCTTTTTAAATCTCTGTTCTCTGGTCAATAAACCAGACTCTCCTGGACTCTTCCTGAGGAAGTGAAAGGAGGATACAGCTCAGTGAACTCTGCGGCGCTTCTGGAAAGAAATCCAGTTCTCTATCTCATCGGTTAGGGTTACATCTCTCCTGTAGTCTTGTTACAGCGCCACCATTCATTCCAATCCTCGCCTGACTCCCTCCAGCAGTGCCTCTGGGCTCCAGGTTCTCCTGACCGGTCACTTCCCCTCTGTCCTGGGTTGGTCGTGATAGGCTGGGAAAGCCTTGGAAGGCCTGCTCACTTTGGAGTTAATATAGAACCGCAGAGACGGGAAGCATCCTTTGTTTTTTGTTTTGGGGGACTTTGTGACTAGCATAATTTGTCTAGGTTGATCACTTTCCTTTCATCAGAGCCTGGTTATTAATTTGTAACAAAAAGTTTGTCCAAGGAAAGTCTTTAATCGTTAGTAGACTGTGAGGTAATGTAGAAAATGCAGAAAGCAGTACGTTTTAAATATAGGAAATGCAGTAATGTAGAAAAACAAAAGCAGTACTTTAGACACTGTCTGTTCCCAGATAATAATGGTTACTCTAGCATCTTTGTTTCATTTTTACCTGTATCTTTAGCATTTCCTCTTATATTGAAAAAGGAACATTCTAGAAGACAGTCTTTATGCTATATACTTCTTCATTCTGTTAGATCAGGGGTGTCCAATCTTTTGGCTTCCCTGGGCCACATAGGAAGAAGAATTGTCTTGGGCTACACATAAAATACACTGACACTAATGGTAGCTGATGAGCTAAAAAAAATGGCAAAAAAAATCTCATACTGTTTTAAGAAACTTTAAGACACTGGGGGTCTTGATTGCTTTGAATTGTTTTTCTAGGGGTAGTGATGAATTTGTACTAAAGTTTTCATCTGTACGCATTGTAAACAATAGGACATGCTTGAATTTTGTGGAATTTGGATACGAATTAGAGCTGTTATTTATTTATTTATTTTTGAGACAGAGGGAGTCTTGCTCTGTCTCCCAGGCTGGAGTACAGTGGTGTGATCACGGCTCACTGCAACCTTGAGCTCTCAGACTCAAGAGATCCTTCCGCTTCAGCCTCCCAAGTAACTGGGGCTACAGGCATGAGCCACCACACCCAGCTAACTTTAAAATAAAGTTTTTTTTAGTGGAGATGACATGTCACTATGTTGCCCAGGCTGGTCTCGAACTCTTCCTCAAGTGATCCTCTCGCCTTGGCCTCCCAAAGTGCTGGGATTACAGGCGTGAGCCACTGTGCCTGGCCTGATCTGATTTTTATTTTTATTTATTTATTGAGACGGAGTCTTGCTCTGTCACCAGGCTGGAGTGCAGTGGCTCGATCTCGGCTAACTGCAACCTCTGCCTCCCTTGTTCAAGTGATTCTTCTGCCTCAGCCTCCTGAGTAGCTGGGATTCCAGGCACGTGCCATCACACCCAGCTAATTTTTCTACTTTTAGTAGAGACGGAGTTTCACCATGTTGGCCAGGATGGTCTCGATTTCCTGACCTCGTGATCTGCCCACCTCAGCCTCCCAAAGTGCTGAAATTACAGGTGTGAGCTACCATTCCCGGCCCTGACTTTTATTTTTTAAGTCAACTCTCCACTTTTGGAGAAATACAGAGATTTGTGTTTTGATTATGTACTTGACTTTCTAGAAGCCAAAACAGAAAAACATACAGACTTTCAACATTACCGTTGTATCTTTTCCTTTAGTACACTTATTTTGCATTTGCTATTTTTGATAAAATGTTTTAAGTGCTGTTTCCCTCTGAAATACTTTTTAAAAGTTGAATTATGAGCATCTTTTATTCTCCAAAAAATTATAGATAGGTTTTTCTATGGAAGACTGTGAAATGTCAGCTTTTTGTAAATCACTAACAGTAAACTGAATTCATAGAGCATAACTCTCGAATGTTCACTGCCATTTTTACCTATGAAGAATTAACTTGTTTGGTGGTTTCCTTTTGACCTTGTAACTACAGTACTGCTCTGCATGGATAAATAAACCCGGATTCTCTACCCTTGACCCTAAGGAGGAGTAGTGGGGACAGAGGTAAGTGTAGCTGCCACCTTGCAGTTGCAGGGAGGGACTGGTGTAGGAATGAGTTGGTAAAATGCTCACTTTCTGGCCCAGAAACCTCCTTCATTGTGTATCTGGACCAGGGACTGTTGAGGATGCTTCTGCCCTAGGTTAAAGAAAAAATTATTTAATGTTACTTTTAAAGTACTGTGAGGAAGGCTTTATCAGGACCACCATGGTAGGTACAGGAAGCAGTGCAACAAGGTTTTGCAGTAGGGGAGAGAAATTAGGCTCAACTCCAAACACAGCATGGGCAAGTGGCAATTCATTGCCAAAGAAAGAGCTGGGTGGAAGTCAGTGGCTGGAAAATTACTACCAAGAAACATCAGGGGTGCTGTGGTTTAAATGTGTTCCCCAAAGTTCGTATCTTGGAATCTAATCCCCAGTGCAACAGCGTTGACAGGTGGGAACTGTAAGAGGTGATTAGGCAATGAGTCCTTTGCCCTCATCAATGGATTAATGCTGTTATCTTGGGAGTGGGTTCTGGATAAATGGATGAATTGCCTGCACCCTCACCCCCACCCCCACCCCATGCAATGGCTTCTCCCATGTTGTGGCACAGCAGGGGGCCCTCACAAAATTCAGCCCCTTGATTTTGGACTTCCCAGCCTCCAGAACCATAAGCCAGATATACTTCTGTTGTTCATAAATTAACCAATCTGTGGTATTCTGTTATAGCAGCACAACATGGACTAAGACAAGGCACGAGGGGATTTCTGGCTAAACCTACCTAATAGAATTCTTGCTGAAGACAGGCCAGGGTGATCAGACAGCACGTCGGGGGTGGTGGGGGATGAGAAACCTGATCAGATATCAAGGATTGGGGTTCTTGTCAAACCGATTTAGTGCAGGGTTCTTTTGCTAAAGTGATTTTACAAGGAAGTGTACAGATGGGCCTACGAGAAGGTTCAAGAGACTGACTACAGTTTGGCCAAGCAGAGAATCTTTGTCACTGACCAAGTTTCAAAGGACGGGGAGGGGTGATAGATGGTACATGGGGACTGACACCCGTTTATTCTTAGGAGACTACATCAGTTGGTTTGGAAATTGGAATTGTTTTTGTTTGTTTCCAGTTTATATTGTGTTAAGTCTATGTTAGATCCAGAATTCAAAAGCAGAAAGGTGAGAAATGTGGGCATTGCTATGGAGTTAAACTGGCTCACAGAACAAGCGGCTCCCTCAGGCAATCCTAGGAACAGATTTTCAGACGTTACAAGCACCAGGTATTTGATCCAGGCCTAAAGTATGAAGCGCCATGCTGTTCCTTTGGGTGACAAGTTTTGGTTTTTGTCACATGCTTCTCCTGTTTTAAATCTTCCATCTCCTTCATGTGGAAGAGATTGTTTATGTTTAAAACTGCTTATGCCAAATCAAGAAGTAAATAAAAGCAGGAAGGGGAATAGAAGCTGCTTATAGCAGCAAATCTTTAGTTTGAAGAAGTCCATGAAGACAGATTCACATGGAAATTGTTGATGGTGTTAATTCAGTGATATGTGACTAATTAGAAAATGTTTCCTGTGAAAAAAGTTTAATTCATGAATAGTTTTTTCCTCTCCTCTCTTTCTTCTTTTAAAAATGAATACTTTAGATATGTCTTTGACACTATGGAAGAGATAAGGTTCAGAAAGCTCCAAAATTTCTTTGTTTTCTTAAAATAATATCAGTTTCTTTTATTCTTAAGTGTGAGCCCATTTCTTATAAAATGACCTAGTGAGAAAGCCTGGATTTTTTTTTTTTTTTTTTTTTTTGAGACAGGGTCTCACTCTCACCCAGGCTAGGGTGCAGTGGTGTGATTATGGCTCACTGCAGCCTCTACCTTCTGGAATCAAGTGATCCTCCCACCTCAGCCTCCTCAGTAGTTGGAACTACAGGCATATGCCGCCACACCCAACTAACTTATTTTTATTTTTGTAGAGATGGGTCTCACTATGTTGCCCAGGCAGGTCTCAAACTCCTGAGCTCAAGCAACCCTTTTGCCTTGGCCTCCCAAAGCATTGGGATTACAGGGGTGAGCCACCATGCCCAGCCGTCTGTGATTTTCTTAAAGTCCAGCAGTTTGTAGCTATATTTGCAGTTAAAATGTGAAATCATATTTAGCCAGCAAATTTGCATGTAATTTGAATAAACTATAACTTTAAATTTACTTTAAATGTACTCAAACTGATGATTAATTGATAAAGTTGCATTGTGCTTAATACCTTTAAAAATGTCTATGCAATTTAAGGGTTTTTAGATTTGTTTAAAAAAGTGCTAAAATCAGTATTAAATTTTTAAATGATTTTTTCTTCCCTCATTAAAATTTCTGGAAGTTTATTAGTAGAAACTCAGTTACGTGCTGATAGAATATGCATTACAGTTGTTTCTAAAGAGCAGCTCAACATGAATTGGTGAGTTCACATCATTTCTGTGACTACTTGTGAGGACTGACTTTTCAGAATATAAATCTGTACTGCCCAGTCTAAGGATCGAGAGTGTGATCTAATAAAAAAAATGCTTTTACTTTCAAGGAGGGATTTAGAGTGTGTGCAGTTGTGTAGAGAGAATGTGAATGATTTTCTCTAAGCCCTGACCCCATGTACTCAAAAGTTCTGAACTCTAATGAATGAATGCAGCCCTTTGTAACACTGCTAACATATTTAATTTTCCAAGTATGTAGGTCATTGTGCTGATTTTGTTCTCATACCAAAAAGATTGTCCAAGCATTTCAATGAAGATATTTCACACACTGCCTTCTCAAGTCATAAAAGTTGAAAATGATTACCATTTATGTGATCAATTATTTAAAAAAATAATTTGCATTTAAAGTCAGCCCTCCGTGTCTGTGGGTTCTGGGGCCACAGATTCAGCCAATGGCAGATGGAAAATATTCAGAAAAAATACAAATAAAAAACCAATACAGGCAGGGCATGGTGGCTCATGCCTGTAATCCCAGCACTTTGGGAAGCCGAGGGGGGCAGATCACTTGAGGTCAGGAGTTGGAGACCAGTGTGTCCACATGGTGAAAACCCGTCTCTACTAAAAATACAAAAATTAGCCGGGCAAGGTGGCGGGCACCTGTAATTCCAGCTACTTGGGAGGCTGAGGCAGGAGAATTGCTTGAACCCGGGAAGTGGAGGTTGCAGTGAGCTGAGATCATGCCATTGCCCTCCAGCTTGGGTGACAGAGTGAGACCCTGTCTCAAAAAGAAAAAAGAAAAAACAGCCAATGTAGTCTAACAACTATTTACATTGCTTTAGGTATTATGGGTAAGCTAGAGATGATTTAAAGAATCTGGAAGGATGTGAGTAGGTTATCTGTGAATACTCTGCCATTTGATGTCAGGGACTTGAGCATCCGTGGATTTTCGTATTCTTGGTATCTGATCCTCTGTACCGAGGGAGGCCTGTGTGTTCTACTTGCTTATGTTAGCAGGACACTTTGAATGTGTCTTTCCCATTAGATTGTAATTCCTTTGAGGGTGGAGACTATAAACTTCAGTTTATATTTTCGAGCTCAGTTTTCTATGTAATGTGGATCTATAAGTATTACATAAATATCCTCACAGGTAGAGTCAATGCTAATTGGCGGCTGGTAGTAATTTCTAAACTACCATTTTAACACTGGGGGAAAAACACTCAGTACTGACAAGGGTAAAATAAATCTGATACCTTAATGTGCTGCCAGTGAAATTATAAGTTGAAAAAACTCTTCTTTGGAAAGTATCTTGGCAGTCTGTATGAGAAAGCCATCTAAATGTTCATATAGTTTGATGTAGTAATTTTATTTCTGGGGCTATCTCTAAGATAATATTGCAAAATTTTGGAATATTTGTAATATTGTCTTAGAGATAGTCCTAGAAATAGAGTTACTGCATCTTACATTTTGTAGAGAGCTATATGTAGGAAGCTATTCATTACACAATTTTTAAGGAAGAAAAATTGCATATAATCTAAATGCCACGAATGGAAAATATTAGGTAAATTATGGTTCTTTATATTGGATGGAATAGTATATAGCCGTTAAAATATCTATGAAGGTTATGAAGCAACATAGAAAAGTGCTTATGATATATAATGTCACTTAGAAACACATGGAATATTTCACAACAATACAAATTAGAACAGAATCTTAAACCAGATGCTTAGGGAAGATGGGAAAGAATAACAATAATTACTGTATATTGAGTAATTATTATGTTTTAGGGACTTTGCCGAGTAATTTTCTCACTTAATTTTTATAAATGGCTCTTGGTTTGTTCATTTTGCGGACAAAGACACTGAGCTTAGAGAGGTTGTGTAATCTTGCTCAGCCATGTTGAGTGATGGGACTGCATCGGGACCAGGTCTGCCTGTGGGATCCAGGGTCCGTGCTTGAAACTGGTAATTTGCAAATTTTTCTGTGTGTCAGAATCATCTGAGAACTTTAAATAGATAAATGAGTGAGCAAACAAATACATGCCCCGTGGCCCACCTCCTGAATTAGTCACCTGGCAGACAACCAGAGCCTGGCACGGTTTACACCAAGCCAGGGTCTAGTGCCAGCCTGTGGCCAGCATTTAGGACCCTCTGCACATTCCGTTTGTTGGGTACAACACAAATATTAAAATACATACAAAAATACACAAATATTAATACTGTGAATATTAATAGTGGTTGGATTTGGGTTAGAGAACTAAGTGATTTTAGTCTTTTTTCTTCATTTTCAGATTTTCTTTAGCGATAAATGATGTTACTTTGAGTATAAAGATTTAGTAAAAAGAAAATTGAATAAAAGATTTGATTTAGAGTCCTTCTTTTGGGGGGAATATTTTATTTTATTTTATTTTATTTTTTTTCAAGACAAGGTTTCGCTCTGTTGCCCACGCTGGAGTGCAGCAGTGTGATCATAGCTTGCTGTGGCTGCCTGGCTCAGGTGATCCTCTGACCTCAGCCTCCCGAGTGGCTGGGACTGTAGGTGTCCACCACCATGCCCAGCTAATTTTTTTTTTTTATTTTAATAGAGAAGGAGTCTTGCTATATTGCCAGGCTGGTCTCCAACTCAAGCGATCCTCCCGTCTCAGCCTCCCAATGTGCTGGGATTATAGGTGTGGACCACTGTGGGCCTGTGTTGTTGCTTTAAAAAACCCACTGTGAAGATGCATAAGTGGGGAAATGGAATTGTAGTCAAAAGAGGCTTAATCTTAGCAAAATACTATAAAATGTATCAGTCTAATGATGATGACACTTAATAGCATATATTAAATTTATTTCAGTTACAACATTGCTTTAGAAATTAAAATGAACTATAGATTTTTAATAAATGATATATTAATTATATCTCAATTTAAAAATAAAATAAAATAAATTGGACAATTACAAAAAGCCAGTGAGATTGGCCTGTTTAGCTCTTTGACAAGCAAGAGAGAAAACTATAATTGCAGAACATTTTTGTTGTGAAGGAAGGGGAATAAAATTCTTTTACTCATAGTTGAGAAGAAACAGAGTGAAGTGAGATATTAATTACAGGACACAGTGGACTTTATTGTTACTGTTCAACCTTGTGGTCCTCAGCATGGGTAGGTAAACACGAGATCTTTTGAATGAGGTCTCTCGAACACTGCATGGGCAACAAATGCGATACCTTAAATAAGGTATAAATGATGTTGAAAAGTGTCTATTTTCAGGAAGGCAGAGGAAAATGTCAAACTTTAGACAACTTGTGTGTGTATTTTTTTAAAATCAACCACTTATTTTTATATTATTGATACTATTGACATGAAATGATAAAAAATCTTGCATACGTGGTTGGACACCTGGAGTAACCTTAGCATCCAGTGTCCAACAGTACATTATTGTAACATCTTCCTCACTTTGCAGGCCTGCCAAATTTCAGAATTCCTGGGTCAATTTGGAAGAAAACCAAATCGATTCGTAAGGAATAACCAGCGATTTCATGAGTGATTCATGTGGACATGAATGTATATTGTGAAGAGTAAGAGGAATATTGGATATATTTTTAAAAGCTGAGCAGTGGTGCCAGTTAGCCTTAGTCATAAAAGTCTTATTTTAAAAATGGTGACGTCAATAGCAAGGTCATGGAATCAACACAAGTGCCCATCAACAGTGGATTAGATAAAGCATGGAATACTATGCAGCCATAAACAAGAATGAAATCATGTCCTTTGCAGCAACTTGGATGCAGCTGGAGGCCATTATCCTAAGTAAATTAATGCAGAAACAGAAAGTTAATATCATATGTTCTCACTTATAAGCGGGAGCAAAACAATGGGTACACATGCACATAAAAATCGGAACAGTAGACATCAGATACCCTAAAAGGAGGGAGGAGGAGGGGGAAGGGTGGAAACACCACCTATTGAGTACTGTATTCACTATTTGGGTGATGGGTTCACCAGAAGCTCAAACTTCAGCATTACATGATATATCTGTGTAACAAATCTGCACATGCATCCCCTGAATATAAAATTTAAAAAAAAAATTCAAAAAAATTTAAATGGTGAAGTGTATTCATTTATTTTGGAAACATCACTTTTCTTCCACACATGAGATGGAATGGAACTGGAACACATTATCGAAATCCACAAAAGCTGTGAAAATTTTATATTAAATAATCCTGTAACTTGAAAAGATTTTAAAAAGTCCTCATTAAAGATAGGCTCATGAAAATTAGCGTATTTTTGTGTCTGCCAAAACTTCTTTGCAGAGGAAATGGGGATGAAATTCCAGATGATGTCTTTGTCTAACTGTACGGGCAAGGGCTGCATTGGCTGAATTGATGACTTCGCTGAAGCTATTGAATTTCTAGTGTTGCCTCAGATCACGTCATCATTTTTGCTGTGAGCTCTGATAGTTGCAATTGTGTTCAACTCCTGGTGAGTGCAGCACATGCCTCAAGTCATGAGAGATGGAAAAGGACTACTGTTTTCTGCAGGTAGGTGGCCACCACTAAAGCTTTGAAATGGTGTCCACATTCTTGGAAGCTAGTGAACTGAAGCAAAGAGGAAAAGAACCCTCCAACTATTTTGGGGGCTGATCTGTGTCATTCATAAAAGAATGGCTTTCAAAACTGCTTAGTAATCTAGGGGAAAACCTCAGTCCTTACCAACAAGATGGTTCACTGGGTTCAAAAGAACGTGCCACACACCCGGAGGCGTGCCTTGCTTTGCAACCCTTTGCATGCTGGCTGCAGGGTCCGTCCTTTGCTGGCGATCAGTGGGAAGTATGGTTGCCAGACTATGAGCTGAAAGACATAGTAGCCCTATTTTTGGATCGCCAGGGAAAAAATCAAATTGTTTGTACTTAAGAAAAGTCCTCAGGTGGAGCATTGTGTATTTGGTAGAAAGACTGGAAACTCCAAATACACAGAAATAGAAATTTCAAGGGATAAAAACAAACATTATAGTTCATGCATTTATAAACAGGTTTTAAAATAATTATAAGCCACCAATTTGATGACACTCTCAAGACTTCGTGAGAGTGACTTTTGAGAAGTTACATCTCATCCAGTTTAGGTGAATTCAGGTCACCTACTCTTGACATGAGTAGAGATTTGCCTTTGTGACTTGTGAGGAGAGACCTTTTCTCACCGATGGTATTGAAAAGAGAACTCCAAGCGAGGTTTGGGAAGAGGAATTTGATTCAGGTGCCAGATATACTTTACAGATCACTGTGGTTATCTTACATTAAAACAAGCAAATGTGCATCTTCAGGTATTATCTTATTTCTTTCACTCACAGACATTTGCTGCACTGTTCTCCCCACCTCACGCAGCAGAACACTTGGGTATGAAGTAACTATCACTGTACTTTCGGTGAGCAAGCACCCTCAGCATTAAAAAAAATTACATGACAAGAAAAAATATGTATGTTTCAAGGCGACTATAAATATTTTTCTTTTTTTCTTTTCTTTTTTTTTTAGTATAATTTTTTTTTTTAATTGATCATTCTTGGGTGTTTCTCGCAGAGGGGGACTTGGCAGGGTCATAGGACAACAGTGGAGGGAAGGTCAGCAGATAAACAAGTGAACAAAGGTCTCTGGTTTTCCTAGGCAGAGGACCCTGCGGCCTTCCTCAGTGTTTGTGTCCCTGGGTACTTGAGATTAGGGAGTGGTGATGACTCTTAACGAGCATGCTGCCTTCAAGCATCTGTTTAACAAAGCACATCTTGCACCGCCCTTAATCCATTCAACCCTGAGTGGACACAGCACATGTTTCAGAGAGCACAGGTGTTGGAGGTAAGGTCACAGATCAACAGGATCCCAAGGCAGAAGAATTTTTCTTAGTACACAACAAAATGGAGTCTCCTATGTCTACTTCCTTCTACACAGACACAGCAACAATCTGATTTCTCTATCTTTTCCCCACATTTCCCCCTTTTCTATTCGACAAAACCGCCATCGTCATCATGGCCCGTTCTCAATGAGCTGTTGAGTACACCTCCCAGACGGGGTGGCGGCCGGGCAGAGGGGCCCCTCACTTCCCAGAAGGGGCGGCCGGGCAGAGGCGCCCCCCACCTCCCGGACGGGGTAGCCGGCTGGGCGGGGGCTGACTCCCCACCTCCCTCCTGGACAGGGCGGCTGCTGGGCGGAGACGCTCCCCACCTCCCAGACGGGGTGGCTGCCGGGCGGAGGGGCTCCTCACCTCCCAGACGGGGTCGCGACCGGGCAGAGGCGCTCCTCACATCCCAGACGGGGTGGTGGGGCAGAGGCGCGCGTCACTTCCTAGATGGGATGGCGGCCGGGAAGAGGCGGTCCTCACTTCCCAGACTGGGCAGCGGGGCAGAGGGGCTCCTCACATCTCAGACGATGGGTGGCCGGGCAGAGACCCTCCTCACTTCCTAGATGGGATGGCGGCTGGGCAGAGACGCTCCTCACTTTCCAGACTGGGCAGCCAGGCAGAGGGGCTCCTCACATCCCAGACGATGGGCGGCCAGGCAGAGACGCTCCTCACTTCCCAGAGGGGGTGGCAGCCAGGCAGAGGCTGCAATCTTGGCACTTTGGGAGGCCAAGGCAGGGGGCTGGGAGGTGGAGGTTGTAGAGAGCCGAGATCACGCCGCTGCACTCCAGCCTGGGCAACATTGAGCACTGAGTGAACGAGACTCCATCTGCAATCCCGGCACCTCGGGAGGCCGAGGCTAGCAGATCACTCCCGGTTAGGAGCTGGAGACCAGCCCGGCCAACACAGCGAAACCCCGTCTCCACCAAAAAAATACGAAAACCAGTCAGGCATGGCGGCGCGCGCCCACAATCGCAGGCACTGGGCAGGTTGAGGCAGGAGAATCAGGCAGGGAGGTTGCAGTGAGCAGAGATGGTGGCAGTACAGTCCTGCTTCGGCTGGGCATCAGAGGGAGACCGTGGAAAGAGAGGGAGAGGGAGACTGTGGGGAGAGGGAGAGGGGGAGGGGGAGGGAGAGGGAGAGTGGGAGGGGGAGGGGGAGGAGGGAGAGGCGAAATATTTTTCTTTTAAAATATCATTGCTTTGATGTTTTTCATTGATGCACTTAATTTTACTTCAGGTGAAATGAAAGGAGGGCGTGAGATATTTTATGTTCGTCAAAAGGAAGCATGGGTGAAAAAGGCTTGAACGGCATCGCCCCACTAAATCACAAGGAGGAGAATAAGGTTCTTTCTCCCTTTGCTTTGCTGGCTTTTGGGCCATGCTCTTTTTCCATGCAAACTGCCGTTGCCTTTGGAGGAGAAGGTGGTGAGGTTATGCTCTTAAATAGGGTAAGCAATGTTCTGGAAAATAGTTTTACAGTACAGTTGAGATTTGGAGTGCTTAGAGAATGTGCATTATGGTATAAGTATCAGAGTTAAACTAAAATCCCAATGAATATTAGTTCATAGTTCTTCTTTTACTCTCTTTTTGAAGTATGCGCTAGTCACACCATTAAAATGATCTGAAAAAATCCTGACTTTTTCTTTTTTTTAAGAGATGGGGTTTCACCATGTTGGCCGGGCTGGTCTCGAACTCCTGACCTCAAGTGATCCTCCCGCCTCGGCCTCCCAAAGTGCTGGGATTGTAAGCGTGAGCCACCATGCCCAGCTAGACTATTTTTATTTTATTACCAGATGATGTTCTGTGTTCATGAGGCTCATAACCTGTTTGTGCATGTGTGTCTCTGGTTTTCACATCTTGCCCCTACTATTAGGGTCTTATCTTGTGAGGAGGTGGGCCACTCCATGTCCCTTTCCTCTCCTATTGCCGCTTCTCTCATTGATGTCATTGTCAGGTGACAAACCTGGGTGCCCTGCCAGGAGCTCTGGATTTGAATGTGGGCCCTCATCCCTGCTCTACTCTTTAAAAGCTGCAGGGTCTCAGACAAGTGGCTCTCCTATTGGAGGATTCAATGAGATTAAAACCATAAATGTATCAATTTATTCTTTACTGTTTTAAAACTTTGAGTTTTGAGTAAATTTCTTTTGATCTGTCTGCTTATTTAGACATAACAGTATATGGTTATTAGAATTATTAGGCTATGTATCTTGCAAAGGACTGAAATTGTCATACTTAGTTTCAAAGTATGCAGATTGAATAACAGAAGCTGTCTGTGCAGTCAAATCTGGCTGATCCCCATTATGGTTTTTGAGACATTCAAGGTAACTCAGAAACCAGGAGATTAAAAAAAGAATGAAGCTAAGGAGTGTTTTGGCAGAGCACGGTGGTTAACTCCTATAGTCCCAGCACTGTGGTAGGCCGAGGTAGAAGGATCGCTTGAGCTCAGGAGTTCAAACACAACATAGTGAGACCCCGTCTCTACAAAAAAAAAAACACCAAAAATTAGCCTAGTGTGGTGGTGAACACCTGTAGTCCCAGCTACTCAGGAGGCTGAGGTGGCAGGGTTGCTTGAGTCCGGGAGGTCATGGTTACAGTGAGCTGTGATTGTGCCACTGTACTCCAGCCTCTGGCAACAGAGTGAGACCCTGTCTCAAAGAAAAAGAAAAAAGAAAAAGAAAAAAGAGATTTTTCTCTTCACGGTTCTGTTGAGTTCCTGGCCCTCCTTTCCTGATGCCAATCTAATATAGCATAACGACTTAATTTTGCTCTTGAATTGTACACAGAGGCTTGGTGAGAACCCTCCCTTGGCTGGAGGCCCGTGTGTAACCATATGGTGCTTCACGGAATGCAGATAATGGCTTTATTTTCCTCCCTGTCTTAATAGGTGGAAGCCTGTGCTAGCAGGTAGAGGATCTTTTATAAAGAACAAACGAAAGCATTACACTGATATTATTCATGCCAGAGCACAGCAACTGTTAGCTGCTCTGAAAATTGTAATTCCTTTTCTTCTACCTGCTGGATATTTTCACCCATGACCCTTAAGAGAATGCGGGTGATCCCAACCCTTGCTGCGAAGGTCATTGCTCACAGCTCCCCATCTTGCTGTGTCCTTTGTTCTGATGTCACTGGGGTTGGGCCTGAGGCCTCTTTGGGAGGCTGGCAGGCAGGTAGGCTGGGAAGGTGAGGGTTGGCAGTGTGTCCTCTTCCGGAACTGCAGGGTGCTGTCCCCACTGTCACACCCCACCACCTCCCTTTTGAGCCCTGCCTAGAGGGGAGGGGAGGGGTCCCTGCTGCTCCAGCAGCCTCCCCCTCCACATCCCTGCGGAGCACCCATCCCTGTCCCTGTTCCTGCCGGGCTGCATTCTGACCCCTGCCCCAGGTTTGTGAGTCTGTAGGGTGGGGTTCTAGTCACAGAGTTGGAGCTTAGGATCTAACAGAAATGGATGGGGCTTTAGAAGTCTATGTCCCCCACCCTGCCCTTCCCTAAAAAGGACGCTTGTGTGTGGAAAAGGTGATACAGTTTGTGTCGGGTCTTGCAGCCAGGCTGGCTGGGGGTGCCTAGGTCTCTGGGATTTGCCCTCCTGGGCAGGGTGCTCTGCAAACTTCCCGTCCTGATCAGCCTTTCAGGCCCCGGATTATGGAGTCTCTGCCACCCACGTGCTAGGGAGCATCAAACCCCCATAAGCCACAAGCCTAGATGGGATTCCTGTGCCCTCCAGAGAGGACAGATCCCATCCATGCTGGAGAGTGAGCTTTTAAAAAGCTACTGCTAATGGAACGCTGGCTGTAGCTTAGATTGAGAAGTAACCCATTTATGTATATCATGGTCTCCAACCTTTTTGGCACCAGGGACTGGTTTTGTAAAGGACAGTTTTTCCACAGACTGGCATGGGGGATGGTTTTGGGATGACTCAAGCGCATGACCTTTATTGTGCACTTTATTTCTGTTGTGATTACATTGTTATATATAATGAAATAATTATACACTCACCATCATGTAGAATCAGTGGGAGCCCTGAGCTTGTTCTCCTGCAACTAGACGGTCCCATCTGGGAGACAGTGACAGATCATCAGGCATTAGATTCTCATAAGGAGCACACACCCCAGATCCCTCACATGCGCAGTTCACAAAAGGGTTCACGCTCCCATGACCATCTAACGCTGCCGCGGATCTGACAGGAGGCGCAGCTCAGGTGGCCATCTGAGCGATGGGGAGCAGCTGCAAATGCAGATGAAGCTTCCCTGGCTCGCCTGCCACTCTCCTCCTTCTGTGCAGCCCAGTTCCTAATAGGCCACAGTACCGGTCTGTGGCCCAGGGGTTGGGGACCCCTGTGATATACATGATTGTATTTAATCTTCATGGAAACTCAGTGAGGCTCTTCTTATCTCTATTGTCTAAGAGGCTGAAATTCAGAGAGGTTAAGTATCTTGCTGGAGGTCCAGCTGTGCAGTGCTGAGACCTCAGCCCAGGTCTGCCTGACTCCACGGCTGAGCCTGCACATGGCTCTCCTAGCCTTCCTGTGTCCGACCCATCTGCTGTGCACCTCCTGAGAACCTTCGGGTGCTCTTGAAAGCTTGTATGATCTACGTTTTTCTTTCAATATAAATGTAACCGCAATGATCTAGCGATGATTCTCTCTTTTTAAAACTATCACTTGGGCTGAGCGTGGTGGCTCACACCTGTAATCCCAGC
This sequence comes from Homo sapiens, assembly GCF_000001405.40. Lineage (NCBI taxonomy): Eukaryota > Metazoa > Chordata > Mammalia > Primates > Hominidae > Homo > Homo sapiens. The sequence continues at coordinate 183,823,149 of NC_000004.12, forward strand.
ACTTTGGGAGGCCAAGGTGGGTGGATCACCTGAGGTCTGGAGTTCAAGACCAGCCTGGCCAACATGGTGAAACCCCATCTCTCCTAAAAATACAAAAATCAGCTGGGTGTGGTGGTGGATGCCTGTAGTCCCAGCTACTCGGGAGGCTGAGGCAGGGGAATCACTTGAACCCGGGAGGCAGAGGTTGCAGTGAGCTGAGAATGTGCCACTGCACTCCAGCCTGGGCAAAAAGAGCAAAACTCCGTCTAAAAACAAAACAAAAAACAAACAAACCAAAAAACCCCCAACTATCATCTGGAGGCAACAGCTGGCTGTCCAGAAGTAGACTGTTGAAAGGCAAACTGTTACACAATAAAAGACTTTCCTTCCCACTAGCCCATCACATTCCTTAGGCTCATAGACCTGGAAGATGAGGGAATGTGGAGCTGTGCTCTCTGCCCTAATCGTAGTAGCTCTGGTGAGTCACCAGATGTCTGGCCCACAAGAAGTTCCAGCAAAGCACGTCCTCATAGCTCTGGGCCCGAGAGACACCAGTGCCTAAAGGGCTGTCACACTTCCCAGCCCATCTGGCGGAGGCTGCCGCGGGTTTGAAAACTTACCTGATGAGCAGAGGCCTTTCAATTCCAAAGACTTTCACAACTTTCCTGGCGTTTTCCTTGGCTCTTAACATCTGTGCCTCTAGACTGTAAATCCTCTAGGGCGGGGATTTTGTTCTTTGGCACATTTTAGCTATTGTAAAGCATAATGTACAGCATACGTTAAAAACAGTATAACAGCAAGGCAATTTTGTCCTTCAAATGCGGCTTCAGGTCTTGATCTTTTTCCCAGATACGCAGACATGTGTAGCCATGTATCGTAAAATCGGCTACTGAACTTTCTGTGAGAAGTGGTTTCCATGAGATCCATTTGTGGTGTTATTGCAAACTTGGGAAGGCATCAGATGTTAGAACAATTCAGCAGTTGTATACATACAATGGTTTTTTTGAGCTTTAGCTCATAAACCGTCACCTACTTTAAAATAATTTTGGGATTAAAACAATGTAATAATAAATTCATACTGGCCAGAATAGGATAATTTAAGCAGGGATACCCTCATAGCAATTTTTTTTTCTGGGTCATAAAGCTAATACAATATTCTCACCACCTGCTAATGTTCCTCATATTTTATTATAAATTATTTCTCACCGACATTCTACTTTCATTTAAGGCTATTTTACTTTCCTAGGCCTTGGGCCTTGGGTAATTTCGTTAGGTAAATTTCTGTTACATCTGATTTGAAAAGGCACGCTGGAGAGAGGGAAATGGAACGGCCAGCCATCTGGATGAACTCTGAGAGCTTCTCAAATAAACAGCCACAAAGATATTATTGTGTGATTCGTGTGCCCTAAAACTTAAAGTATAATAATAATAAAATTAAAAAAAGATATTATTGTGTGATTATAGAAAAGTTTCTTAATTTGCTGTAAACTGGTAAACAGAAATTATATTTATTTGACATGGGATAAAGTTTTGAGGGAAGCACAGAGTAAAATGTGCATTTTGTAAAAATAACAGAATCTGAACCAATAGAAGATTTATTTAGTATGTATTATGTGATGCACCAATACTAGGCGCCATGGGAGAGGCAGGAGACATCATGCATTTAGTTCCAGCTGCTCAGGACTCAGGGCTTCCCCAGACACGCAGGGCAGCAGACTGTGGCGGGTGGTTAAGTGCCCAGATGGGGGCTTCCAGGCAAGTGCTGTGAGCTCGTGAAGAGAGGGGACCGATAGAGTTCAATTGTGACCCTTGCCCTGGACTACTAAGTGTGCAATCACAAGTGGGTTCTCTTCTTGGCCTGCACAATTGGAATGTCCCCATGTCCCCTATCTCCTCACACAATCTTGGGCTTGGGGATCGGGGAGGAACATGGTGGATAATCCCTGGCTCTTAAGGACCAAGGAGGCTGCTCATCAAAGACACTTGCTGAAAAGAGGCAGAGCTAGGACTGAGCATCCAAGGTCACCCCATGGTGTCAGGAGGTCGTGGTGGATGGTCTCAGGTCCACCATGAGGACGGCTGGGACATTCTTCCAGCTTATTTTGCTTTGAGGATCTTGAGCTAATTATGCATGAGGAGGAGAGGCTGTGGGCGAGGAAGGAAGGACGTGTTCTTAGGAGGGAGATGCAGCTGATGAGGCTTCCCAAGCAGTAGGTTGGGAGGAAGGTGGGCCGGGAGCGGTCAGCCTTCACACAGCTGGGCCATCCCTCGTGTGGCGCGTGCTGCAGATGGCAGCGGTCAGCTCGTGTCATCTCCTAGCATCCCTGGACCGCAAAACAGGCTTGCACTGGGTGGCAGGCAACCTTCAATGGGTGAATAGACGTTCCTTCAGGCCCAAGTGCAGGCAGCCACCCTCGCTGTAGGTGTGTGTGTCCGTGCCTCTGTCCTGCCAACGTGGGTGCAGCGCCCGACCCCTCCCTGCCCGTCCTCTGTGTCCCAGGACTCGCGGTGAAGCCCTGAGCATGGGCTTCCATTGTTATTTTCTGAGGATAGCTTGACAGGACAGGGGCAACCTAGACCTAGTGGAGCAGGAGTCAGGGTCAGCGAGGTGGCTGGGGCTGGACTTTGCCGGGGAGGGGTTCAGATTTAATGCTTCGAGCAGTGGAAAGCTGCTCTGGGCTCCTGAGCACAGGCAGGGTGTGATCAAATCAGTGTTTGGGGAAGTTTAGTCTGGGAACGAGTATGGCAGTCAGTTTGGCAAATGATGGGGAGAAGGCGCGAGAAGGGTCGTTGGCTGTGAGCTGAAAATCGACACCATTTGCAGTCGCTGAAACCTTTGGGTAATCTATCACCTCTTCTTCTGCTCTTTCCTGTTTGTCTAATCTAGAAGTTCTCAGTTTTTAGTGCACAACAGACTCATCGGGAAACAGGTTAAAACACAGACTCCTGGGCCCCACTCCCAGGGACTCTAGCTCAGCAGACCAGGAGTGGGGCTGGGGACCTGCATTTCGTTTTCATTTCGCTCCTCAGATGATTCCAGTGCAGTTGATTCGAGGACCAAGTTTGAGAAAACAAACTCAGCTGCCAGGTTCCATCTGGTTTTGGTCTTTTTTCCCTTTCTGTTGGGGCACTTCTTTCTGTTCTCATCACCACTGCTAGTCCTGACCCCTCCATGGTTTCCCTGAGCCTTGCCCCTCACCGTCCTCATCAGCGAACCTGTTCCCCTGAGAATGGCTTGCTCATCTATCTCAGGGGATACCCAGGCAGCCTCTGGCTCCAGCGACTCCCTGTCCCCGTCACTGGCCTTCGAGGCACAGTTCGTCTTCCCTGTGAAAGCTGCCACTCTGACCTCCCTGCTGAGTAAGTGTAACCTCTCTGCTTTCCATTTCCATGGCTTGTATTCTCTACACCACTTCACTCCTTTCAAATACGAGCCATTAGCTTGTCGAAAGAGCAAGAACTTGGTATCACACAGTCCTGGGACGGCTGCCTGCTAGCAATGTGGCCCTGGCAGGTCACACCATCGCCCTCAACTTCAGTTTTCCCGACCGTGGAATCTGCCCCGCAGGGTTTGCGGAGGCTTAAGTGGGAGAATACACAGTGTCCACTACATAGAATGTGTTTGGACAAATGCTATTTCTCTTTCTTTTCTCTGCGTCTGGAATCGCCAGCTGGACCAAAGACCCTCAGAAGAGAAAGGCTGTGTTTTATGTTCCTCTCTGATCTCAGCATTGAGCTTGCTGCTCAACAGGCAATCATAATGCAAAAGGCAGTGATAGTAGTAGCGGTAATGGTAATAATAGTAATAGCAAATTTATAAGTATTTATGATATGCCAGGCATTACATATAACATGACCTATTTAATCTTCTCAACAGAGCTTTGAGGTATTGGCTGTCATTAACACCATCTGAGGAAACTGAGGCACAGAGTGGTTAGGTGCCCAGGGTCACCTAGCTGCTATGTAGTATAGTCAGTATTTGAACTCAGAAAGTCTGGCTGCAACCACCGTATTTTTATAGCACTGAAATAAAAATAACCCCTATTTTATTGTTATGAAAAATGTCAGTCATTTATAGAAATGGAATAGCATGGGTGCGGTGGCTCACATCTGTAATCCTAGCACTTTGGGAGGCCAAGGAGGGAGCATCGCTTGAGGCCAGGAGTTCAACACTAGCCTGGGCAACACAGCAAGACCCCAGTCTACAAAAAATGAGGAAATTAGCTACGTGTGGTGACACGCACCTGTAGTCTACTAGGGAGGTTGAGGCGTGAGGATTGCTTGAACCCAGGAGTTTGAAGCTGCAGTGAGCTGGGATCATACCACTGCACTCCAGGCTGGGTGACAATGAGACCCTGTCTCTAAAAAAAGAAAATAAAAATAAAAAAACAAAGAATTGGAGGGAATGAGAGAATGAGTTCCTCTTTACTCAGCTTTAATGTAATCAACACATGGCCCATGTTGTTTCATTGGTGCTGTCACCTCTATCTTCACTTTGGGTTATTTTGAAACAAATCTCAGACATCATACTATTGTAAATACAACACATTAGCAATTGTATTTACAATGAACTTGTACATATTTTATAAATAAATTTCAAAAAGATGGGCCAGGAGTGGTGTCACGTGTCTGTAGTCCCAGCTGCTCGAGAGGCTGAGGCAGGAGGATTGCTTGAACCCAGTTCAAAGCTGCAGTGAGCTATGCACACCACTGCATTCCAGCCTGGGTGACAGAATGAAATCCTGCCTCAAAAAAAAAAAAAAAAAGAAAGAAAAAAAGACGGCCTTTATTGCCCCAGTATAACCTCAATGCCATTATCAGACTTAAAAATATCATATTATTGGTAATTCCTTAATACCAGCTATCCTGTTTGTGTTTAAATTTCTCTGATGTTTGCATAAACATTTTTTTACAGTTCATTTGTTCAAATCAGGATCCCAACAAAAGACAGTCTATTTTTGAGAATGAATTTTTAAAGCAAAGTACCTGAAAATGTTGTGTACTTGTTGCACTTTATTCAGCAAATGTTTATTGTGCCCATGTTTGCAAGGCACGGTTTGAGGCTGGAGAAAGAGACTTCCAAGGAGCTGCCAGCTGGCTGTGATGACAGGGTGGACTCGGAAACTGGCAGAGGGTGTTGGCGCATTTTGCCTCTGAAGTCATAAGTTTGGGTGAGTGACACAGCGGTAGAGTCTTGACAGGGCTGGGGAAGGTGGGAGGAAGAAACAGCCCCAGGAAAAGAGGATGGGTGTGGCTCGGGGGATGTGTTTAGATTCTTCAGTCATATTCAGTCTAACATGTCTATTTCCTGTATTTCATTCTTCGTCTCTACCCTTCCACTTGATTTTTCTTGCAAGTTGTTATGTTGGCTTTTCCCCCCTTTATAAAAAAAATGGTCAGGAACTTGGGGAGGTGCATTGAATGATGACAGTGTGTTTGAGTAAAGTAAATGAATGCAGTGGGGTAAATCCATGCTTTTAGGGCATAATCCCAGAGGCGACAGATTTAAGTTTTTAGGTACATGCTTTTATTATTCAGGCTGGCTCTTGGTACTGAAAATGTCTTGACAAATGAGCCAGCATTCAGATAACTGAAAAAATGAACTTCTGTGAAATACTTCTGTTTGCTTTGAAATTATTCATCACTTTGTTTGGGGGACCTTGCCAAATTCAAAGTGGAGTATTGTGATGTACCTTGAGCCTGATGGAGTTTTTTTCTGTATTTAACCAAGATCACACTTTAAAACTAGACAGAGAATCATGGGTACCTTGTAAAAAACCTACCACGGACGCCAGACCTGGTGCTGCAGACACATGTGTTTTGTCAGGTAGATTTAAGTTGTAACAGGCAGAAGAAGGAAAGCAGTTTGGCTTGGGTGCCAACCGGGAGATTAGCAATTTGCTGATTTCAGCTGTTTTATGGCAACATTTATAAAGTTGACTAATTTTCTCCACAGATATTTTGCCAATTAGCATTAAGAAACAAGAGAATTTAGAAATAAACTTTTGCTCTTTTCCTATCCAAAGAAAGTGGTCTTTTGTTTTTAAAAATCTATCATCTTTTTCTTTGATGAGAGAAATTATATTTGAGGCATTTAGTTAATCTGCTATTCTTTGAAACATACACATTCTTATTTTGGAAAAATTAAAAACATTCATCTCTACATTCAACATTCTTTAAGACTGGTGGGATTGTGAGTTGCAGTAGTAGCAGAAAGAAAAGACAGAACGTGGAAAAAAGCCGTTTCCTTTCTCTTTTTGTTGCAACTTCTAGTCCCTTGTCATTTGTTTGTCTTTGTCACACTTGCAGGCCTTTCCAACCCCCAGAATCTAGGGTACTGTTATACATAACTAGAAGACTTCTATGCGCCAGATTATTTAATGCTCCTCATTCCCTTTGCATTTGGTGGCACGTCTCCCTCATGTCTTTGTATTAAACTGTCAGTCACCAGCATAGGTAACACAGTACACTTTAAATTTCTTGTGAAAATCAGCCCTTGGTCACATTGTCTTAGCCATGGGCCAAGGCCTTCAATTCCAGCCCCACCTCAGGAGTTCACAGATAGTGAGTCAATACGTTCCCTGTAATTTTAAGCCAGCTCGACTTGCGGTTTCTGTTACTTGCAACCAGATGCACCTAATGGATCCTGATTGTAATGAACTTTATAATTAGATTTTCTGTTATGTGTTGGAAATGAAACAGAGTAATTCTCCTCTCCTGGCCAAGGAACTTACACTCCCAAAGAGACACGAAGAAAAGTGAACACTTACTGAGCATCTGCTGTGTGTGCTGGGTGTTTCAGAGACATTTCCTCATGGAATGCTGAAGATGGCCATTACTGGGCCTGCTCCCTCTTCTTGCAGGTATGAGTGATGGGGTAGAATCGGCGAATCCTTTAGATCTTTACTGCATTGTTGCTGAAGTTATGCTGATTGTGACTATTTCTGGGCTGTCAATGGATTTTTATGTGGCCCTGAGCACAGTGTCTCAGGGAGGTAGGGCTATTTCCAGTGTCTGAGCAGAACTAATTTCACATCCCCCCCAACAAGGTATCTAGGGTCACCTGGTGCGTTGTTACTTGCTTTTCTGCTAACCTGCTTTCCTTGCACACAGTAGAAAATTGGGCTAGGAGTAACATACTGTTCTAACTATAATTAAAAGAATTCCCCCTCATTGGCCAAGTGCAAGCACATGGGGTTTTTACACTCTCAGTCGACTGAATTACATTCTAGGTGCACTGAGAGTTTGCTACTATGGGTGTTATCTTGTTTTCTGAATTCCACTGGGTGATAAAATGCAACTACAGCTGTGTCCTTCTGTGGGAAGGAGGGAGTCCAGTGAAGTCCTCTGTGCCAGGGCTGGGAGAGATGGTCATGAGGGTTCTTATCCTTTGACCTTAGCCATGACCCCAGGCTGGCTTTACCTTTGACCCTGCCCTTTTGATGTGCCCAGGGCTGGTCTGGCCTGGCTAGTAGTCACTCCTTGTGTGGCAGTTAGCTGAGGGTATATCTGAGGGTGATATAGGGTATATCTGTTGGTTGAAATTAGCTGGGATGAAAACATACCTTTCATCATAGGCCAATGGCTCATTGAAAAGAAATTAGTCATGAACTTCACTGTCAGCTGAAAAGTAGTCATTAAGGGCCCTCCTCCAACAATAGGACACTTGTTCCGGTTTCAGGGTCACCTGATCCACACCAATAGGGGAAGACTGGGGAAGAATGCTGTGCAAAACGTTTTCAGAGGTTGTAACAGGCAGGTCTGCATTTTTAGAATTTTTTTTTTTTTTTTGGCTAGCTGTATATGATTGAACAGTTTTCAGTTTCAAAGTTGCAGGCTTTGGTGTTTAGATCCTTCCTAGGCTGGTGGTAGAAGAATCCTGGGATTCTGGGTTAGTCCTCGGCGGAGATGGCCAAGCACTACATGGGACCGAACTCCGGGCCTGAGCAGCTGGCTTGGAGGGTGTTGGCTTTTCTCCTTCCTGGTGGGTGTGGAGGCGTGAGGGGGGATGGTGGGGGGATGGAAGATTTCAGTGAGAGTTGTTTATTGCTAAAGGTCTACAGGAGAGAAGACGATTTGAAAGGCAGGATACAGTAGGTTAAAAAGGTTGTCCTGTACAGAACACACCCACAGAAATTGCACACATGTAAGGAAAATTGTGGCAGGAAAGAAGCTTGGCTCTTTTGCCTTTCTTCATTTCCGCCCCCAAGTTTGCCTTGAACTTGGAATCTTACGTTATAAACGTTGCCAAATTGCAGCTCCAATCAGGAAACAGATGGTTAGGCAGTACCAGAAAACACAAATAATTGTGGGGACCATGAACATTAGTTCATGAACATTAGAAAACCCTGATGGAAAGTTTAGAACTATGTACATTTTTTTTTTTTTTGGTGAATATCAGACTTAAATAATTGCGAAAAGAATGGTCTAGAAATATTTTGCTAGGTATTAGAATTTTGTGGTACAGTAAACAATTAATCAACTTCTAGTTTATAAAAAATCTGCTGTGCTGTATAATTCTTAAAAATAAATTTAGTCAGTGATGGATGCGCTGAGGGCCCTGACCACCACGAAGCAATAGATCAGGTAGCAAAATGCACTTGTACCCCACGGATATAGACAAAAAACACTAAAAGTAAATACATAGATAAATAAATTTTGTTAAGCTTATCTGCCTTAGTTTCTGTCTAGGTGGCTGTAAACACGCCCTGGTCTCATTTCCGAGGCTTTGTACTTCCTCTTTTCTCTCCTGGGACAGCTCTGCCCAATTTTTCCTGTTTCCAGGCTTTAGTCCCCTTCTCGGCCCCTCCCTGAAGCTTCTTCTGGTGAATTCTGCAGTTCATTCATTTCTTCTTCTTCTTCTTTTTTTTTTTTTTTTTGAGACAGAGTTTCACTCTTGTTGCCTAGGCTGGAGTGCAATGGAGTGATCTTGGCTCACTGCAACCTCTGCCTGCTAGGTTCAAGTGATTCTCCTGCCTCAGCCTCCTGAGTAGCTGGGATTACAAGTGCCCGTCACCATGCCCGGCTAATTTTTGTATTTTTGGTAGAGACAGGGTTTCACCATGTTGGCCAGGCTGGTCTCGAACTCCTGATCTCAGGTGGTCCGCCCACCATGGCCTTCCAAAGTGCTGGGATTATAGGCAGGAGCCACCACACCTGGCCCTGGAGCTCATTCATTTCTATTTGTTTCTGAAAGCAGGGACTCTAAATATTACTAACCCCATTTTGGCTCCTAGTTGTATGCTTATCTCTGTTAGAGAAGACTCTTGAAATTATCTAAGGAATGTAATACTTCATCCAGTTTTTTAAAACTCTAGAAAGCTAGATTCTGCAGCTTCTTAGTAGCCTATAACCGACTCTTTTTTTTTTTTTTTTTTTTTTGAGACGGAGTCTTGCTCTGTCACCCAGGCTGGAATGCAGTGGCATGATCTCGGCTCACTGCAATCTCTGCCTCCTGGGTTCAAGCGATTCTCCTGCCTCAGCCTCCCAAGTAACTGGGATTACAGGTGCCTGCCACCATGCCCGGCTAATTTTTGTATTTTTAGTAGAGACAGGTTTTACCATGTTGGCCAGGCTGGTCTTGAACTCCTGACCTCAAGTGATCCGCCTGCCTTGGCCTCCCAAAGTGCTGGGATTAGAGGCGTGAGCCACCACACCCAGCCTATAACTGGCTCTTACCCTTACTGTCGTTAGGCTCTTCCTCTGACTCTCGGCTCAATTAAAAAGATGAGGTAAACTTTATACACAATCCCTTCATGTATATTTAAGGAACAGTGATGTCTCCTTTTAACTTCACCTCTGCAGACCAAACACTACAGATTCCGTCAAAACCTGTTACAGCATGCTGATGTTTTTCAATCTCCAATAGGAGTATTAGTCAGCTATTAAGAATATTTTGCTAATTTGTTACCAAATATGGATTATCCATGGCGATGGTCTACCTGAAATTTCCCCTGTGAAATGGACATGGTTCAGTGAGTTTGAACATTGATACACTCAGTTCTTAATCGTCTTTCTAAATTCAGTGACAGTTCTTTTTTTATTGCCTAATAACCGCTTGCAAGAAGTCAAGTCCAGACTCTTCCTGATTTTGTAGGAGCGTTTGTGCTTTGCAACCTGCCCCATGATTATGGTGTGACCTGTCAGGATTCCCTTCGTGGTTACTTAGCAGAACGCTTAGGTCTGGCATCATCAAAGAATGTCTAACTCTGCTTGGTAATGATGAAACTGGTGGGGGTTTTTGAATTACTCTTAAAAAGTTATTTCCCCAGGTAAGTTCATAGCCTGGATATTTCCCCACATAAAAGATCAAACATTCCTTAATCTCTTCTCTATATCCCACCCTTTAAGACCTTCAGGTTAGAGAGGAGACATTCTGAAAAAATCCAAATGCAAACAGTGGTATGTCAGAAGAAATGGTTTCAAGTGGTCGCAACAGAGAAATAGCGTTGGCAAGGCGGGATCGGGGCTGATGAAAATGATACAGGCTTTTATATTTCTGCAGGAGTTTTTTTTTTTTTTCATTCCAAGCATACCAGAGTTTCACCAAAGCAGGTAGAAAGAATGTGAGAAGGGCCGGGCGCGGTGGCTCACGCCTGTAATCCCAGCACTTTGGGAGGCCGAGGCGGGCGGATCACGAGGTCAGGAGATCGAGACCATCCCGGCTAAAAACGGTGAAACCCCGTCTCTACTAAAAATACAAAAATTAGCCGGGCGTGGTGGCAGGCGCCTGTAGTCCCAGCTACTTGGGAGGCTGAGGCAGGAGAATGGCGTGAACCCGGGAGGCGGAGCTTGCAGTGAGCCGAGATCCCGCCACTGCACTCCAGCCTGGGCGACAGAGTGAGACTCCGTCTCAAAAAAAAAAAAAAAAAAAAGAATGTGAGAAGGTGTTGTCACAAAATCCAGGCATGAGTGTATTTCTCCTCCTTAGAGCCAGCCTCTTCTGGCAAGCCATTGGATCTCTTCAAGCCTCAGCTTCTCCATCTATAGAATGGCTACAGCAGTGTTACTTGCTTCCCAGGAGAGGAGCATTCCATCAGCAGTAAAGCATTCATTGATCTTCCTTTTGTTTCTCTGTCACAGCCTGGCATGGTCCCAAAATATTGTAGTAATCAATGTGTTTTGAATTAATGGGTTTCTAAATATTCCCATGCTTCACACAGACCGTTTTGGATCTCTGAAGTTTTGCACCGTGCAGCCTGTTAGGCAGTTGATCAACCTGTGACTACCTTGTTTGTGGCTTATTTTCCCCAGCCAGAGCAGCCCGGATCTGCTGGCAACCTGGCAATCTTTGTTGTGAGAGGTTAACACAATTCCTACAGTCTGCACAAGCAGGAGGTGGAGTGGAGGTGGGAGAGGTGCGGAGTTGGAATGGCTCCCAGGCTGCCGTCTTGGCTCGTGTGAGTCAGTGGCATGGAACACGCAGGTTCTGTGCATTTATATAAGGGAAGGAAGGCTGTTGGCTCTACATTCTATATATTCCCCAGTTGTCGCTCAGAATAGTCATGAAGATCCGTGCCTATTCCATGTTCTTTTGGTCTTACAATGATAGTCATATTAGGCAAAGAGAACACAAAGTCTCTTGAACATTAGCTGCTTGCCTTGAATTTCAGTGTGACGCATTCATTCATTCCATTTATTCATTCAAGAAGCAATATTTAGCACTTACTCTGTGTCAGGTACTGTGCTAGGAACTGAGATTCCTACCTCAAGAAACTTCAAGTTTACAGTGGAAGAGACAGGTAATCTTTGTGATCCAAGGTTACTGAAGCAGTGAGATGTGGGCCAGGTGCTCTGGGGAACCTGTGGATGAGCCAAGAATTTCCGATGTTGGGGCTGGGGTGGATAGGAAGGATGCACAGAGCAGAAGATCTTTAGAGTTTGATGCAATACAGTGTCGTGGAGAGGAAACATAGTGTCTTGAAGGAGAGCATAGGTGAGATTGAATTCTAGCTCCTCTTCTTAACAATTACGTGACCCTCAGGCAAGTTACCTATTTTTTTTTTTTTTGAACTTCAGCTTTTTCATCTGAGAATAGGCAAAGAAGATAATAAGATAATAATGTCCTAAGACTTCATCATAGTGTCTGGCAACCAATAGATTTTTTTTTTTTTTTGAGACGGAGTCTGGCTCTGTTGCCCAGGCTGGAGTGCAGTGGCGCAATCTCAGTGCACTGCAAGCTCCGCCTCAAGGTTCATGCCATTCTCCTGCCTCAGCTTCCCGAGTAGCTGGGACTACAGGCGCCCACCACCACACCCGGCTAATTTTTTTGTATTTTTAGTAGAGACGGGGTTTCACCATGTTAGCCAGGATGGTCTTGATCTCCTGACCTCGTGATCCACCTGCCTCGGCCTCCCAAAGTGCTGGGATTACAGGCGTGAGCCACCGTGCCTGGCCAAACCAATAGATTTTTAATTAATTAATTAATTAATGTCCAGTAATAGTTTTTAAATATGTTAATTAATTAATGTCTGTCTGTTTTCAATCTCTTCCTCTTATTGTTCCTCACATTGTTACTGGAGGCAAATTATTACAATAGAAAGAACACTAGAATTGGCTCTGCCACCAGCCTACTGTGTGACTCCAGGGATGCAGAGCTAGTCACACCTCCCTGTAGACCTCCTGTGGGATCTGTGAGGGGAAAGATCTGGGTTGACTTGTTTCCAGTTTTTGGCTATTAAGAGTAATGCAGCTACAAACATTCCCTACAAGTCTTTGTGTGACATATGTTTTCATTTCTCTTGGGTATACACCTAGGAGTGGAATTGCTGGGTCGTATGGTAACTCCATGTTTAACCTTCTGAAGGACTTCCAGGCTGTTCTCACATGGCTGTACCATTTTACAATCTCACCAGCATTGTGTAAGGGTTCTGATTCCTCTCCATCCTCACCAACACTTGTTACTGCCATTTTTTTTTTTATCTGAGCCATCCTAGTGGGTGGAAAGTGGTATCCACTGCAGTTTTGATTTGCGATCTCCTGGTGACTAATGATGTTGAACGTCTTTTCATGTGCTTTTTGGCTGTTTATCATAGCCTTTGGAGAAATGTCTGTTCAAATCCTTTGCCCATTGTGAGAGTCATTGACTTTGGTATTTGTTGTTTGGACTCTCCTTCTCCTGGCTTGTGGAGATTGCTTTATCCTCTGAGGTTGCACCGCAGATCCTCTTCTGCAAGTCAATGGGTATGGTTGTGGTGTAGCGGGTTTCAGCAGCAACAGTGGTCTGAGGACCACTAAAAATAAACATAAGGAGTGTCACTACGTTAGCAGCATAGGCTGTTTTATGCTGAAATAACGTCTCAGTGGCTTAACACATTAAGCCTCATTTCTTCTTCTGCAAAGTCTATGCTCCAGGCTGCTGCAATCTTAGGGCACGACTCTACTTTCTATGAATGTGAACAATGTGAGGGGACTCAGGGGCTTTTTGATGCCTCAGCCATTATCCAGACCCCATCACATGGCCCCATACAATGGGAAGGGATCTGGGAAGTGCAGTCTTCCATGTCCTGGGAAGGGGTGACCTGGTATTAGTGAGCATCAGCAGTGTCCATCGCAGTCACCGTCTCCCATTTCGTGGCAGGGTCAGTGACTTCTCGTGACAGCCTCATGAAGGTGAAAAAGCAGGGATACTATTAGACACTCTGATATTGGAAATCTCCTAGTTGGCTCAGTGGAACTACAAAACTTCACTTAGGGACACTAAGATTCATCTGGAATATTTGCTTCTAATTTGACTATACAGGTTTGGTACACCTTGGAATGGATTGTCTTTTCTGTCTTTTATATAATAATTCCAGGAAGACGGTGTTTTGAGTTCCTACTGTGTGCCAGTATTGTACTGTGTGCTGCTTATACAGGATTAATTAGAGCACATCCCTGCTTCTTAGGACTCATACACGTAGCACTGTACAAGAGTGGGGATAAACACATAGACTGACATCTATGCTGGTGAGTGAAGATTAGTAGCAGGAGGAAAGACTTCTGGGAGCAGAAATGGGGGAATCCTTGGAGCTTTCTCGGGGAGTGGGGAAGAGCATCCCAGGCCATTCCCTTTATTTTTAATTGTGGAAAAATATACATAACCCTTCATATAGATCATTTAAATCATTCATAAGTGTACAATTCAGTAACATTAAATACATTCACAATGTCATGTAACCATCACCAATATCTATACCTATTAAATAAGAACTCCCATCCCCTGGCACCCTTTATTCTACTTGCTGCCTTATGGAGTTTCCTATTCTAGGTACTTCCTATAAGTGGAATCATACAGTATTTGTCCTTCTGTATCTGGCTTATCTCACTCAGCATGCTATTTTCAGAGTCCGTGCTTTTTTTTTTTTCTTTGAGATAGAGTCTCTCTCTGTCACTCAGGCTGAAGTGCAGTGGCACAATCTTGACTCACTGCAACTTCTGCCTCTCGGGTTCAAGTAATTTTCCTGCCTCAGCCTCCCACGTAGCTGGGATTACAGACGTGCACCACCACGCCTGGCTAATTTTTGTATTTTTGGTGGAGATGAGGTTTCACCATGTTGGCCAGGCTGGTCTCGAACTCCTGGCCTCAAGTGATCCCCCTGCCTCAGCCTCCCAAAGTGCTGGGATTACACATGTGAGCCACCGCACCTGGCCTCCACGCATGTTGTAGCACATATTAAAATTTCATTCCTTTTCAAGGCTGAATAATAAATACTCCATCGTGTGTGTATACCAAATTTTGTTTATCTGTTCATCTGTGGATGGAGCCTTGAGTTGTTTCCACTTTTTGGCTATGATGCTGCTGTGGACGTGGGTGTGCAGATGTGGGTGTCTGTTCCAGTGGCACTCACTTTTTTAGGAAAATTTTACCTTGAGTTCTGAGATAGCACATATTCATTGTGGATTAGTTAGAAAAATACAGAAAATTAAAATTAAAACAGAAAATCACCGCTTTTGTATTTAGTGATAATTTTTACGGTAAAAATATGTTAAATTTATCTCCTTTTTTCTCTTTAAATATTTCAATAAATATATTGACTAGATTTTTAGTATTTATTATTTTTATTATTTAATTTATTGAAATATTTAAATAATTCAATACATATATTGAAATACTTAAATAATTCAATACATATATTGAAAAACTTAAATAATTCAATACATATATTGAAATACTTAAATAATTCAATACATATATTGAAATACTTAAATAATTCAATACATATATTGAAATATTTAAATAAATGAAATTTGTTAAATAAATAAATACATAAAATATTTCAAATATTTTTAATGACCATAAACAATACTTTTATGGGTGTGTCTTGATTTATTATTTCATTACTTTTAGATAGTTTTGAGATTTATTATAAATTACATCGAGATGAACATATCTATATAAATCTTTGTTGATAAATCTGTTATTTACATAAAAATGAAGCTACTACATCAAAGATATGAGCAAATCAAGTTGCTTATCACAAATGGCCGATTACTTTGTGAGAGTTTTGCCACAGCCTCGCCAGTGTGTGAGTCCCCATGTCCTTAAAGCAGCACAGTAATGCTCTTGCTCAAAACTGTGCTTCCCATTCCAGGGGTTTTGGCCTCTCTCTGCAGCCCCCACTTGGGGCACCCATTGTGGATGGGTGGAGACTGACTGTTGAGGAGAGTGTGCCTTGTTTAGTTATATACAAGTGGCTCTCAAGCCTTTGTTCTGCCTCCACCTCCTCCACGTGGTTACACACTCATCACCAGTGAGTCTCATTTCTTGCAGAAGTCTTCACTTTGGAGAGAGGTATATATGAGCAGTTTCTGGTAAGCATTTGAGAATCACTGATTGTGCTAGCCAGAGAAAGAGAACCAATAAGATGCAGTAAGATGTGTGTACACACACACAGGTACACGTGCACGCGCGCGCGCACACACACACACACAGGTACACATGCACACACACACACACACACACAGAGAGCAGGCCAGGTTGGAGACCCAGGGAAGAGTGGGTGCTGCAGATCCAATCCAAAGGCAGTTGGCTAGCAGAGTTCCCTCTTCCTTGGAGGAAGTCAGTCTTTTTCTCTTAAGGCCTTTGATTGGACGAGGGTCACCCATATCATGGAAGGTAATTTGCTTTATTCACAGTCTACTGGCTAAGTGTTAATGTCATCTGAAAGAGTCACAGAGACATCTAGACATCTAGGTGTCAGATCAAATATGTGGGTACCGTGACCTAGCCAAGTTGGCAATAAAATTAACCATCACACTGATCCGAAAAGTTTGGGTGCCACTGACTTTAACGTTCTCCTGCATATAGGCAAGAATTAAAACACACACACAACAAAAGTTTATTTTTACTCTGAACCACTTGAGGGCACCATGAACGAGGGAAATGGAAAGTTGTGGCTCATCCGCTGTTCCTTTTAGAACAACCAGCATTAGTACTACAGGAAACCTGAGGGGATTTCTCCATGCGAGTCCCTAATTTTGCAGTTGAGAAAGTTACTGTGACTGTGTGCAAGTCTACAGGGCAAAGTAATAGAGTGAGTGAATGAGGCCAGAACGCGAACTGTGTCCTCTTGACTTTGCATTTCATGTTCTTTTTCGGACATTCTGATAATTTCTATTAATTAATAATGGAAAGAATTTGAAATATATGTGAGTTGTTTTGGTTCCCATAAGTTACATATGGTGATGTGGCACCTAATGTTGTGCAGATTGCATGAGTAAAGAATCCATTTAACTTTTAAACATCAATTATGAAATGATAAACTTTCGGATTTACAAATATTGTTGATACTGAGTCTGTAGCGAGTTTTGGCCAACGCTCTAAGGGTTTTGTTTGTTCTTCCTTTTGTAAAATGTTGCCTTCGAGTAACACAAAGGCCTGTGGTCTGTGAACACTCAGCGTGCAAGGATTTCTTTGTTTTTCATGGACTCTGTGTGTGTGTGCGCGTGTGTGTGTGTGTGTTGGTTGTGGGGGCAAGAACTAGGGGAAAAGGGATGCCAAAAAATGTAAGCATGTAGTTTTTCTCCGCTTTGTTGTGAAAACAAAATTGATAATGTAACTTTTGGAATCAAGTCTTTTGTATTTAGATTGGAACGTTCTAATACCTTATTGTTACAAATAGACAATGTGTCTGAAAAGCTGAATTTTTGAGAGTGGATGGATTATTTAAAATAATGATTCTTAACCCATTTGTACAATTCTGTGTTCTGTTACAAATGTCTTTTCTTTGTCCATGTAACAGTCAATTCCTGTTCTCTGAAGGAGGAATTCTCTCGGTAATTTCTGAGCCCTTCTTTAGGTGGTTGGCCACCAGGGGGCAAGCGAAGAATGGCAGAAGCCATCTGACGTAGCCCCTTCATCACTGCAGATAAACTGGTGATGCTTTCCTGACACACTTAATGGCAACCAGAGGTTTTCTGCACGTTTGTGTTTGTGTGTAAGTGTGTGGGGTGAGTGTGTGGCAGTGGTTATTTGCTGTATTTTGACTGCATAAAATTGCCATGCTTTCCCCTCGGTCTCCTAGAAATCCTTGTAGGATAATTATAACACAAGAAACAGATTTGATGGAAATTCTCATAATTCTCATACTCTGAAGCTTAGCTCATATGCATATTTCAGACTTGCCAGAGCCCCTCTTCAGTGGCTTGAGACTTGGTCTTAATCTTTTTGTCTGACTACAAAAAAAGTTCAGTGATGTGGTTAGTGTGTTCTTAGAGACACTGCACACTGTGGATCTGCGGGAGAGAGTTTCACTCATTGTATTCTGTTATTTTTTTTGAGACAGGGTCTCACTCTGTTGCCCAGGCTGGAGTGCTGTGGCGGGATCTCAGCTCGCTGCAATCTCCGCCTCCTGGGCTCAAGCAATCCTCCCACCTCAGCCTCCTGAGTAGCTGGGATTACAGGTGCACACCACTACATCCGGCTAATTTTTGTATTTTTAGTAGAGATAGGGTTTCACCATGTTGCCCAGGCTGGTCTCAAATTCTTGGGCTCAAGTGATCTGCCCGCCCCGACCTCCCGTGCTGGGATTACAGGCGTGTGTCACCACGCCCGGTTCAGTTTTCATCGTAGTATTTATTTATTTATTTATTTATTTATTTATTTATTTATTTATAGACAGGTTCTAGCTGTGTGGCTCAGGCTTGAGTATGGGGTGTGATCATAGCTTACTGGAGACTTAGCTTCCTGGGTAGCTAGTACTATAGGTGCATGCCACCACACCAGGCTAGTACTGTAGGTGCATGCCACCATACCAGGCTAATTATTATTACTATTTTTTATTTTTAGAGAGACAGGAACTTGCACTGTTACCCAGGCTGGTCTTATATTCCTGACCTCAAAAGATGCTCCCTCCTCGGCCTCCCAAAGTTCTGGGATTACAGGCTTGAGCCACTGTGCCACGCCGTAGTATTATGAAATCATCAGAACCCTTGGTAGCGTGCGATTTCTTCCTCCATCTCTTGTGCTCAGCCTGCTTCTTATTTTAAAATGAGGTTCATTTGTAAGTTGCCTTGCTCACTATTTTTGAACATTTAAAACAACTTTTTAGAATAGGTAAGAAGTTGAGAAAATAGAGACAGAAAAAAATACACAGCTTATTAAGGCATTCCAAAATACATGCCAGATGATTATACAGAGCAACTCTTATTTTAGGAATTTCTTATTGGATGAATGATGAAATCAAATACTAAGTTGGCTTTGCATAATCAAGATATTGGAAAATAGTGGGTAAGGTAAATGCTTATGGTGGGAATTTAATTTTCCCATAGAGTCATACAATTTGAAAGAGTCATTTATATGGGAAAAAAAAACTTGACTGTGGAATTATTAATACCAGCCTTACTTTCAGCAAGGGCTGTGTCCTTGCCAGTGTGTGGCTTAAGTAATGAATTTCCTCATATAATCCCTGTAAGAAAAGTTAGATGGATAATGAAGCCACTTGATCCTTTCATGCTCATTGCCACATATATTCATTAAAATATCACACAGGTAATTCCTCATTTCCCTAGTAGCTCTTACCACCTTTCCAGATTTGAGTGTTGAAGAGACCAGTCTTCTTACTGGCTGCCCCAGGCATTCAGCAAAACTCAGTCTTTGTAGGAATGTCTTAGATCTGCTTTTTTAGATGGAACCTAGTCTATATCAGTTTACTAGTTCCATACGACGTGGCTAAACTCATTTTTCAGATGCTTTGAATGGAGTATAGAAGACTATTGCTTTACTAAAAAAGCAAACATGAAAACTTCAAGCCTCACAGTCAGCTCCTATCAATTTCCCTTTAATTACCTCCTCAAGTACCTGTTAATGGCTCATTAGTTATAAAAATAAATTATAGGTACTCTGCCACCCTGTTTGTAGTTTCTTTAGTTTTTGATTTCGCTAACCCCAGGAAAATGGATGTGTGGCAATAATACAGGAATGTGAATCAAATTGCTCTGTAATTTTATATATTTAATAAAGTATACAGCAGGGCCGTGTGCACATGGGGTTAAGCTGTGGTGGAGGAAAGTGCTCTGTGAGAAAACTGAAGTCCTCATACACCATGTTGGCTGCCTATGTTTCATTTCACGACATAGTGCTCAGCAAATAGGGCTGATTGGTTTTCAGTCCGGTTTTGTGTGGTTTTAGGTTCATAATGGTTCCTTTTCATATATGGCCTTTGAAACTTGCTTGACACTGCAGTCATCTCTCATAGATAAAATAGGTCACAGTGAGTTTTAAATTCTTTTTTTTTTTTTTTGAAATAAAAATGTTATTCAGGCCGGGTGTGGTGGCTCACGCCTGTGATCCCAGCACTTTGGGAGGCCAAGGCGGGTGGATCACAAGGTCAGGAGTTCAAGACCAGC
Source organism: Homo sapiens (assembly GCF_000001405.40). NCBI lineage: Eukaryota > Metazoa > Chordata > Mammalia > Primates > Hominidae > Homo > Homo sapiens. The sequence goes on from NC_000004.12 coordinate 183,842,955, forward strand.
CTAGCCAAGATGGCGAAACCCCATCTCTACTAAAAAATACAAAAATCAGCCAAGCATGGTGGCAGGTGCCTGTAATCCCAGCTACTCGGGAGACTGAGGCAGAGAATTGCTTGAACCCAGGAGGCAGAGGTTGCAGCGAGCCAAGATCGCGCCACCGTACTCCACCCTGAGAGACAGAGCGAGACTCCATCTCAAAAAAAAAAAAAAAAGAAAAAGAAAAAGAAAAAGAAAAATGTTTTTAAAATAAAATTGCAGGTGGTATCCCAATCTGCAAGGATAAAAGCAGAATGACTCTTTTTGGGAGGAGGGAGAAGAATCTCAGAACCTTGGCCACACAGTTCACACAGAGACGTCACCCTGACCCGTAGGACTCCGCAGAACTCAGTGTGAAAAACACCAAAATAGAAGATGAAATCATTTTTATGCTTAAGTACTAAATATTTCCACTCAATTTTTAGACTTGTTCAGCCACAAATGTAGACAGAAACATTGTGTACCTTCCTGGGCACTGAACTTTAGATCAGGAGTTGGCAAACTTTTTCCACAGAGGGCTAGATAGTGTATGCTTTCGACTGTGGGGCCATATGGTCTCTGTCACCACTACTCAGCTCTGCTGCCGTGGCACAAAAGCAGCCAGGGACATTATGGAAATCGCATGAGCGTGGCTGTGTTCCAGTAAAGCTCTGTGCATGCCAAAATTTGGATTCCATATAATTTTCACATATGATGAAATATTGTTTTGATTTTTTCTGATTTTAGCAAAAAGATACTCTCGGCTCTTTTTCTTCTTTGAGTTTTAGTTATTATAAAGGTAATACCATGAAAGAACATTTCAAAAGGATGAGAAACTCATCTTTAATTCCATAATCCATGTTCTTTTCTTCATACGTCACTGTATCTTATAATAATTGTAATTATAGTTGACCCACAGTTCTGTACTTTTGCTTTTACTTACTTAATTTTTTATACGTAAATCATAGTTTATGTAGTGTAGGTGTAAAATTCTGAAAATAAATTATGTTTACTTTTCTTTAATGTTACTTATTTAATTGCATCTACTCCCAGTGTTCTTCTACCCAATCCGAATTTCTAATCTTTTTAAAAGCAATCTAATAATTGTTTCTTAAAAAAACAAAATTATTATTCAATTTGGTGAATTTGTATTTGTTGGTATTCTGGAATATAAATCTCTGAAAAAGGGACACCCCATTGCAAGTAGATATGAGGATGGCAGTCATTTTCTTCCTCCAACCCTTAACACTGTCTTGGAGAGTTCCCATGTTCCGGTTGAATATTTTGGTACTGAAAAATGTCTTCAGGAAAGCAACAATTGTTTTCCTAGAAAAAAAACCTGAGAACTCATTTCTCTCTTTAGGTTGCCTGACATTTGTAGCTGAGTGAAACCATGGTGAGCATTGATTTATTTTACTATAAAATTATCAGTTTTACTCACTCAAACAATCCTTTTATATTAAAAATATTTTAAAAATAAAAGCAGGGTATTGTTTTGCTTTACTAAATGGAGTCACCTCTTTTTCTCTTACTTTTGACAATTTGGTTGTCAAATTGTGTGAATTGTGAAAAAATAGCCCTGAGTACAGAGAATTTTTACCTCAGGGATATCAAAAAAGTCATGTTAGTAATAAAATAAGCCATTGATTGTGTTAAAACTCAAGGTGGGTCATTTAATTGCAGTTATTAAAAAGTTCTTTCATTATTTACCTCTGGGAGAGACTGTAGGTAGGACTGTAAGATTATTAATGAAAATGCGTGTAGATTGGTTTAAATGATTCAGCTTCATCTCACCAAGGAGTTAGCATGTTCATTCATTTTACAAAAGTGTATTGAGCACCTCGCCTACTATGTCTTGAGTAATTTGTTAGACATACAAAGTTGACTAAAACATGGACTCTGACCCCAAGGCTAAAATGTTATTTCACATGTGCACAGTGCTTTACAGATTACAAATGACATCATTACATCCTCATAAGAATCTCATGAAGCAGATGTTGGTTCCATTTCATTCATGATGAAACTAAAACATAGAAAACATAATAGTCTCCCCAAGGCTGCCTGTAGCACAGTTCCTTAGATTCCCAATCAGGTGACCTTTCCAAACTGTAGAGATGGCTCTATAATAGTTTAAAAAGGAGAGATAAGAAATGTCCACCATAGGTAAATACAAAATAGACAGTAATACGTACAATCACAGAAGTTCAGCTAAAGTGGTACAGGAGTCCAGAAGACGGAGAGATGGCTTCTGGGTAGGGGATGGATAAAGGGCATAAGGACTAGGGATAGGGATGGATGGACTGTGCACTTTCAGGGCAGGGGAAGATCATTCCATCCAGAGCCGGAAAAGCTTCAGAAAAGCTTAAGCCAGGTGGGATATGGCATGGGAAGAATGGAAATAGGAACAGTCAGTGGTTCAATTTACCTTGAAGATAGAATATATCACATGGAATTATTAGAGATGAGGACAAAAAGATGGAAAAGAAACACATCTTCCAGGTCTTTGATGCCAGGCCATAAAGCTTGAATTTTTTTTTGCTGGAAGTGGAGAGCCATCTGAGGCTTCTAAGCAGAAGTGTGCTAATCTGGCAGCAGTTTTGAACAAGGGAGTTGCAAACTCACATACCTGTAAAGGCCATGAAGATAATAGAGAAGTGATGTGGAGAGGATACAGCAAAAAGAGAAGTATTCTCCAGGGGACCATCCACCATTCAATGCTTTGGGAATGCAATCTCTCATTCTGCTGCAGATTTACAGTTCTCCTCTGCATATGTGCTTTATTAAGTTACATCTTTATACGATGTGTTCCCATTGACATAGATTTGTAACTTTTATGTGGTTATGTTTTAAATCTTACAGAAAAAAGGAGTTAATAGTCAAATATACTTTAATACTGACTTTTATATGTACTTATGTAGTGTACTTATAATATGTACTTAACAGTGTTCTTTATTTCTTCGTGCATATTGAATTATTGTCTAGTATTTTTTCATTTCAACCTGAAGGATTTTTTGTAGGGCAGGTTTACTAGTGACAAACCCTCTTGAGTTTTTGTCTATCTTGGAATGCCTTAATTTCTTCTTCAATTTTGAAGGATAGTTTGCTGAATATAAAATTCTTAATGGACAGTTTGTTTTCTTTCAGCACTTTGCATGTCATCCTATTGCCTTCTGGCCTCCGTGGCTTCTGATGAGAAATTAACTGTTAATCTTACTGTGTATACCTTGTGACAAGGCTGTTTTCTCTTGCTGCTTCCAGGATTCTCTTTTTGTATTTCGACAGTTACATTATAATGTATCTTGTTTTGGACTTGTGTGAATTTATCATGCTTGGAGTTTGTTGAGTTTGTTGAATGTGTAGATTCATGCTTGGCCATTATTGCTTCAAATATTCTTTTGCCCTTTTTCTCTCTCCTCTCTTTGTGGAACATCACGTTGGTGTGCTTGATGGTGTTCCACAGGCCTCTTTGGTTCTGTTTATTTTTCTTCATGTTTTAATTTTTGTTCTTCAGATTGGGTAATCTCGATTGACCTATCTTCAAGTTTGCTGATTCTTTCTTCTGTCTCTTTAAATCTGCTATTGAACACTGAAGTTTGCTTATGGTACTTTTCAACTCCAGAATTTCTTTATGGTTTCTTTTTATAATTTCTGCGTGTTTATTGATATTCTCTATTTTGTGAGACATCATTCTCATGATTTCCTTTAGTTGCTTGTATATTTTTTTCTTAAAGCATTTCAACATATTTAAAATAGTCAATTTAAAATCTTTGCCTAGTAAGTTCAATAGCTTCCTCAGAGACAGTTTCTATTCATATCTTTTCTTTTTTTCCTGTGCGTGGGTCATACTTTCTTGCATGCCTTGTAATTTTTTTTTTGAAACTGGGTTTTGAATATTGTAATGTGATAACTCGGGTAGTCAGATTCTTTCTGATTCTCAGGACTTGTTGCACCTGCTTATTGTGGTTGCTGTTTCTTTGTTTAGTGACTTTTAGAAACTAATTTTGTTAAGTTCTGCCTTCTTTGTCATGTATGTCCATGGAAGCTTATGTTTGGTTAGCTTAGCAATTTGACAAAGATTCCCTCAAACATCTGGAACAAAAACAGAAAAAAGAATCAGAGAGCCAGTGTGCTGTGTGTATTAGGTTATGCCTTCAACCCTCAGCCATACAATTCCCAACTCTGCCTTAGCCTTCACTTCCTGCTTGTGCAGAGCCTGAAAGTCAGGCAGAAGTGAGAGCTCAGTGCCATCTCAGGTCTATTCTGAGCATATGCCCTACCTTTAGCATGTATATGGGCTTCTAGAATCCCAGGATTACATGGGAACTTTTCAAAGTCCTTATATGGAAAAGTATGTAACTCCCTAGCCTTTCCTTTTAGGTTTTTTTGCTATCTGTTGTTTGCCCCAATTTGTATTTCTTTGCCCCAGGTGTCAGCAACTAAGTCATGTGTTTTTAATGAGTGACAAATGTTTATTGGGTAGTCACTTCACCACCCAGGGAAAGTTCTGAATTAGCAAAAATAATTCAGAACATATTGCCTTTTCTATCAGTCCTTCAGAGCCACCAGACAGGTTAAAAGAAACACAATTATTGGAAAGCAAGATCTGCTCTCCTTCCAGCACTAGGAACCATCACCAAGAAAGTGGGTTGCTGTCTTCAAGACCACAATCGAACTGGATAGGAGGATCCTGGGGCCAGGGTAGGTTAAAATGCCATAAATCTCCCCTACTGAAATTCAGCTGCCTTTTTCTTATGTGTTCACCTGGCCGCTGTAAACCTGTGACCAGTTCCAGAGTTCAGATTAAGTTGATTTTGACAGTTTTTGTCCATTTATTAGCTGTTTCTGTACAGGAACAGGCCCTTGGAATTCCCTATTCCACGATTTTCGCTGATGTCACTTTGTGCACATGTGCCTTACAAATAGTGTGTATATAAAAGAAAACATGTGTGAGCTAAGTGCAGGATGCTACCTTATTACCTTTGGTATAAAGAGAACTAGAGAGGAGAGAGGTTGAAGGAGAAGAAATGAGTAGGAAATGGAGGGATATTGACTGGCCCAGCTTCAGGCACCAAAACATAATACAGTCTTCCTAGAAAGTTATGCAGTTCAGGTATCTGTTCTATTAGGGGACAGCGTGTGGTTGCCTGTAACAGAAAATTGTTTCATACTGGCCCACACAAATAGGAATTTATTTGACTCACATAACAGGAAACCTGGGGATGAACAGGTAAGAGCCAGAGTAGTGGCCTAATGATGCTGTCAAGAACTCAGGTGCTGTTGATCATTCTCTTTCACTGTCATTAGAATATTGGCTTCTATATTCTCAGTTGTTGCCTCTTGATCTCAAGATGGTTGCTGTAGCTCCAGATAGCACCTCTGCATTCAAGGCACATAATATACAAAAGTCTTTTCCTGGCAACTTTTTAGAACGTTGGAACAGAAAGCCCCCGTCAGAAGACTTCTTATATTTCATTAGCCATAAATAAGTCACATGTTCACTCGTATATCCATCACTGGCCAAAAGAAGAGATTACCATGACAAGTCTGTGATTCTTCTGTCAGGGCTGGGGAAGGGCCTCCGAGAGATGAAAGGAGCAGGGTTCTGTAAGCCAGGAAGAGAGAATAACCGTTAGGTGGGCAGTGGACAATGGCTAGATAGAAGCTAAGAGGGATGGCTGATAAGGATGTGAGGTGGCTAGTTGGAAGGGTAGCAGGTACCTGCTCTGTCCTAACCATGTCAAACTTGGAGCAAGCTGTCATCTTTATTAGAGAAGTGAGGAGTTAGAAGTGAAGATTAGAAATACAAAACTTACAGACAGTCATGTAATAGGGTTAAAACCAGAAATGTCAACTCTGAGCCAAAGTAAGCTAAAGCCTGTGGTGTGTCGGATGCTGGAACAGGAGCCCGAAGTCCATGTTGGGGCCCAGGTGGAGGGAATAGAATTCTGCTGAGTGCCTGGTTTCTGGCTCTGGCTCTTGCCTCGTGGGAGTTTAGGTTACATTTAGAGCTGGCAAGCAGTTTCCAGCAGGTGTGGCAATCTCCAGGCCCTTAGATAACTAGTTCACTCTGGGCATGTACACAGTCTTGCAGGGGCTAGTAGATTCCAAGCATCAAACTAGAGATGGGAGAAGGACAATTTAGGGCCAAGTGGGGAAATTGGCAAGAGTCCCAGGCCCAGGAGCAGCCAGATTTCCTGGGCAGTTACCAAAATTGGAGCTTGGAAACAAGGCTTAAGAGGTGAAACTCTGTTATTTAGGGTTGGAGGCAGGCTGGAGTTGGGGAATTAGGAGCTCTTTGACTAAAATTGAGACTTTAGGGTGGAACTAGCAGCCACTGCTACTGGGTGCAAGACCCCAGAGTGGGCTGAAGTCAAAGGCCTCATGCCTCAGTATGGGCTTGATCCTGAGCATTGGAAATTAGCCTCAGCCTACTACATATGGATCAGGGGTTTCCTGTTGGGGTGGGAGAAGGAAGGATGTAGCTTCGTAGGAGATACATACAAGAACTCTTTTGGAGATAGCATTTACAGGGCTTGGAAAGAAGACAATGCTGGAGGGTGAGCCTAGCTGGCTGGCTTTATCTAAAATGTGGAATACAGAAATAGTAATAATTGTTGACGTTAAACGTCTGAGCCTATGAGTACATAGGGCATCTAGGGAGAGATGTCAGTAATTGATTATATGAGATTGGGATGTGGGAGATCTCTACCAAGATCTCTACAGCCAGAAATAAAGACTGGAGCCATCCACACATCGGGATCAGGATGGAGTGAGATTGCGAAGGGAGAGGGCGTTGGGAGTTCGGCACATCGTTTTTGTGTATGCACCATGAAGGAGAAGCCACTCCAAGGGTTGTATTTATTTCCATTTCATTTTATTGCCCCATGATTTTTTTCCCAGATTCCTCCAATTTCTGGTTGATTCTTCTTTCCTAATGTTTTTCAGATATAACCAGTTTCTCCCAAATAGCTGCATTTTCTTTTTTCTTTTCTTTTTCTTTCTTTCTTTTTTTTTGAGATGGAGTTTCACTCTTGTTGTCCAGGCTGTAGTGCAGTGGCAAGATCTTGGCTCACCATAACCTCCACCTCCCGGGTTCAAGCAATTCTCCTGCCTCAGCCTCACAAGTAATTGGGATTACAGGCTCCAGCCACCACAGCTGGCTAATTTTTTGTATTTTTATATTTTTAGTAGAGACGAGGTTTCACCATGTTGGCCAGGCTGGTCTTGAACTCCTGTCCTCAGGTGATCTGCCTGCCTCGGCCTCCCAAAGTGTTGGGATTACAGGCATGAGCCACCACACCCAGCCTGCATTTTCTTAAATGCTCAAAAAGTTTATATAGATTCTTCAAGGAGAAAAAAAAAATTTTGGAGAATGCCATATTTTCCATCCTTAAGACAAGGATTTGTGCTTATTATTCTTTATGATTTTCATTTATAGTAATTGATACTTATGAGATTTCTTTTTAAAAAAAGTCAAAAGGGCTGGGCATGGTGGCTCACACCTGTAATCCCAGCACTTTGGGAGGCCGAGGCAGGTGGATCACTTGAGGTCAGGAGTTTAAGACCAGCCTGACCAACATGGTGAAACCCCGTCTCTACTAAAAATACAAAAATTAGCTGGGCTTGGTGGCAGGTGCCTGTAATCCCAGTTACTTGGGAGGCTGAGGCAGGAGGATTGCTTGAACCCAGGAGGTGGAGGCTGCAGTAAGCCGAGATCACACCACTGCACTCCAGCCTGGGTGACAGAGTGAGACTCCGTCTCAAGAAAAAAAGAAGAAGTCAAAAGAAGAAGAACATGTTGCCACCTTCTCCTCCATTCTTTCATCATGTGACAAATGGGAGAAAGGATGAGGGAAAGGATGAGAGAAAGGATGAGAGAAAGGATGAGGGAAAGGATGAGGGAAAGGATGAGAGAAAGGATGAGAGAAACGATGAGGGAAAGGATGAGGGAAAGGATGAGGGAAAGGATGAGGGAAAGGATGAGGGAAACGATGAGGGAAAGGATGAGGGAAACGATGAGAAAGGATGAGGGAAAGGATGAGAGAAAGGATGAGAGAAACGATGAGGGAAAGGATGAGAGAAACGATGAGAGAAAGGATGAGGGAAAGGATGAGAGAAAGGATGAGGGAAACGATGAGGGAAACGATGAGGGAAAGGATGAGGGAAACGATGAGGGAAAGGATGAGAGAAACGATGAGAAAGGATGAGGGAAAGGATGAGAAAAAGAATGAGAGAAACGATGGAAAGGATGAGAGAAACGATGAGGGAAAGGATGAGGGAAAGGATGAGAGAAAGGATGAGAGAAACGATGAGGGAAAGGATGAGAGAAAGGATGAGGGAAAGGATGAGGGAAAGGATGAGGGAAAGGATGAGGGAAAGGATGAGAGAAAGGATGAGGGAAAGGATGAGAGAAACGATGAGGGAAAGGATGAGAGGATGAGAGAAAGGATGAGGGAAAGGATGAGAGAAAGGATGAGGGAAAGGATGAGAGAAACGATGAGAGAAACGATGAGGGAAAGGATGAGGGAAAGGATGAGGGAAAGGATGAGAGAAACGATGAGGGAAAGGATGAGGGAAAGGATGAGAGAAACGATGAGGGAAAGGATGAGAGAAAGGATGAGGGAAAGGATGAGGGAAAGGATGAGAGAAAGGATGAGGGAAAGGATGAGGGAAAGGATGAGAGAAAGGATGAGGGAAAGGATGAGAGAAAGGATGAGGGAAAGGATGAGAGAAACGATGAGGGAAAGGATGAGAGAAAGGATGAGGGAAAGGATGAGGGAAAGGATGAGAGAAAGGATGAGAGAAAGGATGAGGGAAAGGATGAGAGAAAGGATGAGAGAAAGGATGAGGGAAAGGATGAGGGAAACGATGAGGGAAAGGATGAGGGAAAGGATGAGAGAAAGGATGAGGGAAAGGATGAGGGAAAGGATGAGAGAAAGGATGAGGGAAAGGATGAGAGAAAGGATGAGGGAAAGGATGAGGGAAACGATGAGGGAAAGGATGAGGGAAAGGATGAGAGAAACGATGAGGGAAAGGATGAGGGAAAGGATGAGGGAAAGGATGAGGGAAAGGATGAGAGAAACGATGAGGGAAAGGATGAGAGAAAGGATGAGGGAAAGGATGAGGGAAAGGATGAGGGAAAGGATGAGGGAAAGGATGAGGGAAACGATGAGGGAAAGGATGAGAGAAAGGATGAGGGAAAGGATGAGGGAAAGGATGAGGGAAAGGATGAGGGAAAGGATGAGAGAAAGGATGAGGGAAAGGATGAGGGAAAGGATGAGGGAAAGGATGAGGGAAAGGATGAGAGAAACGATGAGGGAAAGGATGAGGGAAAGGATGAGAGAAACGATGAGGGAAAGGATGAGGGAAAGGATGAGGGAAAGGATGAGAGAAACGATGAGGGAAAGGATGAGAGAAAGGATGAGAGAAAGGATGAGGGAAAGGATGAGGGAAAGGATGAGAGAAAGGATGAGGGAAAGGTTGAGAGAAACGATGAGGGAAAGGATGAGAGAAAGGATGAGGGAAAGGATGAGGGAAAGGATGAGGGAAAGGATGAGGGAAAGGATGAGGGAAAGGATGAGGGAAAGGATGAGAGAAAGGATGAGGGAAAGGATGATGCTGCCTTATCATACTCTCATCAAGGTTAATTCTAGGTTGAACGATCTGACCACACCCTGTACCTCGGAAGCAGCATTCCCTTCAGCCATGGGAGGTTCTTTTTTTCTGCATTTAGCGGTGGAACTTTTAAGATTTATGTTAATAAGGAAGAGGAAATTAATTTAAACCTATTTAATAAAACGAATGGTTTTGTAAGTTGGTGTAAGGGTGCGTCAGCGTAAGTAGTAGAGAGTAGAAATCTATAAGTTCCTGATGGTCAAAATGGTCAAGTTGTTATTCACACTTGTGATTGTAGGGTATGGGTGTCAACTGCTTTTTCAAACATAGATGGCAAATGTGAAGAACTTCCCAGAACTGAGGTTGAAGCTCCAGATAAGGTAGGCAAGTCATTTACTGATGAACCCGGGGCACTTTGGAGTGGGAAAGGCAGTATTAGGAATAATCGCACGCAGGAACTTTTCTGGGCAGAGTGGGACTTACGGTCACCCTAGTTCTAGACCTCAGCAATGGTTCCCAGATTCCATAATTCAAGGTGAAATGAAATCAAAGTAAGGCATTTCCTCCTTGTTCTGGCATCTAAGTTGAAGGACTGTTCTCTTCTATAAAATACAGGTGGCTTAAGGTCCTGGAAATGCCGAAAGGAGATTGTCTTCATTGTCAGGCTTTTCCCTTGCGTTTCAAGTCAGGTGACAGTGTTTGGAGACTGTGCTGAGCGGATTCAGGGCCCAGCCCCGTGGGTCCTTAATGACTTCAATGTGGGTTTTTAATCTTCTGCCCAAGTGTTATCTTACTTGCCCAGACAAGTCGTTCACCACTACAGGAGAGTGTGGGAAAATTAACACTGCCAGAGCAACCAGGGAAGGGACGAAATGTCTGAAGGTAGAAATGAATTGCATTAGGATTTATTTTAATGCAGCCTGGAAACACACAACTTTAAATCTCTGGGCTGCTTAAGGAGATCCCACACCTTTCCTTGGAGGGAAAAAGAAAAAGAGGATTGAAAAATATACAGACTACAGCTATCTTTAATGTTTAAGTTAGCTATCAGGAAACTCGAAATAGTGAATGTAATAAAATGTTGACAGCAGTTTCACTTAACATGCGGTAACTCTGGACTAGAACGACATCTTTGGCACCAAAGGAAATCGAGAGAATAAAAGCAGCAGTCGTCAGGATTTGAAGGAAGCCACAGATTATTACCATCTGTACATTTTACAGACCTCTTACAAAAACCAGAAACCCAGGACCCAGACTGGAGTGTAAGTATATTGAGCTCTGGGGTGTGTTGTTAGATGGAGGAAACTCAGAAATTGGTCTGAATTTTTAAACACAATGCTTCATAAAACCTGACTATTCTGTTCTGGCGATGTTAGAACTTGTCTATAATCTGAAACAGCAGATTTATTTGGAGGGGTTATTTGCATGTCTCATGTGGGATATCCCATTGTTTCAAACCTTTACTATACCAGGCCTTCATACTTCCACGATTTCTCTGTAAATGTAGAATTATCTGTAAATTGCTCTCTGATTTCAGATTGTTCTTATGTGATGGGTTGTGTGTTCTTTCCTGAAGCTTGTGGAAAGGTCATCGTCAAACACATATAAGTGTCTTGAATAATGAATTGGTTCATCACTACCATAGATCACTTAGCTTGGACTTTTCTATTATTCTTGAGAAGGTACTTTCTCATGAACCTCCATTAAATATCAGTAGAAGAAGGTTTTGCCCAGTGTTTATTTGACATTATAACTTGGGCCAATGGTTAGATTCTCTGCAGTTGAAACTCATAGATAGAGACTAAACATAAAACATGCAAGTTTCACATCAGATGTTTTTGTGTGTGTCTGTGTGTTTTAATCAGGGCTTATATTTGCTCAGAGATATTAGACCTGAACTCCTAAACTCTAGCCCTTGAAAAACTAGATTCATGGCAGGGGGCAGGGGGGATGGTGAGTTTATTATTTTTTATAAAAAGTAAAAGTGTTTTAAAATAGCAAGTAGTGAATAAGAGAGGCCCATTTACCTAAAATGTTTACATAAAAATAGAGTTACATCCATGTAAATGGGACTGTTAGGTAAATTATTTGACATCTCATGGAGAAATAGAAACTTTCTCATAAATGATTTTGATATAGAGCACTGAAAATACAATTTAATGGAATCATTTCAACTTAAAAATGACAATTAATGACAGATTGGAGAAGTCAGCCAATTATCGCTTAGTGCTTTTCTATCCAACACATATGGAAGATTGCTTATAAACAGGGAATGTTTTTTTTAACATGCATATGAATTTAGTATAATATTTGTCAATTCTTAGCTAGTTTGGCAACATTAAAATCTTAGATCTTTGATACTTAGACTAGTGTCCCGAATATGAAATGTTCCATGGATAGATTTGTTCATTCTTTGCAACCCCTGAAATATTAATGTTTAAGCAAGAAACTCTTCACCCCAATATTTTTCTTTGGTAACCTAAGATTCACAGAGTGATGTAATAGAGTATTTGGCCAAATTAAAATGAGGGAAGGTGCAAATAACAGAATTAATTCCCACAGCTGTCGAATACGAGGTTAGCAAGTAAGTGAAATCACACGCATTACTTTGGGTGTTTAATTCTGAAAACTACTCATCCAAGTGTTCACTTTGAAATTTAATTGTGTGTATTTGTGTCTCTTCTCCTGAAGGGTGCTCTTCTGTTAGGGCAGCCCATGCCGTTTTTTAAATTAATGGTGCAGATTCTTTTAGTTCATAGGCTCGTCTTGGGGGAGTAATGCAGGCATGTGTGAAAGGGGCCGTGAGCCTTTCTGGACTCTTGGGTCCTATCTGATAAATGATTGCTTCAATACACTAAATGGGCCCCAGTGTCCTAGAAACGTTCATATCATTTCCACATGTTCACTTCCTTTTCCTGGAAAGTGTAACTTATGACAAGGGTAACTTGGAAATCCAAGCTCATTATTGGAGAAAAACGAATGGTCGTCTATTTGGCATATGTTTTGAAAATAACCTCAGTGTGGGAAAATCTTTTGTGAAGTTTATTATGAATCTGTTTATAGTATACTTTTCAAAATGTGTATGTAAGCATCTTAAGGCTTAAGAAAAGAAAGCGCTAAGTAGGCATAGTTGATTTCTCCTATTGCAAAAATACAAGTGAGCAAGGAAGAAGACTATGCAGCGGAAGGTATGGTTGGAATGATGTGTTGAGGAATGTTAATGATTCGTCTGGAAGCGTGCAAATGTGGGGCAAGTGCAGGCCCTTCACTTCCATCCTGGCTTCTTTTTGAAGTGACATTTGGCATTTTAGCTGCCTCACGATGCTACTCTGATAGGAATCTTCTGCCTATGGTGCACATTCGGAGAATGCTCTGGCCACAGCTGCTCTGGTTTGGGTCAGGAGTAGGGCAAGCTTTGCTGAAGGTGGCAGCTGCCCTGGCCTGTCTCCTCTGAGTTCGCTTCCAGCCTAGGTCTCATTCCTGGCCTGGTGGTAGCATCTTGCTGCAGGGATGGACCTCTCAGAAACATCCTAAGTGCGCACCCTGGGGTCTCGAATAGGCTGGTCACAGATTTCTAGGACACTGAGGCCCATTTAGTGTATTGAAGCAATCATTTATCAGATAGGACCCAAGAGTCCAGAAAGGCTCACGGCCCCTTTCACACATGTCGACATTACTCCCCCAAGACGAGCCTATGAACTAAAAAAATCTGCACCATTAATTAAAGAAATGGCATGGGCTACACTAACAGAAGAGCACCCTTCAGGAGAACAGACGCAAATACGCACAAACAGTTGCAAAGTGAACACTCGGATGAGTAGTTTTCAGCATTAAACACTTAAAGTAGTGTGTGATTCAACTTACTTGCTAACCTCGTATTTGACAGGTGAGGGTATTAATTCTGTTATTTCCACCTTCCCTCAGCAGTCTCCATCCAAACTGAAGGGCAGTTCAGGGATCTGCCTTCCAAAGCCTTGTCTAAAAGCCGTCCCTGCTCTCAGCCACCTGCCCCTGGCTGACTGCAGCTAATGGTAGGGTGGTTCATGTGAACATCGCTTTGCAGTTAGCTGTCTCGGACTCGGACCCCGGGGGATGATAGCTCCCTTGCCCAAGAATAATGGGGTGTTTTGTTGTTACAGAAGAAGGGAAGGGAGATGTGAAAGTGCTACTTTAAAAATAGTCTTTTTTCAGTAGTGTCTGTTTAATAGTTACTGCATATATATTAATGTGTGTAGCTTTATTTTTTTTGACACTTACCCTATGGGACCAAAACAGTCAGCTACCAAGTCTTATTGAGAATTTACTTTGGAAAGTCCTGGAGATTTGGTCTGTGGCATCTGACTGAGGAGAGAGGACATGTGAAGAGGCAGGGAGGGAGATGAGTGGATAATTAGATTAAATTGTGTGGTAGAGGCTGGGAGGGGTTTGGAGGGGTTTGGAGGACAGGAAGTTCAAACAAGCCTTCCTCTCCCTTCTCTAGGGTAATCCTTCTGCCTGGTAGGATTGGTTGCCCTGTAGGACTGGTTGTCCCACAGGACTGGTCATCCTGCAGAACTGGTTATCCCGCAGGACTGGTTATCCTGCAGGTCTGGTCATCCCACAGGACTGGTCATCCTGCAGGTCTCATCATCCCACAGGACTGGTTATCCCACAGGACTGGTCATCTCGCAGGACTGGTTATCCTGCAGGACTGGTCATCTTGCAGGACTGGTCATTCCACAGGACTGGTTATCCTGCAGTACTGGTTATCCCATAGGACTGGTTGCCTCGTAGGACTGGTCATCCCGCAGGACTGGTTATCCCGCAGGACTGGTTGCCTCATAGGATTGGTCATCCCACAGGACTGGTCATCCTGCAGGACTGGTTATCCCATTGAAGGCAGTGCCACGGCTGCCTGGATTCCCAGCCTTCCACATACTGACATGTGCAGGTCATCTCCGAATTTGAGGTTCTGCCCGATTCAGCTTCTTAATCTACTTATTTTTCCTCTTCTCCACATAACTTAAAAGATGTTCTGCTTTCATTCCTTTTATCTTGTTACCCCTTACCTCTGGGGTCCTTCCCACCTCCTGAATCCCGGGCAGCTGTGGAATGGAGGAACCTTCCCCCCAGCCCTGTCTCTTTCTCCTCCAGCTCTGCCCCAGTGCTGCTGGTGTCCCTGTCTGCTTTGCAGCCCCCCTTCCTTGGTTTCTGGAAAGCTGCTCTGTCCTTGTTTGCATCGATGCTGTTGGCGGCACAGCTCCCTCCCATGCCTCTGAGGGTATCCCCAGGTTTCAGTCCTGCCCATCCCCCTGTTCTCTCCCTGGGATAATGATAATTCATCCACTCTTCTCTCCCTACAGGAGTCAGTCATTCACTTCTCAAACATTTATCGAGTGCCTTTTATACCCCAGGAACTGATCCAGGCATTGGAGTAGAAGGATGAGGGCAAAAACTGGGTCCCTGCCTCCTGGAGTCCACAGTGAGGAGCGGGTAGTAAATAGGCCTCCCCAGCACAGCTGGAAGGGCAACCCCTGGGGAAGTGCAGGCTCCCTGGGGGACCCTCAGGGGGCACCATGCCTGACCTCACTGCACAGCCCCATCCCTAAGCTCTCCCTTGCCCCTCCGCCTCCCGGATGACCTATCCACACTTCAGACAAAGCAGCTCCACAGGGAAACCCACAATCTGTTCCTCCAAGCTAAGTGCCCTGCTGCTGGCCCATTCTTGACACTGTGACCTGCGTCTCCCGCCCTGTGCGGGCTGCAAGCCTGGGAGTCCCACTACAGCTCTAGTTTCCCTTCAGATCCTTACCCAGTCAGCCACCCACCCGGCAGCTCTTCTGCTGTCGTTGCGCTCAGCTCTGCTTCCGACTTTCCATTCCTGTTGCCTCTGCCCACGGCCGGAGCCTCCCTGCCTCATTCGTGCACTGTTTCGTATTTATAGATGGGGTATTTACTTCCTCAGAGATTTAAAAAAGTTACCCAAGTGGTTCATGTTCATGGTGGAAAATAATTAGAAAATAGAGAAAAAGAGAAAGAAGGAAGGAAGGAAGGAAGGAAGGAAGGGAGGGACGGGAAAACCACACATTTCACCATTCAGATAATGTCCCTATTGAGCTGTGATAGTTATCCCTCTAGACTTTTTCCCGTGTATCTATCAAAATATCCTCATCTATCCAAATGTGAAACATGTCTTACAAATCATGATTATGTTATCTATATTGTTTTGTAGTCGACTTCTTTATACTTAGCTTCTATGATTGCTTTTCTGGATCTAGAAATATAATACTTTTTTTTCATGGCTGTATAATTATTGGAAGCAATTTGCCCCTTCATCTCTACGTCATTTCAGTGTACTGTACACACCGCCCCTAAGTCATTCTCACACTTGATTGGTCTTGCTGCCCTTCTGCTGAAAAGCACAGGCAGCTTCCTATGGCCCTCTGCCACCCGCCCCACATTCCTCTTCTATAGGAAAGGTTTTATGCCTTTCTCAGTCTTCAGGATTCTTTCTCTCCTCTGAATAAGATCTATTATTTGGACCAAGCTTGGTGGCTGTCATAGGCTACACCTTGGGATTAGGAGGGGCAGTTCCTGGGATCCCACGGTGCCTTGCTCATCGCTGTGCCCCTGCTCTGGCCCATTCTCTCTCTCCCTCTTCCCAGTGTTGTAGGGTGTCACATGCTGCCAGGTCTTGGGACTGAAGAGGTGACCAAAGTGCCTCCGAACTCCAGCTCCTACCGCAGTAGGGCAGATACAGCCATGAAAACAGACAAATGCAACAGGGCAAGATCACGACGCTGGGGAGGAAGAAAGGGTGTCCATCGGGTGACATTGGAGCTGGTCTTGCCCTGTGACAGGCACCTACAGAGCTCAGCTGGCAGTGACCAAAGAGGATGACAGCAGGCATTTCAGGGGTGGCAGAGGGGACTGGGGGCAGTGGGCAGCCTGGGAAGGGCAGGGGCCAGATGGTGGGTGTTGGTGTGGCTTGGCATGACAGAGGCGGCGGGGCCAGGGTATGAACAGGCTTACGGAGCCATCTCCACCCACCCACAGGACAGTTTTGATGAGACAAAGCAAATGGTGACGCACAGAAGGCCAGCATGGCCCTTGCATGCAGGGAACTTGTTGTTGAAACCAAGATAAATTTCTGTATTTTTATGATTTTGATATCACAAGTCAAATCCTGAAACCCACATGTCACTGGGATGATCCAAATGATCTTACCGAACTGAATGGATTTTTTTTTCCTATTATACCAAAGACTAGAAAGACTTTTGATATCTAGGACTTTATTTTCCTTGTCACAATATTCTGTATATTAGGATTTGTTCATGTCAGTTGCGTTTACTGACAGATTAGATTAGATTAGATTAGATATTTACTGACAGAATTTCCTGGCAGATTAGAATGTGTGTGTGTGTATGTATTTGTTAGTATATTAAAACTAGTCAAAAAGCCTCTTTGCTGTTTAAAGATAATATATAATTCTGCAATTAAATATCTGTGTCCCTTTAAAATCATATTCTTTTTTTTTTACCGATGTCTACCTATTTAGGATGTAGTTCACTGTGAATTTTTAAATCAAAGAAAATAACTTCTTCCAGTTTTTGTAAAGGGAGATGAGGAATGATTTAAGCTTCACAAATAGAACATAGTGCTTTAAACTGTGAGGGACTTCTCACTGGGTCCAGCCTCATCATTATACAGAAAAGGAAACGGGCCCTCAAAAGTGAAGCAATTTGCCTAAAATGACGTAGCTAATTAGTGGCCCAGCCAAAACCCCAATCCAGGACTTCTGGCTTTCAGTGCTGTGACCTTCCCACTATTCCATGCTGCCAGCTGGCTTAAAACAAAACAAAACAAACAAAAAACAAAAAACAAAAAAAAAAAAAAAAGAAGAAAAAGAAGAAAAAATTGGAGAATTGAGTTGACACATTGCTTGAATTCCCCTACCTCTTTATAGAGTGTGAAAAATCCTGATATGCTTTAAAAGAAACACTTAAAAATGTATCGGGACTTGTAAAGAAAATCAGGAATATTTGTGATATGCTAATTAGAAAGTATCTCATTATGCGAGAGACAGGAAACGTGGCAGAGGGAGATGCTATTCAGAGTAACTTAAGGAAACTTCAAAGGTAAGACAAAAGGCCGTTCTTTTTATTTATTTGATAATGTTTGTGGCTGTCATCAAAGTTCTGATGGGGCCTGACACCTTTATGAAAAACCCCCTGTATGAAAAACACTGGGGGAATCTCTCAGACACACGGAAGGAAAAGCAAACGATTCCATTTCCATCCGAGTTTCCGTAGGTGGAAGACAGCCTTTCCCACAGTGCTCGCCTGCCAAGCATCTTCCTGTAGGAACTTGTCAGTGCCGCCATTAGTTGTTTGCAAAGGGATTACGCTTTGGCAGCCATGCTAATCGCTCCAAGGTGACCCTTTATTTGGAGAAACAAATCCTTTTCAGTTGTTGTTACGGTACACTAATCCAACCATGCAAGTAGCTGTTTGGGAAAAAAATTATCAAAGTGCATTTTCTCCCCACTACTTCTTTCTCTCCAGATCGCTCCTAACTAAAAGTGCTGTTTCTTCCAAAGAAGTTCAAAATGACAGGGAGAAAAACACAGAACCTGGTCAGATTTCAAATTCAGGAGCAGACAGGACCCCCTAGATCTCAGAAGGAGCTGCCCCCCACCACTGAGGTTCAACAAAACCCCCAGGTGGGAGTGGACTGTCCCGTTACCTTGGGGGGGTCCTCACCCTGCTGCAGTGGGGCCCCTGTCTTTGTCTGGCCATTGCTGCTGTTTGCCGCCATGGTGAAGTTTGTTGCACTGTAATGTTCATAGATACCCAGGAAGAGGGAGAACCGGGGAGCTTTCAGCCTCTCAGCCTGCGAGAGCCTCTAGGGAGAGACAAGGACACCTCAAAATACCAGTTCTGACGTGAGAAGCGACTTTCAGGCAGGGTTTTGTAGATCGTGTGGATTTTGGAGTTGGAACACACTGGCTTGGGATTGCAGTTTTGCATCTTAGCTGTGTGACCGTGAACAAGTCACCTGGTCCCTGGGCGCCGCAGCTTCTTCATCTGTAAAATGGGTTGTGGTGATTACCGGTAGGGATGTTTGGAAGACACAATGCGACAATATATGTAAAGTGCCTCGCAGGGCGTAGGGCTCATTGTGGGTCCTCAAAAATAGTAGCAGTTATCATTTTTCCTATATTTATGATTATCTAAACGCTAATATACCAACAACTATTTTAGTTTAAATTAGGACCCGGAAGAGCCCAAATATTAATTTACAGCTCAGTGGATGATTCAAAGTGCAAAGCCCCACGTAACCACCATCCAGGTGGTAACTAGAACATTACAGGATCACAGGAGCCTCATCCCTCCCCGTCCACACGATTTCCCCTTCCCTTCTTACCGAATGTAGCCATTTTCCTAAACTTCTAACACTCAACAGATACTTCGTGAGGGTTTCCTAGATCCCAGGCTCTAGACCACACAGTTCTTGCCCTAGGGAGCTTAGGTTTCAGAGGCAGGAGCCAGACAACAAAAGCATATGAGAATGAGGGGATTTCAGATAACGTTAAGTGTTTGTTGTTGTTGTTTGTTTGTTTGTTTGTTTTTTGAGACAGAGTCTCACTCTGTCACCCAGGCTGGAGTGCAGTGGCACGATCTCGGCTCATTGCAACCTCTGCCTCCTGGGTACAAGCGATTCTCCTGCCTCAGCCTCCCTAGTAGCTGGGATTACAGGCACATGCCATCACCCCTAGCTAATTTTTGTATTTTGAGTAGAGACAGGGTTTCACCATGTTGGCCAGGCTGGTCTTGAACTGCCTACCTCGGCCTCCCAAAGTGCTGTGATTATAGGCATGAGCTACTGTGCCCAGCCAATGTTAAGTGTTATGAGGAAAATAAAATACCCGAATGGGCCAGAAGACAGCTGTCAGAGGGTGCCTCTACAAGGGTGACCAGGGAAGGCCCTTCTGAAGAAGTGACAATGGGAAGACCCAGGGAGGAGCTGTCCATGGGAGGGAGCAGTGGGAGGCCCCTGGGCGGGAGAGGCTGGCACGCATTTGAGTGGCAAGAAGAAGCCATGCGAGAGTCGGCAGGGTTTACACCCTGAGGGCTCGATACAGGCTTTGGGGGCAAATTGCGTTTTAAGATCAAGGGTAATTAGTGTCCTGAGAAAAACCAAGGAAACTCAGAAGAGGGAGGGATCGCGCCCCACCACCTCTCTCTAACGGTGCCCTGTGGGACTTGGACAGTGTGGTTTCCTTGTAAACACAGGGCCTCCCTGGACCGTCACTACCACCTCGTGAGGCCTACAAGGAAGGCGTGGTTATTTCCGGTCAGACAGGAGGTGACAGACACTGGGAGGGCCTAAGGCTTGTTGCAGAACTCCTTTTACCACACCAGGGAGCCCACCAATCTCACTGGGGATGTTTAGGTTGCTCATGTCATCGTAGTTCAGGATCTTCCGACCTAAGAAACAAGCCAACTCCTGCAGGAAGCAGGTAGCCTTGTGTCTCCCACAAGGTCATCTGAGAACATCGGTGGCGTACAGGACTCATGAAAGAAGCGGTCCTGGGTGAGTGACGTGGACATGGAGCACAGTGCCTCCCAGCCCTGGAGAGTCCCAATGTGGAACGCTGTAAAGCCTCTGAGAAGCTCTGCAGTAAGGAAACCCATGAACTGTGCCCCCCACACCAGGCCATAGGAGCTCTTTTGTATGCCATGTCCATTGACATCTCAAGGAATGCAAGTTCTGGAGGTGCCACTTGGAAAACGCCAGCTGAGAGAGCTGCTATAGAGTGTTTACTAAATGAGCTCTTGAAAGAGTTCAAGGATTTTCTGAGCCTGAAAGTCTTCTCTGTGTGAAAGGATTAGAAACAACATTTGTAAAGCACTTCCATATGCGTAGAATGAAGACTCTGGATGAATGGAGATTCAAAGTGTTGAAAATCATAAATCCACTCCTGTTTTGTACACGAATGTTAATTTGCCCTTTGAACTCATAGTGTTTCCATTAGTATTGCGTGACGATTGGCTTGTTCTTCGGGACTCTAGGATCTCAAAGCAGGAACCAGTCTTATCTGGTTTAAAAGATAAATGTTCTAAACCACACATGGCTTTGATTTTGGATTACTACCTACAAGGCTACATATTTACATAGAAAAGAGTCCATTTCTAGATTGCTTGTAACCATTTATACCTGTTTTCATACAGATTATTATTCTTTTAATTTTTTTTGTTTGCTCTTGCCTAGGGATTTACACAACCGTATCTGAACTTGGAGGAAATGTTTTTGATAGGTGTTCACAGAACCACTGAGCTCTGGCAGTTTGTGGAAGAGTGTCTGGTTGACTTTAATTCGAAACAGAATGTTCAGACCTCTTAGCACCTTCATTTCTCTTCATTTTCCAGCTCCAGCTCCATCTGTATTTCCTCCTTCATTTTAACTCTGTGGTCCACACTTTAAAGTATGTGAATGTTATTTTTTTTAATAGTCTGTATTGCCTAGAGTTCTGCATTTCCCAAACTAGGTTCTCAGAAAAAAAAGTTTTGAAATATGAGGAAATACAGAGGTAAACGAGGCTGTTTACTGCAGGACTTCTCATGCCTTTACTATCCTAACATGCACTGTTATTCTCCAGAACGGAGATAAAACAGTTATTATTTTCCAGACTTATTTAACTCCTGAATGCCTACCTCAGCCCCTTTCAGGAATGTTATTCTGCAAATCCTACTTTGGATTAAAAAAACTAAAAGAAGAGTAATCTCTATGAAAACAGGTGCAGATGATTACAAGTGATGTATAAATGGACTATTTATTTATTTATTTTTGAAATGGGGTCTTACTCTGTCACCAGGCTGGAGTGCAGTGGTGCACTCTCAGCTCACTGCAACCTCCACCTCCTGGGTTCAAGTGATTCTTCTGCCTCAGCCTCCCGAGTAGCTGGGATTACAGGCGCCCACCACCATGCCTGGCTAATTTTTGTATTTTTAGTAGAGATGGGGTTTCTCCATGTTGGCCAGGCTGGTCTCGAACTCCTGACCTCAAGTGATCCATGCACCTCTGCCTCCCAACGTGCTGGGATTACAGACAAGAGCCACTGCGCCCGGCCAAATGGACTCTTTTTATGTAAATATATATCCTTGTAGATAACAATCCAAATCCAAGTAGGATTGATGCTGAAGTAAGATCAAACCCAAACCTCTCAACTTGGATTTTCCTCAACCACTCCTCTAGCAATGTGTCCCACTACCACTTCACTTATCCGTCCCAGCAAAACTAATTGTTTTATAATCTTCCCAAAAAACTTCAGGTTTCTCTACTTTTAAATCTCTTCTTATGATACTCTCTTTCTCTCCTCCATTCTTACCCAGCAAATCTAAAATGCTTTTCTTTCTTCTGCTCCGGTATGAAAGATCACAGTTCTCCAAATCCCAGTTACCCTGGGAACACCTTCCTGACCATCACAATCCACAAAGAATCTCTCTTAGAGCTGTTATCATCTGTACCCTGCCTTAGCCCGTATTATGAATATTTGCTGCCTATGGTTTATCACATATGTACTGTCTCTGCTACTTGAGGCTCACACCTGTATGTGCATTTGTGTGCCCATGTGTTTAATCCTTGTTAGGCTTTGTACACAGCACAAACTCCATTGAATGAAAAAAATAGTTTATATTTTGTTTTGAAATCTGATTATTTATTCTCTCTCTTCTTAGATACTCGGTTTTAAAGTGACTGGGGTGGGTGGGATTGCTGTTTTACCTGTCTTTTGGTTCATGAGTTAGGCAGAGACTATAGAAAAGGCATGAACAATTACTATAGAAACTGCCACAAACATATTAAGCACATAGAGGGTGTCAGCATCTATGAATAAAAAGCCCGTATTTTCTCTAAATGAGCTTACGGTCTGTTTGGGGAGATAAGTATTATAATACAATTTAATAAAAGACCTTGTTAGTAGTATCAAAAAGCATTATAGGATACAGGAATGAGGATGGCTAATTTCAGGTGAGTCTGCAGGACCGTAGATAGAAAGAATTTATGGGATGTAAAGAAAAAAATTCACTGAAGAGGAGGTAGTGATTTATGCTAAAAGAATAAGACAGAATTAGGAGTTTGGATGGGGAAGAGGAGGTGACGGAGGTTGCAAGGAGGGGAACGAAATGGCATGAACACAGGCTAGAAGGCAAGAAAACCCTGGTTGTAGGTTGCATGGAGAAGTCTTGTGGAGACAAAGACAGAATTTGATTTGGGGGTCATTTTTT
Source organism: Homo sapiens (assembly GCF_000001405.40). NCBI lineage: Eukaryota > Metazoa > Chordata > Mammalia > Primates > Hominidae > Homo > Homo sapiens. The sequence continues at coordinate 183,865,850 of NC_000004.12, forward strand.
GGAAGGCTTTTTTCTTTTTAACCACTTAGGCATTGTGAGTCCATTAAAACAACGTTTAAGCTGATGAGTGGCGTGATAAAGATTAGGCTTTAGGAAAAATGGAAGACGGAGTTGACACAGGTGAATAAAATGAGGGTTCCACTGAGATTGTCATGGATCTAATGATCTTGGTGACTCCCAGCAGACCTGGGTATGAGGAGCAGAGAAAACCCACAGCATAGGTGAAGGGGAGAAAGATACACGTGCTGATGAACAATTGTTTTCAAAGTTAATTTTAATTCTTTGCGGTGAAGGAATAATATAGGGAGGGGCCTTAAGCTCTTGTTGTCCCCCTTCAAGTGGCCACCCCTCTGCCCCTTCTCTTATATCCAGTGCTCAGCTTATTTCAAGAAGATAAGCCCACCCCGAGCCTGTTCTTTCCTTGCCAAAAACCCTAATTGCTGGTTTTCCTAGTGGTCTTTCTCTCCCGGTTTCTCTCACTGGCAGCCTGAAGAAATCATATTATAATGAGTGAGGAAAGAATGTTCTCCATGGAGAACCTGTTCTGGCATCTTAAGATCCTGTTTCTCCTGGTGTTCTGAGTAGGATGCTTCAGCCTTCAGAGCTGCAGGGCATCTGATTTAAGAGCCATCTGTTTTAATCAGGCATTTTGCCTGATTTATGAAGAAGAGGATGGTGGAGGGGGAGGGGCTGGGATATACTATATTCTCCCAGTTAGATGAGAATTACTGAGAATTACTGTGCCAGATCCCGGCAATGATGTGTTTGCATTATTGAATGTCATTGCTTTTCCTTTCATTGTTCTTTATCTTAAAGTTTCAGAGCCTCTTGTTAGTGTTTCTAAAACTTCAACACTTTGTGTTTTTGGAGCTCCTAGACAGGTGCCAGGCGCAGTGGCTTATGCCTGTAGTCCCAGCACGTTGGGAGGCCAAGACGGGAGGAACACTTGAACTCAGGAGTTGGAGGCCGCAGTGAGTGGCAATTGGGTCACTACACTCCAGCCTGAGTAACAGAAGGAGACCCTGTCTCAAAACAGACAAACAAACAAACAAACAAAAAGAACAATGTATTTTATTTTGTCAATCAACATGAATAGAAGTTGAAGCAATTTACCCTCACATTTGATACTCCGTGATACAAATTAGAAAAAGGTCATCTCTTGTTTATAGTTCTTTTTTTTTTCCCCCTATGAGTGGGCACTATTTACATGTGGAAGGATCTGTGTCCAAGCTTTCAATCACCATGTTGTTTCGGCTCTAGAGCTGCCTATAAGCAACTGTACAGAGTTTAGAGTGGATCAAGGTGGTGACATGTTCGCCCTCTCTATTACCCATGTGGGCACACCCAGTGTTTAGAAAATAGTTTTTCTCTACATCTCCATTTGCCGCTGTCACTTGAGGAAATTTTACTAAAATTCAGAAGGTTTTGAAACTCCCAGATTACCTTTAAAACTTAGGGAGACTGGTTGCCCAGAGGATAAACAGAGATTTCAAAAATATGACATGGAAGAGAGGGTGAAAGGCTGGCACTTCTTAAGCCGAGAGCCCGAGGAGAAAGGCCAAGATCGGGACACAGCAGATACGTTTCCTGGACAGGGCTGCTGAGGGAACGTTGCCAGATGAGCTTTCAGCGAATGCTGTGTTTCATTTGTTCTTGGTCCCTTCATCATTAAAAGCATATTAAAGTGTCATAGTCACTCGGAGCAGTGGCCCACCCCACCATGATCCTGCTTTACCGTGGGACATGAGGCCAGAGATCTGAGGTTATCCATCGTTTGTCATCCTGAGAAGGAGTTTCCTTTAATAAGTCGGGGTATATTTCCCTTCCTAGCTCTTTTCCCATATAGTTAATTCTTGGCGTGTGCAATCACTTTTAGTCTATTAGTATTAATCGTGCTCCCTTGCTGCTCCAGGCTCTGTGCTGGGCTCAAGAGACACAAAGGTTGAGTAGCTTCTCCTGAAAGGTACCTCACAGCCCCAAGGGGGAAGCAGACAGGAATGCAATTCACTACAAGTGCCAAGAGCTAGAATAGAGCACCGGTATGGCTCAGGGGATGCAGAAGAAGGAAGAACTGATTGCTGGGGACAGTCAGAATTTTCCCTCTGCTTTTTTATTCCTGTAGTGTAAAATTTGCATAATAAAGAAGCAAGTTAACATGTTGTGTCAACCTATGCCTCTCGAACATTAGAGTGTGTTCTGGATCTGGGGCTTGACCACTTGCTCAGCAAGTCTGTAATTGTCCTGAAAGCCTTTCTGAAGCCATGACTGAAGCCTCTCGGTGGCATCTGAGGAGAAATGTTAGGAAAACATTTAGATGGCAGTTCAGTGGATCATAGAAACTACTTTGCTAATACAGTTTAGTGACATTTTTAGAAAGGAGGCCAGAATACCAGAGAGCCATGGACAACCATTTCTTTACATTGTTTCTAGGGCCAGCACTGTGGCTCACACCTGTAACCGCAGCACTGTGGGAGGCCGAGGAGGGAGGATTGCTTGAGCTCAGGAGGTTGAGCCTGCAGTGAGCTATGATTGTGCCATTGCACTTCAGCCTGGGCAACAGATGGAGACTCAGTTTCTTTAAAAAAGAAAAAAAAATTGTTTCTCTATGTATGAGTTGGATAATGGAAGTTACCTAGATCTTCCTCAGGTCATCTGGGCATGCTGGTGAGGTGGCAGAACCTGCCCCAAAGACGAATGTCCCGACTTGAGTGAAGGTTGCTCAGGTGGACTTGAAAAGTCTGGGGAAACCAGGAACAGCTGATTAAGCCCGAGGAGGCATAATATAGCAGCACTGTGACCCTGACGGCTGGAAAAATTTAGATGCTCAGTTTTTCTCCTGAGTGCAACAATTCTCATGTCTTACTCGAATTCAAGACTTCATGGAATGCAGCAAGCTGTGTATAGCTCCTCGTAGCAAAACCTCAAATGGGTGGAAATAAGATGTCCGGCTTAACTGAATGTTCTAGTTTATTAAAAGTAAACCCTTCTGTTAAGAGTAAGCCCTTTTATTAAAAAAGAAAAAGGGTAAGTCACTCCCCACTTTTCTTTTGATAAAAATATGTCTTTAATACAATACAGTGAGTATATCCTTGAACCTTTTTGGTTTATTTGGTGTTTTGAGGATTTCCCCAGATTCTTCTGACTTTGATATTACTCCTCATGGTAAGACATGAGAATGAAGCTCTGGGAGATTCAGATTATTTTCTGAAACTTTAAATAATAAACACTGATTATGTATTTATTTGCTGTGTGAAAGTTCTGGATAGTGAAATTAAAACTTCCCAGTATGGTATGATGTAGACTCTTTTTAGTATACCTGACAAACAAAAGAAAGCAAGCCGTGCTATCTTTATAACACAATTTTCCATGACGAGGAAAGAAAATGGACAATAAAGAAAATACAAACCACCACTTAATAAAGCTGTCAGAATTGTTCGATGGGCCTAGAAACTGACTGTCATTGAGAGCTGTTCAGAATCCATGTCCATATCTGTGGTGCATATCAATTGAGGGGTAGAAGCAGCTTTTTTAAAGCTCTTTTTTTAATATAAGCATGGGAATCCTGTGAAAGGTTAAAAGCTATAATGGATCACCTTTTCAACTTGCTAAGTCATATTTTTATTATCTGAGGTGATCTGTATTAATATATCTGTATAACAGATGATTACACAGCCTTGAAAATAGAAAATGTTTTCATTCCTTAGATTAAATCAATAAAGGTGAAATTAGACCCAACTCTCAGAATACTTAGAATAGTCATTTATCACACTATTAGCTTGGCATCTCAGAATTTACCTTTATTAATTTTGGCTTCACTAATTCTAAATTTTGTGATTATTTAGACAAAAGTTGGACTAGAATTACTTTTGTGAGATTCTGTAACTGTGTAAGTAGAAACAATCAGTGACTATTTAAAGCTATGTACGAGACCATTCTTTGGAAGTTCCCATATACTTGGAAACATTGATAAGCTATTTAAAAACAATCCTTCCCAGTCATCAGTGGAATCCCAGAGATGCTTTTTCTTGCTTCTTTTTTGTACTGTATTCTGGGCTTAATTATGGTGGGACCAAGGAATGGGCGGGACCAAGGAATGGGCTTCTGATTCACAAGCAGGCCGTAAAGCAGCCAAGGTATCTTTCCCAAAATTTGTTTATGGCCTGATTGATTTGGGATGTCTCAGAACTCATACTTCCGTGGGCAAAAAAATCGTTGTAAGTAGTAGTGAATACATTTCAGTACTTACGATGAAATGAAGCCCATTTTATTCCATATGCAGCTGTGATAGTCTCATACTAGTATCTCCAAACTGTTATGTTGTTATATACTCTACCAGTACTAAAATACCAGAGCCATAGTATGATTAAAATGGCTTTGGGAACTTGCGCGACATTTTTAACACTACATGTGATTGTGTTTTGTATAAAAGTGTTTGTGTTCTAAGAGTTCATTTGTGAGTAAATGACTGCTTGTAGTAACGAAAAGCGTTGTTCAACCCTAAAACCATTTCTTTCTAGGTCGTCAAATACAGTTTAGATGACTATGGTTTTTAGCTATTTTAACTACCAGTAGTATATTAATAGCCTTGCACTTTTAGTCATTTCACCTACATTAGAGATTATGTTGGTTTTTTGTACTCTGAACTACACCATGAGTTGCCCTTTATAATATTGTTTATTGGGACAATGCATTCTACAAATGATGGTGGTTTATAAATTTTAAGTCTAGGGCACCTGTGTGCTCTTTCACTTAAAATTTATAAAAATATTTATTATAAGAATGAGAGTACAATATACTTAGTAATAAAAATCTTCAAATTTAAAACATGTTCTTTGGGTGATTTTCATAGCTGCTTTGTCTTTATATGGTCTTTCAAAGACATAGTTATGAATTTCAGTTGTTGCACTGATGGGGGAGAAGAATTTCAGTAATTACTATATTGAACGTGGAAATGCTGTATAAGAACCCCATTTGTTGTTCTTAAAAATATAAAAGTGAACTTTCTAAGAGGATTCCTTCTCTCTCAGATTAACAAGTCCACATTCATAGTCTACTGAATGTAAAAATGTTCTTGCTTGAAATCTTATATGATTCTATCCTGAAAGTTAAACTTAAGAAGCCTAGAAATCATGAAGATACTGGTTATATGTGGCTTACTGGATGGCTGCCTAAAATTATTTACGACCTTTTTATTCTTAGATGGCCTTATTTGCTTTAACTAATACGAGACTGCAGTGAGTGTTATTCTGGTGAGTGGGTGCCATTCCTGGCTGGATCTAACAGGGAGATACCATCCTTGCAGGGAGCACAGTCTTTATTCCTTGCAGTGAGACCTGCTTCTCCAGGTGTGCCCACACCTTGTTAACTGTCTTTCTCTAACTACTGTGGACTCTCTTCAGGGAATAAGAATTCTTTGTCCTCTCCTTGGCCGCCCTTCAGAAGCAAATGTCTTTCTTCTTTGAATGCCTTTGGTAGGCATTTCCTGCTCTGTTTTCAAGTCTTGCTCAACTTGAAAAAGTTTTTGAACCTTGAAAAGCAGGTATCCTGATCTGCTTTCAGTACTAATGCCAGTGATAAAATTACACTAATTGCTTTTAATCTCCTAGTCACTTTAGTTTTGGTATGAGAACATTCTGGTATTTGTGAACAGGCTTTTGTGCCAGAAAAATAATATAAAACCATTGCTCAGAAAAATAGTGCCATTAGGAGCCCTCAGCAGCACATAATAATGGCAATTAATGACAATCAGCGGCCAACTCACTGCTCACTGTATCTGATATTTTTTAAGGGAGCAAAACATATGAAGTTTATTTTATTATTATTTTTTTACTTTGTGTAAGTATTTTTACATCTGCTTGTGATTATTCTGCCTTGTAACTACCACCTCAGGCCCAGTTCTTTTTAGGGGAAAAAATGAATTCCTTATGTAATAAGTGATCGTTTGGAAAATTTCTCTGACAGACCGTGAGCTCTTCTTATGAAACATTCAATACCAAAAAAAAAATATGCAGCTATAATTCACTACAGAAGTATGGGTTTGTAAGAGAGATAGAGGATCTTATGTATCCAACTTAATTTCTTTTGTAAGGATGAAAATTTGCGCCTCATATATTAATGTAATAACTTAATATGAAGTGCTGCAGGTATTAAAAAAACCCTATCATCTGGATAAACTATAAGTTGTGCCAAGACAGCATGGCATCGAGTGGAATCATTTTTTTTTTGAAACAGAGTCTCACTCTGTTGCCCAGGTTGGAGTATAGTGGCGCAATCTTGGCTCACTGCAACCTCTGCCTCTGGGTTCAAGCAATTCTCCTACCTCAGCCTTCTGAACAGCTGAGATTACAGGCGCCCACAATCATGCTCAGGTAATTTTTGTAGTTTTTAGTAGAGACGGGGTTTCACCATGTTGGCCGGGCTAGTCTCGAACTTCTGACCTCAGGTGATCCTCCTGCCTCGGCCTCCCAAAGTGCTGGGATTACAGACGTGAACCACTGTGCCCGGCCAAGTGGAACCATTGGACCTTGTTCAAGATGACTGCCTTATTCGAAACACCTTCAGTTTAGGATTATATTGCTGCATAGACTCTAAAGGAAGAATTATAGCCAGATTCCAGAATATGTACAAACTTTTTATGTATTTAAAAAAAAATCACAAGTGTGTTTAAAAATGTAAATAAAGGCAGAAATATCAAGGCTATGTGTCAGAGACTTGAAATAGCATATTTAACATCGATCATAAAAGGGGCCTCTTGCAGATTGTGAAGTGGTGGTTTTTAAAATTAGAAGCCGGGTGTGTGGCAAGCTCAGAAGCATATGACATAGCTGTTGCTAGGGTAAGCGTGCTGCTTTGGGCCAATAGCTGAGTAAATAAACAAGATAAACCCACGTAAATTGATGGCTCTGGTCCTCCTAACTCATTGGCCATCTGCTTATTATTTTTTTTTTAATCCTGGGTTTTCTCACCCTGCAATGTCCATGTATCTGACACTTTGGAATTCAGATCTGCTCTATGAGATTAGTCCGTCATCTTTGTGTTCTGCTGTTTGCTTTTAGTGAAAGTTTGAAAAACCATGAAGGCCATGGAATCAATGATAAGACAGAACGTTTCAGAAAGTCACGTTCTGAAACTTGTCTATAAGCTGTGAATGTTACTTCTCAGATTTTTAAAGTGTTACTTACTTTTTGGAAGCTGGCTCTTTATTTTTAATACAAAGACAGTCTAAGTCTTTTCCCTGCATGTTATGTCCTGTTGGTATGTTCAGATCTGTCTATAAGCATTTTTGTGTTGGGCACATATAAAAATTGGGAGGATTGGGCTGGGCGCAGTGGTTTACACCTGTAATCCCAGCACTTTGGGAGGCCGAGGTGGGCGGATCACCTGAGGTCGGGAGTTCGAGACCAGCCTGACCAACATGGAGAAACGCCGTCTCTACTAAAATGCAAAATTAGCCAGGCGTGTTGGCACATGCCTGTAATCCCAGCTACTCGGGAGGCTGAGGCAGGAGAATCGCTTGAATCTGGGAGGCGGAGGTTGCGGTGAGCTGAGATCGCACCATCACACTCCAGCCTGGGCAACAAGAGCAAAACTCTGTCTCAAAAAAAAAAAAAAAAAAGGGAGGATTGGTTGATTTCTTTGGGTGTTGCATTCTAGGTTTCCAGAAGGTGCTGAGCCTGCCTTGACAAGCACTAAATGGTGACTGTGCTAGTAACACACGCAGCATGCAAGCTTCCTCCTGGAGCACTGTGCTGGGGGTTGTTTCCATAGATATTGTGGGATAGTAATGCCTCCCTTTACTGTCTCTTGGGTATGTTGAAACCGGGAAGTGAGACAATGCACATGAACATGCTTTGAGTTCTTTGGAAGAAAGCTACTTAAATCAGGCATATAATTAGTTTCATCACCATTATGTGTGTGCTTCTCCTGAAAATTGCCCAGGGAAGCTCCACAGTAAGGCAGGGCTGTAGTTGTACAAACACAAAGCTGCCAGGGCTGCACACCATGGAAATGGTGGTTTCCCCAGGATTGTAACTCCAGTGCTCTGTCATGACTCTGAAACGACACCTCCAATTGGAGAGCGTGGATGAGCTTCCTCCAGACTTGTGGTCTGCTCAGCTGAGGTCCGGGTACTTGCCTTCTGTTTCATGAGACCTCATCCTTTTCCCTACATGGGCTGGATATCTGAGACAGTGTGGCCTGTGGCTCCCATAAGTAAGTGGCGAGCGGACAATCATTCTGCTTTCCTAAGAGATGGGCATTCTGACTCAGATGTGGTTGTACCAATATCTTAGCAGATGGCAAGAAACAGATTGCAGAGACTTGGAGAAAAAAAAATGTCACGGATGTGTCCAACCCACTTTTGGAGCTGTAGCCCCATTTGGGATATTTTCTTATCAGTGACACTGGGAGAAAGGCTTCATCCCTTGGTAAAAGTGACCCTTTTGCATGCCATTTTTCTTTGGTTGTGCAGGGGGTTTTATTATTTTCTTCAACCCTAGCCTCCCTGCAGTCATAACTGAATAAGAAAGTCTCTTTGTATTTGCTCCCTTTTAGAGAAGGAGGACAGTCCTTAGGTTTACAGAGGTTCTCTTTAAGCAACTGCAATATTTGATTGACTCCTGGAAAGCTCAGAGTCTCAGGAGGACTGAAGATTATTAATGAGCTTTTACCTTTGTTGTGTATTTTAAAATGTACTTATTATTCTAAGCAATTATACAGAACTCTTTCTAATAGCATTTTTGTTCTTGATCTGTAGAACAGGGCACTTATATATGCAGAGACTATATATATATATTGGCCGGGCGCGGTGGCTCACGCCTGTAATCCCAACACTTTGGGAGGCCGAGGCGGGCGGATCACGAGGTCAGGAGATCGAGACCATCCTGGCTAACACGGTGAAACCCCGTCTCTAGTAAAAATACAAAAAATTAGCCGGGCGAGCTGGCAGGCGCCTGTAGTCCCAGCTACGCGGGAGGCTGAGGCAGGAGAATGGCGTGAACCCAGGAGGCGGAGCTTGCAGTGAGCCAAGATCATGCCACTGCACTCCAGCCTGGGCGATGGCGAGACTCCGCCTCAAAAAAAAAAAAAAAAAAAAAAAAAAAAAATATATATATATATATATATATATATATATATATATATATAAAACTTAGAATTTTGCAGTGTGAATTAAGTTTACATGTTGTGGGATAGCTTTGGTTTCTGTGATTTCTCAAGAACAGAGTCACATACATCTCAAGAGCTCCTGTCCTTCCACTGTCTGCAGACTTAGTGGCCCTGGGCTGCCTCTTTCCCTGACCAACATTTGTCTCAAGTAGTCACCAACAATGCCCATATTATTACAGGGTGATGGGGACTGTGGAGAAACTGAGTTCTAAATTTCTCTTCTTGTCTTTATTCTCTTAAAATAAGGAAAGTCCTTCTTTCTCTCCCTTCCCTCCGCTTCCTCAAGGCTTTCATGGTAGGTGGTGGTGAATACCTTGGCTGGGGTTTTAGAAGATGGGGCAGGGGAAGGAGGCAATTGTGGTTTTGTTTTCTGTTCCTTATTGATAGCACTTCCGCAGAGGCCAGTGGCTTTTCTAGGGAGAGTCTGTGTTTGCCCCAGGCGAAGCCTCCCATTTTATGGAGGAGCCTGTGATAGTCGGGACTGTGTTCCCTGGAGGGCTCCCTCTCACTGTGTGGGAGCCCGAGGCCTGGTGGAGCGGGCTTTGCAGCCTCCTCCTTTCATGCAGCAGTAGCTGGTGTCTCCTTTGCAAAGCCCTCTAAGAAAATTGAGTGGCAGCCTGTGTTTTGTCAAAGAAGGATGGAAGAGGAGGGTATACTTAAAACCTGGGTCTTGAGAGGATGAGCTCCGCTCGTTTTAGTCTCACATGAGTACTTTTATCATTATTGTTGTTGCTATTATTGGAGACAGGCAGGAGTCAAGTGCCATGATGGTGGCCCACTGCAGCCTTGACCGCCCAGGCTCAAGCGATCCTCCCATCTCAGCTTCCCGAGCAGCTGTGACCACAGATACATGCCACCACGCTGGGCTAATTTTTTAAAAATTTATTTGTAAAGATGGGGTCTTACTATGTTGCTCAGGTCCATCCAGGGAGGAGTGATCCTCCTGCCTCAGCCTCCCAAAATGCTGGGATTACAGGTGTGAGCCACTGCACCTGGCCACATGAATACTTTAGATACTGTTGACCAGAGGCCCCATATCAGCTAGAATTGTTGCAGGTGCATGTTGCCTATGTTCACCTTGATCCCCATGAGTTCTCCAAGAGGTGCAGATCTCTTGATGACCCAAGCTCTGCGTCTTGCAGACACCTGAACCCTGTGTCTGGCCCACACAGTTCTCTGACAGAGACTGTCTACAATTTGAACTTCAAGGGGCGACTCCCAGGCGGTCTGATGCATTACCCCTGACTTGGCCAGGTCCCAAGCTCTTGGCAGCCTCCCAGACTGCAAAGGCTGTGCGTAATGGCTTTCCAGAGAGTGTGCAGCAGGCCCGGGAGGCCTGGGCTCCTTTCCTTTGGGGGAGATGCCAGCTTTGGCTCAGCCTCCTGGTTGGCTCTGACCAGGAGGTCAGATAAGTGGATGACGTAAGTGGATGACGGATAGGCTTCTTGGTATTCCTTGTTTATGGTATTAATAACCAGACATGGAACTGCACCAGAAAGGAGGTTTTTAAAAGTGAAAGTAGTTAGTCATGTTGAGCCGGGATGGCAAGGAGAGGTTGCCAGCGCCAGTGGTTTGAAAGGTGCTGAGGCCCCACCTGTATGGAGGCAGCCGCTCAGGGTGCCTGCTGAGCTGTCAGTAGTTCTCATTGTCCCGTAGGGGACCCAGCACCTCCCCTCCTCTCTGCTGCCCAGCCCTGTGGCCTGAGCCAAGTCGTTCACGGCTGCGCCTCCCACTTTCTTGTCTGCAGAGCGAGTGGGGTTGCCAGGAAGGTCATGTAAACCAGTGAAGTGGGCCAAGCGGGCATTCTATTCTGACGTTTCTTGAAACGTGCACAAAGCCCTGTGAGTTCCATTGTGAGTGCGAATGGAGAAGCGTTTTCTAGACTGAGAACGGTTGACAGTAGTTCCTGCATCCTGGAACATGGCCGTGCCGTTCAGTCTTTGTGTTGGGGAGGGTCTTGGAGAATGTGTGGCCCCTCTATAGGGCCACCACTCGGCTTCAGGAAAAAAGGCCCATACTATGAGACTGTGTTTTTTGGGTTTTTTTAATGCTATAAATCTGTAAAACTTACCCAATTTCAAAAAATATGATGAGGACCAAAACTAAAAAAATTATATGTGGGCAGAATTTGCTGAGTCTTCCATCTTTGGGATAAAAACAATCTCTTTTAGCTCTAAGTTCTGTGAGTCTCTGATTCTTGCTATCCCCTGAACTAAAGTCCTGCTACTCAAAGCGTATGGTCTGGGGACCAGCACGTCAGCATCTCCTTTGAGCTCAAGAGAAATGAAGAATCTCGGGTCCGCACACAGACCTACAGGATCTGCATTTTAACCAGATCCCAAACATTTCCAGAAAGATGATGCTAAAATGTTTTGGAGTAGGGGAAACATGAACACCAGCCAGTATGTTAGCATGAATCTGGTTTTCAGGTTAATTCACTGACCAAAAGAATCAATGGATCAGAGCATATAGAGATTACTTTTGACCAAGGGAGAAAATAGGGTCTGTAACTTTGTTGCAGAGCCGTTTTGCATGCTCTGTATGCGTGCTCTGCACAGTGGAGTGGGACGCATGGAAGCTTTGAGTTTCTGGTTGAGGATAAAGCGTTATTAACTTTATTAAGAATTTTAAGCACCTGCCTCATGCCGCACTTCCGCTGCTGCTGCTGCTGCTGCTGTGTTTTTGAGAAGGAATCTCGCTCTGTCTCCCAGGCTGGAGTACAGTGGGGCGATCTTGGCTTACTGCAACCTCTACCTCCTGAGCTCAAGTGATTCTCGTGCCTCAGCCTCCCAAGTAGCTGGGACTACAGGTGCCTGCCACCACACCTGACTAATTTTTTTTTTCTTTTTACTTTTAGTAGAGACGGGGTCTCACCCTGTTGGCCAGGCTGGTCTTGAACTCTTGACCCCAAGTAATCTGCCTTCCTCGGCCTCCCAAAGTGCTGGGATTACAGGTGTGAGCCACAGTACCTGGCTTATGCCACACTTTCACATAATTTATCCTATTAAGCCCTGACAACAGTATCTTGAGGTAAGAATTATCACTTGAAGTTTTTAGACCTGGAAACTGAGTTGCAGAAAGCTTGAGGAACCATCCAAGGCCACTTGCTTGCTAGGAGAGGAAAGAGCTGTGATTTGCACCCAGGAGATCTAAGAAGAGCTTGTCCAGTGCAAGCTTCATTTATACAACTCTGCCATGGCCTGCCCTTGCTGGAGACATTTTTAGATTCAGTGAACCTGCCTGGTAAAGGTGCCATTTGTAGAATTCCCAGGAATAAGAAAAACTAAAATGCAGGCCTTGTAATGCTGCTCCAAGTTTATTCATTATGTTTTGTTTTTTGGTGTTTTTTGAAACAGCTATTACTTAAGCTTTCATTGGTGGTTTTGGCCACGGAAAAGCAGCTACAAAATAAGAAATATTTGTCACTTCATAAGGACCAATTATTCTGTTTTAACAGTCGTTTTCTGGGTTTAATCCAGCAAGTTGGGTCCTGATTTTGATTTGGAATTAGAATTACAGACAATAGCAAATTGAGAACATACATGCAATCTTGGTGTTGAAAGAAAACCAAATGAGTGTGAATCTAAAAAGCATGTTCATTGTGCACCTTTAATGAAAAAATTTTCTGTATAACGACCTCTTCAATTTAGTATTTAACATTTCAAAGGACTTTGAAGGACTCTGCCTTCTCAAAAGTTGTCAAAGATTTTAGCTATTGTCATCATTAGACTTCAAAGCAGAAACTGCAGGCTATTTTAATGCCAATGCTTTTAATCCTAACCTTTGTATTGAGATTAGGAGCACAAAGGATGGCCCGTAAGGGGTGAGCTGAGTTTTTCTATTTTGTTTTCTTTTTCTTTTCCCTAAAGATTTACAGTGAAAGCTCTGCTCTCTAGAATTGTTCTTTACTCATGGATAGTTTTTTTTTTTTTTTAGGTCTAAACTATTTTGAAATCTGCACAATGGTGTCTGTTATTAAAAAAGAACAGCCACAGTAATGAAAGGACTTGGCACTTACAGATCAATTTCATGTGCCCACAGCCTGTTTCTGTAAAAGATCAAGAGCCATAAATCTCTCCCAAATTATCTGTGTTTGTTATTATTTTAGTGTTTGAAGATTAGACGTGTGTATGGGGTGAAGGAGTTGGTGAGAATTATGTGTAGAGACCCCAGGCAGCCTCAGGCCAGCCTCGCGAAGGCATGTCCCCGGGCTCACTGCCACCCTCTCTCTCACCATCTCATCCTTCTTCACCTCCATGAGCCCTACACACATCCCTTGTACGCCTTTCTGCTCTCGGCCCATACATCAAGCATGGACATATTTGTGCAGTGTCCTCACGGAGCAAAAACAGAAGCACACGGTGGCTCTATGCTGGCCTCACTCTGGAGGAAACCACAGAGCTCCGGCAATGAATAGTTTCTCGGGTGTTTGTGCATCGCACGAGTTCACAATGCGGCTGGGCGCTGGGATACAGTGAGTGACTTTCTCTTCTCATGGGCCCTAACATCAGGTAGGCTTGTGTAGCCGTAAGTTAAGTGAGCCGCATCTCCATGATCTCTTCTGTCCCTGGCAATGTCAGATGCCTCGCGTTGGTGTGGCACCTTTCACCATTTCTCCACGGACAACTCCATCTATTAATTTCTTGGAGAAATCTGGAGCCCAGATTTAGGGGGCTCAAGTGGCATAGTTGATTTGCTGCTGATGAGTGGAAGGAAGGGTTAGTGGGAACCTGTTGGGTCTATGGCCAGCTTTGGAGGAGGCTTGGGGGATGGGAGCAGGATGCTAAATACAGGGAAGAGGGGTGGGGTGTACTTGAGAAGAACGTGGGGGGATGGCGCATGGCAATGAGAGGCGATAGTACGACATGGTGCAAATCGTACCACGTCGGAAGTCAGAGACCTAGGGCCTAGTCCACTTGGTGCTGCTAACTAGCTACAGCCTTAGGAAAGGAATTTGGTGCCTCAGTTTCTTTTCTTTTTTCTGTTTTTTTAGAGACGGAATCTCGCTCTGTTGCCCAGAGTTGCATGATCTTGGCTCACTGCAACCTCCGCTTCCCGGGTTCAAGCGATTCTCCCACCTCAGCTTCCCAAGTAGCTGGGACTACAGGCATGCACCACCATGCCCAGCTAATTTTTGTATTTTTTTAAGTAGAGACGGGGTATCACTGTATGTTGGCCAGGCTGGTCTCGAACTCCTGACCTCAGGTGATCCGCCCGCCTTGGCCTCCCAAAGTGCTGTGATTACAGGCATGAGCCACCGTACCCTGCTGAGTTTCTTTATCCATATACTGTGAGTGCAGGAGCAGATGGATTTAAAAATCTTCAGATTTAAAAGTCTTCTTTTTCAGTTATTAGACGATTTGATTCTAAAGTATCCAGGTATAAACCAATCAACCAACCAACCAACTGATCAAACAAGCCAGAAGTCTTTTCATGGAGGAGAAAAACTGTGAATTTTGCAGAACGATTGATTGAAAGCTACTGTTAGAATTTTAAGAAGAGAATGTCACAGCCAGATCAGAGATAAAGATAATTTTTTCATCTACATTCAACATGTCCAGAAAAAGTATGTTTGGAGACTAGGAGAACAGAAAAGATGGCACTAAAATGTTTAGGTTAGAATTAACTTGGGGCCTTCGTCTGATAAAATGAGAGATGAAGAGAAAAAGATGGAGCCAGCAAAGTTTGTGAAAGAGACAGCAGAAAGCCTTGACAATGTCTCTGTTAGATGTTTTCCTCTCATTTTACAATTTGAACAACCAACATGAAATTTTAGCATTTTACCTTGGACAGATAAAGAACATTGTGGGGTAATATTTTTGCCTGTTTGATAACTTACTTCTGAACAGGATTTTTTTTTTCACCTGTGTACAGACTCTAAGGAGGAAATTTTTTCAAGAAATACACGTGATTGTTGGAGAGTTAAAATTTAGACCATTGTGTGAAGCTGTTAACGTCTGTCTCATTGGCTGTGGGAAGAAGAGTGAAAACATTCTCTAAATATAATCAACAGAGCTGTAGGGTGGTACAGGTCTCTTCAAGAGCCTTTCTGCCTTCAATGAGACTGAAGTAAATTGCCTTTTCTGAATTCCCCAAGGGCTGCTGAAGTTACTCGCAAGCTCAGAGATTGTCTAGGAAAGAGGTGCAGCCACACCATCAAGAGGTGAGGAAATCTTAGTCCCAGTCGTGGAGAACAATAAAAGGCTGGCTGAGTGCAGTGGCTCACACCTATAATTCCAGCACTTTGGGAGGCTGAGGTGGGCGGATCCCGAGGTCAGGAGTTCGAGACCATCCTGGCCAACATGGTGAAACCCCGTCACTACTAAAAATACAAAAAAAATTAGTTAGGTGTGGTGGTGCGCCTGTAGCCCCAGCTACTCTGGAGGCTGAGGCAGGAGAATCACTTGAACCTGGGAGGCGGAGGTTGCAGTGAGCTGAGATTGCACCACTGCACTTCAGCCTGGCGACAATGCAAAACTCCTTCTGAAAAAAAGAAAAGGCTTGGTCAGTGAATGGAAAGGACATCACTGCCTCACATTTTAAGCTCTTATATATTTGTTAAATAACTAAATGGAATTTCTTCTGAGAACTAGAATTCAACATGAATTATTACACAGCGGGGCATAGAAAAACCTGATAAAAATATTGAAATCTCTGTTTAAGATGATATTTAGGCAGAAATACATGGAAAGAGTAATTTTTCTATGTTTAATTGTATTGCTCTCATCCTCACTCAAGCCAATTTCGTAGCACGAAATAGACTTTTCATCTGATTTCATTCTCTGTGTGGCATGCGTGCCATCATCTGCGTAGCTTTGGAAAGCTGACGGATAGTGAACAGAATTATCATAGATCGAGACATCTTTGGGTATTCTCCATTCTAGAAGTGGAACTTAATTTGAACCAACAACTTTAAAAGTAACGTATTTCGACTGGTTTGAACTTGAGCTGACCTAGAACTGAATTAATTACATGTAATGAGGACCCCAGCCAAGGCACCACTCGGACATATGCGCTGTGGCCAGCAGGGCTATGTGAGAAGTATGAGTAAGTGACAGATACTAGGACTTCAGGTCTACTGTACACTGATACCCAGCTCACTGTTCTGGAAAATCACAGTGAAAATGTTTGTCCGAAAACAGATTCCAGCCTGTTCTCTTTTTACAATGACTCCCAAAATGGAATTTGGGAAACTGAATCCCTGAGATAAAATGCCATTCCCTTGATCCCAGTTAGACCCTTCCCTGTTTTTCTGTGTGTGGAATTTTCTGTTAATTGGCCCTTTACTCTGAATACACATTGATCTTTATGGGTTCCTGAGTGCTAGGTTCCCACTTTTTAAAGCAATTATAAAAGAAAAAACAGGGCATTTCCCAGACGTAAAACTCCTTCTCATTTCCCAGTGGGTCGGTTAATCCCGGGATATTGCAAGAGTTCAGTGAAACCTAATTCAATTAACTTCTATCACTTCATTCTATCCCAATTTTGAGTATACCTTTAGCTGCATTAAGTGGAACAAAGCCAAGCTTTTGGTCAATGTCAGATTAATATCTTTCTCCCAACATTTAGATTGAATGCTTAGTTTTTGTAGTTGACCAAATGCACTGTAGAGTTGTAGCAGCTGTTAGGATTTACTATGCCTGGGTTACACTTTTGCTGCTTCCTTTTAAGCGGGCTTCATATTTCATTGAATCTTATAGCTGGAAGAGACCTTAGAATCCTTCTGGTCTGATGCACTGGTTTTATATAAATGAAGTAATGAAGCCCACAGAGGCTAAGAGACAGGCTTAAGGTCACAAAGCTAGACAGTGGCAAAGCCGGGGCTAGAACTGCAATTTCCCACCTCTTGCACCAGTGTTTTTGGTAGCTTACTTCTGAACAGGATTTAATGATATTCTTTACCTCTGTCCAGATTCTCAGTGGAAACATTTCCAAGAAATGCTAAATGTTATTGTTGGAGATTTAAAATTTAGACCATTTTATATAACTGTTGCTTTTTTTTTCTTTTTATCACGTACAATTTCTAAAATACACAAAAGTAGAGAGAATAGAAAAACAAACCCAATATCCGGCTTCAGCAATGTCATCATGTTTCATTTATATCCCCATCTACTCCCTCCTCCCCCCAATTATTTTGAAGCAAATCTAGACATCATATTAATTCATCCATAAATATTTCAGCATGTAGCTCTAAAAGATAAAGACCCTTGAAAAATAGCTACAATACTATTACTAACCTAAGCAAATTAGAAGTAATTCCATAATGTTATTAAATACCCCATAGTTGTTCTGTTTGACATGTTATAAATTTTTTTTTTTTTTTGAGACAGAGTCTCGCTCTGTCGCCCAGGCTGGAGTGCAGTGGCGCGATCTCGGCTCACTGCAAGCTCCGCCTCCCAGGTTCATGCCATTCTCCTGCCACGGCCTCCCGAGTAGCTGGGACTACAGGCACCTGCCACCACGCCCAGCTAATTTTTTGTTTTTTAGTAGGGATGGTTTCACCGTGTTAGCCAGGATGGTCTCGATCTCCTGACCTTGTGATCCACCCGTCTCGGCCTCCCAAAGTGCTGGGATTACAGGTGTGAGCCACCGCGCCTGGCCGACCTGTTATAAATATTATATAGTCATTTTATTTTCAAATGTGTTTTCCCTTTCGAAGAGGAAACAAACTGTTAAGAATGATGGGTGTTTTAGGTGAATGGAATGAGGAGAGGTGCTGTAAAGGTCTTCTTCAGTATCACTGATGAAATGTGACACGACTTTACAATTAATGAAGAATTTGCTAGATAGTCGCTTAATTTTGGAGTGTTTTCTCTTTTCCACCAAAACTAGTAAATTTTATTTTATTTTTTTTTGAGATCGAGTCTTGCTCCATCGCCCAGGCTAGAGTGCAGTGGTGCGATCTCATCTCACTGCAACCTCCGCCTCCTGGGTTCAAGTGATTCTCCCTCCCTCAGCATCCTGAGTAGCTGGGACTACAGGCGCCCGCCACCACGCCCGGCTAATTTTTTGTATTTTTAGTAGAGATGTGGTTTCACCATGTTGGCCAGGCTGGTTTTGAACTTCTGACCTTAGGTGATCCGCCCCCCTCGGCCTCCCAAAGTGCTGGGATTACAGGCGCGAGCCACTGCGCCTGGCCCAAAACTAGTAAATTTTAACATGATGCTTTTCTAAGGCACTGCAGCTGTTCTTTTTATATCCCTTGAAGTCATTTGAGTATCAGTATATTAAAAAACTTGTCACCACAGAAAAGGAGAAAGACTGGGTCATCTTTGTTGGTTGTCTCTAATTTTTTTTTTTTTTTAGTGTGAGCAGATGTGAATACCTTGAGCTCCTAGGGTCCGGTTTAGTAGCATGAGATAGAAAATATTTTATTGGTTTGGGAGGCTGAGGCGGATGGATCGCTTGAGCTCAGGAGTTCGTGACCAGCTTGGGCAACATGGTGAGACCCTGTCTCTGTTTTAAAAGGAAGAACAAATAAAATAATTTATGGTTAGATACATGTCCTATTCACTACAAACTATATTCCAGGGAAGGATTTTAGAGGAGACAGGTTTATCCTTTTGTGGGATCCTTTTGTGAAGGCGTTTCTCATTTCTTTGACTTCTGCTTTTACGTTTCTTTAGTGACAGAAGCCGCGAGCAGGTGTTGAATGAATATCCCATCCCATTCATACGTTTAGGCTGGCGTGACATTTTGTGCTGCAGAATATAGGGTACAAAACCGAAATGTCCTCATCACTTGTCTGTTGTGATGAGAAAGCTACAAGTTTGTCAAGTTGGCTGAAACCAGATTGTCTGCCTTAGAGAAACGTTAGGGAGAGTGGGATCCCGGGAGTGAGAATCCAGAAGCAGGATTTTCCTGAGAGCAGCGGTCATGAAAGTAAACCTTGGTGAATGAGCCAACTGGGAGAAAAGAAGAAAACAAACCAGCCAAGTACAGCTGTGTGCCTGGGCGTCGCGTCCCCGTCGCCACACATCCCAGACCTAACAGCGCAGAGACATGTGAGCTGAAACTAGTTTAAGGCTTGCTGTATCTAGGTCAGACTGACTTCCAGGGCATAATAAAAACCCGTGTCTTCTGGTAATTGGGGCCACAGACGCACCTTGTGACTTGCTTAAAATGTTTCCTCCTACTCCCCCATCAGAGTATAGTCGCCCACCGCCCCCCACCCACCTTTCAGAATTTGGAGAAGCTCCTTTTTTTCTTCACCTTTCATACTGTTTGTTGTTGGTGTGTATTTGTTTTACCCTTTCTTTGCCATTGGCTTTGGCTGGTCCAAGAAGGACAAGTGTTTCAGAAAAAATATAGAGAGAGCAACAGAGAGACAGAGGACTTATGTAGCTGATCAGTCCGAGAGCGGGAACAGCTGTTTTGTAGGGCTGAACACTCAGATGTCCAAAGGCCTGCATTTCGTGGTCACTGCCTCCTGCCTGTGGCCTCCTTGCTGTATTTGAGTGATGATGATTCTGGTTCTGTGCAGCGAGACAAATGAGGCCCCTCCATCTGTGGAGGCTGTGCAGGGTGCCGGCTGCCTCGCATTTGCTTTGTTAATGGTGCTGAGGAAGAAAGAGGAAATGCCTCAGCTTCTGGAAGCTAAACAAAGTGGATGTCTAGCCTGATGGATGAGTGGAGTTTCTGTATCTCCCTTCACCGATAGTCCATTCATCCAAGGTCCTGCTCCTTATATACACTGGTGTTTAATGCTCTTACTGTGGGCTTTGCAGGACCTCCTCTTTAAATTTTGTTTTTAAAAGTTCATTGATGATAATTGACCAATAGCCAAATTCCCAAAACCCGTGAAGGACCTTAGTCCCCTTTATAACAATGTTTGCGTGGAAAAATAAGAGTTCCAGTGTCAACACGCATCTCATTGCCCCATTACCTGAAACTGTTGGCCGAGGGAGGGAACCCTTTCCTGGCCCCAGCTTATGAGTCTGCAGAGATGGAGGCCCACATAACAGGGTGGACACGAGGGCTCTGAGAAGGGTCCTCCAGAGGGCGAAGGTTCAGATGGTTGCTGGATGGTGTAGGCAGATGCAAGATCAGGAGGGTGAAGGTTCCGATGGTTGCTGGATGGTGTAGGCAGATGCAAAATCAGGAGGGTGAAGGTTCAGATGGTTGTTGGATGGTATAGGCAGATGCAAGATCAGGAGGGTGAAGGTTCCGATGGTTGCTGGATGGTGTAGGCAGATGCAAGATCAGGAAGGTGAAGGTTCAGATGGTTGCTGGATGGTGTAGGCAGATGCAAGATCAGGAGGGTGAAGGTTCAGATGGTTGCTGGATGGTGTAGGCAGATGCAAGATCAGGGTCACTAGGATTGCACAACAGAAAGGGGGGGGAATGAGGAAAGGCCTCCTTGGAGACAGGCCTTGTACCTAAGAGATGATTTGACAATCGAATGTTTCTAAGCAGGGGACTACCTGGATTTTTCAGTAATACAGACTGAGAAGAAATTCTGCCTGCATGTCTGTGAGTCCATTGAGGACACTTAGGGACACAAGAGAAAGGGGAAAAAAGCTAGTGTTTGAGCAATAACCATGTGTCTGCAGCTCCTGGCACTCTGTTCCAGCACCGTCCAGGTGCAGAATGAAAGGCAGCCAGACTGGAATTAAGCAAGTAGTCCTGGAGTAAGATGCAAGTAGTAGTGGGGTAAGTAGTGTGGTAAGAAAAAGACCAGGTCTTTTTCTTCTAAGCATCTTTCTCTGCAATACCACTTTTCTTTTTGAACAGCCATTCCCCAAGCACAGACGTCTCATTAGTTGAACACAGAGCAAGCAGTCCTTAAAAACAACCCCACTCTGCCATCTTTTTTCTCATCCTCCCTCCCACAGATGTGCATTCAATACCTTCTACACACGAAGAATAATGCCAGATTCTTGAAGGCTATGTTCCTATCCATCTTGAGATTCTTTTTCATGGTGGATCAACTCAGTGCTACTGCATAAAGTTATGTACTTCTGGCTGGGCACGGTGGCTCATGCCTGTAATCCCAGAACTTTGGGAGGCTGAAGCAGGAGGTTTACCTGAGGTCAGGAGTTCAAGACCAACCTGGCCAAAATGGTGAAACCCTGTCTCTCCTAAAAATGCAAAAAAAAAATTAGTCTGGCGTAGTGGTGCATGCCTGTAGTCCCAGCTACTCGGGAGGCTGAGGCAGGAGAATCGCTTGAACCCGGGAGATGGAGGTTGCAGTGAGCCAAGACTGTGCCATTGCACTCCAGCCTGGGCAACAAGAATGAGACTCCGCCTGAAAGAAAAAAAAAAAGTTATGTACTTCTTCCCTGTACAGGGACGTCATAGCTAAGAGGACAACCATTTGTCAGAGACACCATCAATTTAGGCCGTTATAAATTTAGTGATTTAGTATTTGGAGAGATTATAGTATTTGGAGAGATGGATTAATGTTTCCTTAGAAAGGAAACTCTTTATTCCCTCTAACTGTCCAAAAGGTACTGTGTGAGCTACTGGAGGCCTTTCCCCTTTAGGATCAGACATATCCCTACTAATGAAGGACACTTACACATCATTAGCAGACTCCCTGCTGAGCGCCCTGCATGCACGCTCTTATTTACTCTTCACACAACATTAGGAGAGAGCTCTGTTTCCCATTTTGCCTTGGAGGGAATAAAGCCTTAGCAGAGATTTTGGACTTCGCTCAAGGTTATACCTCTAATAAGTGCAAGATCCAGGACTTACATCCATGCTCCAAAGCTGATGCTGTTAAAAAATTTATTATTTTGTTTTATTTTGAGACAGTCTTGCTTTGTTGCCCAGGTTGGAGTGCAGTGGTGCAATCATACCTCACTGTAGCCTTGAGCTCGTAGGCTCAAGCTATCCTTATGCTTCAGCCTCCTGAGTAGCTGGGACTATAAGTGTATACCACCATGCCCGGCTAATTTTGTTTGTTTGTTTGTTTTTGGTAGAGACAGGGTATCAACTTTATTGCCTAGGTTGGTCTCGAGCTCTTAGCTTCAAGTGATCCTCCTGCCTTGGCCTCCCAAAGTGTTGGGATTACAGGTGTGAGCCACTGCGCCTGGCCCTGGTGCTCTTTTTTAATACTGTAGAATGCTAGGCAAATATCTTAGGGCCATGTGTATCTTTCTACCCTACCGGGAGGAAAATATGGTGTTGGAGACCTTCAATTGTCTTTCATTCCCCTGAGACAGCTTCATGTTTCAATGGATGAAGATTCAAAGCTCTGAGCAAGAACCCCTCCTTAGACCCTTCCCCTAAGCATTACTAATAGTAGCTAACATTTATAATGCTCTCTACCAGGCATTGTTCTAAGCAGTTCACATGGATTCACTTATTCAAGCTTCACAGCAGCCTTGAGAATTCTATTATTTTCCCCGTTTTACAGCCGGGGAAACTGAGGCCCAGGGATGCTCACACAGCTAGTCAGTGGCTAGCGCACTTTACCTAGGCAGGCTGGCTCTGCATTCTGTACTCTGTACCTCTCTGGCATGCCACTTGGGTCCCAGGTACCATGAGCCCATGTCCTGTTTCCTCCCGACCTTGAAGGAGCTGGAGGAGGAGGCCTTTGCAAGTGAGGGCTCGAGGCTGGTACTGAGGCAGCACCGCCTAATTGGGACCTGGATTAATTCTCTTGCCTGCTCCTTGCCAATCCCGTGGTTACTTCTTATTCTGACTTGCTTATTTCTGGGCCCTGGGGCTTGGCAAAGCAGAAGCCAGAGGTTTGCAGAGTCTGCACAGGAATGAGACAGACTCTTGCTCCTGTTAATGAGCATTAAACATCTCAAGTGCTACCTTTTCCCCACGCCTTTCCTCCACTTCATTCTTTTGGATGGTGCTCAAACCCGCAATTATGCTGACTTACTGCTTGTTCCTGGGGCTGATTTGGCTCTGTGCTGGGGAAGGGGGCAAATGCTGCCTTTCTTTGGAGCACAGAAAACAAGTTGGCTTCTTCCTCTGTCAGGAAAACACAGTTACCCAAAAGGGAAGGTTTGCTTTGATGAACTGCCAAAGATGTTCTCGATGCGTTATTGGACCGTCTTTTGCTTGGTTTATTTTTTTTCCTTAATGAATTTGGCTTTGGTTTATCAGTCCAAGGGAGTTAAAGGATCGTCCTCAACGACACTGATCGGGGTTGAACTGCATCCCTCACAGATTCATATGTTGAAGTCCTAACCACCTATAGCTCCAAATAGGACCTTATTTGGAAATAGGGTAGTTGGCGATATCATTAGTTAAGAGGAGGTTGTACTGGAGTAGGGTGGGCCCTCATCCAGCATGACTGGTGTCCTTATAAAAAGGGGAAACTGGGACACAGGCACACAGGGAGAATGCACAGACAGGGACGGTAATGCAGGAACCAAGGAATGCCAGAGGTCACCAGCGTGCCCCAGAGGCCAGGGGCAGGGCATGGGGCAGGCTCTTCCTGCAGCACCCCCAGAGGAAACAGCCCTGCTCTTAACCTTGATCACAGACTTCTGGTCCCCAGAACTGTGAGACAGTTTCCGCTGTGTAAGCTGCCAGTGTGTGGTGTTTCGTTACAGCAGCCCTTGCAAACCTGTACAATCACCTTCAACAAACAGACAGTCAAAACAAAAGCATGAAGTTAGCAAAGTTTGATGGACCTGAGCCTCCGTGAAGGAGGCCTTCCCTTCTTCTGCAGCAACTTCGAGTCAGAGGGCCCAGCCCTGAAAGGGCCTGGCCGGGGACTTGAATGGGGTCTGCTGGGGCACGGCAGGCCTGAGTCTGAGGCCAGGCATACCAGGCCACCTCCCCTCTTTCTACACCTGCCTCCTTTCCATATATATGTGGAGAGAGAGAGAGAATATTCAAGGATGGCTGGAAACCTTTGTTTTCTCTGTGGTAATACTTTCTGTTTTTTCTTCTTTTGATGAAAAGATGGATTTCATAATTGATTGTTAAGGGATTACTGCTGTTTAGAGGCCATACAAGAAAAAGCGAGCTACTTGCTTCTATTTCCCACAATATGGCAGACTATACAGCCTGAGAAGCTTCTAGGTTTGAAAAAAATTAATTTCCAGCTGAAATATTACATAGTATTTCTTGGCTCTTCAGTCTCATTTAAAATACAGGTCTAGCTCCATACACCTGCGCATACCATTAAGCTAGCAACTCAGACCCGAGGGAACTGGCCAGCTCATACTGAACAAGGAAACCGGTAAACTCAGGTAAACTCAACAAGGTTTGACTATTTAAAACAGCAACAGGGCCGGGCGCCTGTAATCCCAGCCCTTTGAAAGGCCGAGGTGGGCAGATCACGGGGTCAGGAGATCGGGACCATCCTGGCCAACATGGTGAAATCCCGTCTCTACTAAAAATACAAAAATTAGCTGGGTGTGGCAGCTTGCACCTGTAGTCCCAGCTACCCTGGAGGCCGAGGCGGGAGAATTGCTTGAACCCGGGAGGTGGAGGCTGCAGTGAGCCAAGGTTGCGTCACTGCACTCCAGCCTGGGCAACAGAGTGAGACTCCGTCTCAAAAAAAAAAAAAAAAACAGCAACAGAAGAAAGAGGGACAGGAAAAGGAGGGAAGGAAGGAGAGAGGGAGGAATGGAGGGAGGAAGGAAAGAAGGGAGGGAGGGATGATGGAGGGCAGAAAGGAGGCAAGCAAATAAAATACTGAGCAACTCAAACCTGTGAGCCAATGTCTGTGCACAGAGTTGAATCAGTCTAAGGTCTTTGTATTTGGGAGAATGGTGGAGATAGTGATCAATTTTAGATTTTACAAAAGTTAAGAATGCTCGGAAGGGTAATCATTGAAAGAGTAGGAAGAGAAGCAGAGATGGAATTAGAGAAAAAGAGAGAGCTTGTTATTCAATAAGGCTGGTTGCGGTGGCTCATGCCTGTAATCCCAGCATTTTGGGAGGCTGAGGCGGGAGGATCGCTGAAGGCCAGGAGTTTGAGATCAGCCTGGGTAACACAGGGAGACCCCATCTCTACAAAAAAATTTTAAAAAATAGGTGGGCATGGTGGTGCACACCTGTAGTCCTAGCTACTTGGGAGCCTGAGGTGGGAAGATTGCTTGAGCCCAGGTAGTCAAGGCTGCAGTGAGCCATGAGCCCACCACTGCACCCCAGCCTGGGCAACAGAGCAAGACCCTGTCTCTGACAATAAAAAATAATAATCCAATGTGGCACAACTTTTTGAGCTGTCTAGGGGTTAACCACCTGTCAGAATTTGTCTGTGTGCTCACAGTTTGCAATTGCAAAAATATGGAACCAGCCCAAATGCCCATTAATTAATGAGTGGATAAAGAAACTGGTGTGTGTGTGTATGTGTGTATATGATGGAATATATATATATATCTATGATGGAATATATATATCTATGATGGAATATATATATGATGGAATTTATATATATATATATATATATATATATATATATATATATATATATATATGATGGAATACTACTCATCCATAAAAAGGAATGAATTAATGGCATTTGCAGCAACCTGGTTAAGATTGGAGACTATTATTCTAAGTGAAGTAACTCAGGAATGGAAAACCAAATGTTGTATGTTCTTGCTTATAAATAGGAGCTAAGCCAGGAGGATGTAAAGGTATAAGAATGATACACTGGACTTTGGGGACTTGGGAGGAAAGGGTGGGAGGGGGTGAGGGATAAAAGGCCAAAAATTGGGGTCAGTGTATACTGCTCAGGTGACAGATGCACCAAAATCTCACAAATCACCACTAAAAAACTTACTTATGTCGCCACACACCACCTGTTCCTGAAAACCCTATGGAAGAACAGAAGTATTCATCATTTTTAAAAAAATCAATAAATAAAATGAAAATTTAAAAAAAAGGAATTTGTCTGTGTGCTCAGCCCTGAACCAGGTATAGTGTATTAGTTTAGAAATAGCTAATATTTACTGAGCATTAATGAATCGCCAGGCACTAGTCTCAGGTCTTTGAAGAGATGGTTGCTTTTGTTTTCCCCATGTTCCGGAGGAAGAACTGAGAAGAGCGTCAATAGGACAGGCCGGCGGTCTCCACAATGGGAGTAGAGGTGCTGGGATTCACACACTGTCCGGGATATTCCAGAGCGTTCATGTTTAACCCCTGAGCTATACTGTTTTAGTAAAACCCTTGTTTTGTCTTAGCAAATCCTTGTCTTAGCAAAATTCTGAAAAGGTGGTCAAGAGAACTGTGTCCCTCCGAGATGGCTCCGGGCCGCCCTCCCCTCGTCTCCTATGCTGCGCCTGTGAGCCACCTCGGGAAACCCTGAGGCTGCACACAACACCGTATGGAGCCTTGCCCTGCTTCCATAGGTGTAATTTTTTTGAGACGGAGTCTCGCTCTGTCGCCCAGGCTGGAGTGCAGTGGCGCGATCTCGGCTCACTGCAAGCTCCGCCTCCCGGGTTCACGCCATTCTCCTGCCTCAGCCTCCCGAGTAGCTGGGACTATGGGCGCCCGCCACCACGCCCGGCTAATTTTTTTTGTATTTTTAGTAGAGACGGGGTTTCACCGTATTAGCCAGGATGGTCTCGATCTCCTGACCTTGTCATCCGCCCGCCTCGGCTTCCCAAAGTGCTGGGATTACAGGCGTGAGCCACCGCGCCCGGCCCATTCACACTCTTCTTGCATGCACGCTGACAAGGGCATCAAAGCACTTTCTGTTGAACTGCGTATCGTAGTTGCCGAGGTTGTGGCGGTGTGGGACAACAGTCTGCAGTGACATGGAAAAGCAAACTGGACACTCTTCTCATAATCGATACATACTTAAGATATACTTAACCTCTCCTCCGAGGCAGTTTTTTTTCACTTGTTCCAGAGTCTGAGTTTAGGATATCACACGAGCAACTGTTACCTACCAATTAGTAGGTAACAGTTAGCATGTAGGTTGTGACTCCATGAAGACCTTGCTTTGTCCAACCAAACATGGATGGATTCCCTTACACCTAAAACTTAAGTAATTTAGCTTTAAAAATGTATCATGGCTCTGGAAAAGTCTGTAGGAGGCTTGTCTCCAGGGACATGGTGATGTGTAAGCACAGAGTATCTAGGGCCAGAAAGCCACATCAGATATCCTTCGGAAACCAGTCTCTGAGATTTTGGAACAAAATGTGTCCCACCGTATCTCTGGGTCCAACTTTCTTTTTTTTTTTTTCCCCTCTCCCTCACTGTCTTTAATTTATTGCCTTCTGGTTCTTTCTCACGGTTTCTAATTCTGCTCAGGCCTTATCCCATTTCTAGGATATTTTCCGCTCGTATCTACTGAGACGCCACAGCCCCAGGTAAGCGGCAGTTCCCTGGCGGTACAGAAGTGATCACGTGGAAACCCTGCAGTAGGCTGGGACCAGTGTGGACTGTTAGCCGACCTAACAGCCTCGTCTATGGTCTGAAACATGCTCCACATGAAGTGCTGGCACTTGCCCCTTCCCTTTGCGGCCAGCATCTTAGCTTGGTGGACTGGACGAAGCCGGTGGTCTCTTCAGAGACCTGTGGGAGGAAAAGTCTGGGTGATGCAAGTGATGCTGGACTTCATGTTTTTGTTACTGGAAACATTTGCAACAGATCTTGAGTCTTCACCCTTCTAGTCGGGGTGAGAGAAGAGCGGATGGAGATACTCTTATTTTACACTATTATTTTACATATAAAATACACTATTATTTTACATATAAAAGTGTATATTTCACATATAAAATACACTATTATTTTACATATAAAACTGTCTGATCCTGCAGGTGATTTTTCCTGTCTCCCCACTTAGATTTATTTGTTCCTCTTATAAAGCAAAACTGTAACTTAAAAAAAAACAAAAAACTAGCCTCCTTTCCCTGAAAAGTAGAGTGACCTTGTGTCCCCATTTGTCCAGGAGGGTACTAGTCTAAGCATTTTGTTCTAGTGTAATTAGTAGCATCCTTCTTACTTTAAAAAACATCCTAGTTGGCTCTGGGAGGCCAAGTCAGGTGGATCCCTTGAGCCCAGGAATTTGAGACCAGCTCGGGCAACATGGTGAAACCCCACCTCTGCTAAAAATACAAAAATTAGCCAGGCACGCTGGCGTGCACCTGTATTCCCAGCTACTTAGGAGGCTGAGGCACGAGGATCACTTGAGCCCAGAGGTCAATGCTGCAGTGAGCGGTGATCATGCCACTGCACTGCAGCCTGGGCAACACAGTGAGATTCTGTCTCCAAAAAATAAAAAAAATTAAAAATATTAAAAATATCCTAATTGAATAATAACTGACATGGTAACTCTAATGGAAGCTACTGCGAACTACAGTTATATTATAGCTAATCCTCTGTGCTTGAAACAGCACCTTTAACATATGGTATGAAAAATAATAGAAAGATTTAAGATTATTACCCATAAGCCTAGCTACTTAAACTGCTAAATATTGAAACAAAATTTTAAAAAATGTTTCAGATGAACTCAGCAGAAATTATTAAATAATAGCATCTCTGTATTTTTATTCTATATTAGCATTAGAAATGTTATTAGTAATTATTAAATGATATCACATAAAAGTCCTGTAATTTGCTGGAGTTAAAAAGTTATTCTTAATAGTGTCTGGGATTTAAATATATGGGACCTTTTTTTTTTTAACAGTTATTGAAATTTGATAAAGCAGGAAACTATTTGAGCTTTGCTTCCCTTTTTGATATATGATTTTAATTGTTCCTGTATAACATTCCCTTAAATTACAGGAAGCCACATGTTGGAAAAAGGATCCATCCTTTAAACTCCATCTGTGTTATAGTGTGGTTTTTCATTGGCTTGGGAAGCAGCTCTGTGGTGACCTGCAAACAGAATTGAGAAAAGAAAACTTTCAAGACTGATTAGTGTGAAGGAGGTTTGTGGATTTAACTCTCTCGGTCTCTTGCACCATCTGTATAAACGAGCTGCGGGGAAGTCATTTGAGTCATCTGAATACATTTGTACTCTATTTTGCATTCGTGTATATTCATAAAAACTAATAAGACATCCTAAAAATTGGGGGCTATTCTAGCAATGCAAAGATTTATATGGACTTTGTTTGGATGACACAAACAACAATAAGAAAACACTAAATCCAGTAACTGCTCGCACCAGGCATTACGGAGGCAATGGAGTGAGGCAGGAGAGTACAATCGCGGACTAGGATGTCAAGAATGGAATGCTGGTTCCTCAAGCTCTGTGGGCAAATCGTGGACTGTCTCTGAGCCTTAGTTTTTCATCCTTTCTTATGATAGCAACCCCTGCCTTGCCTGCCTTATGCATAAGGCTCAATAAATTGTCAAGTCCTATATGAACATAAGGCATTATTTGTTTTTCCTTAGATAGAATTCTTATCTATAAATGGATATGAGGGACATGAAGTAGATACAATATTTGTTCCTTTATGATCTGAAGTCCACGGCCATTTGATGCCCCTCTGCTGGGAACCATAGCACTGAAGAGGGCCTAAAATGAGCACATTGTGGCACACTTTATTGAGGGCCTATTTTTTGAAAGGCACTAGGCATAAAATGATTATAAAGTGAAATCTCCCCTGGCCACCCCATTTTACATTGCTAACGCTCAGTCTCAATCTTCGTCTTCTGCCTTATTTTCTTCCATTCATCACTATTTTATATTCGACACAGTTCACTAATTGATATGTGTACTGTTGTCTCCTGCCCTTAGGAGGCAGATTCCTTAATGACAGAAGATTTTGTTTTTGTTGCTATTTTATTGTTTTATTTTTGAATTTTGGTACCCCAGTACCTAGAACCATTATTAGCACATAGCAAGTGCTCAATAAACATTTGTTGGATGAACAAAGCAGCCATTACTCTTCAGTCGTACACCGCCAGGGAAGCAGACAGACATTTTTGTAGGGTGTTGTGTTGCATTATTAATACAATGAGGTCAGCAGGGTAATAGGAAGGGCACTGTTGTTATATAAACAGGACAAGGGCCTCTAAATCTGCAGGGATATTTGAGGGCAAAGATAAGGAGAAGATGGAAAGTCTTTCAGAGAACTGACCTGGGTTTGAATCCTGCAAGCAGGATACATGAGAGTTTCCAGAAGGCCAAGGAGGTGCTAGCCAGCTTACAGCAACAGGGCGGCTCCTAAGGCCTGCAATGAGAAATGACCTTGCTGACCACTGGGCATATTTTGGTGTGTGGTGCACATTGTGACAAGGGCCCTTGATGATTCAATGAGTCAGCAGGAGAAAATGCGAGAACTTGGGTATTTATAGTGATCTTTTAGGTAGAAAGTACCAAATAAATGAAGTCTTAACAGCTGATACCAGGACCAGCGCTGGGTGAAATGTGTCTGGTGGCAGTGAGTTACAGAAGGATGTGTGGGAGTATCATCAGGCGCAGGCCATTCTCCGTGGCTCCGTGTCGTCTTTTCCTTGTTTATCTTTTTATAGAAACAAGATCTTACTCTGTTGCTGAGATTGGAGCATAGTGGCACAATCATAGCTCACTGCAGCCTCCATCTCCCAGACTCAAGCAGTGCTCCTGCGCAGACTCCCAAGTAGCTGAGACTACAGGTGCACCCCACCATACCCGGATAATTTTTTAATTTTTCATAGAGACGGGATCTTGTTATGTTGCCCAGGCTGTTCTCAAACTTCTGGGCTCAAGTGATCCTCCCACCTTGGCCTCCTAAAGTGCTGGGATTACAGGCATGAGCCATCACCCAGTCCCGTCTTTTCCTTTTAGTATATTTCTTCCTACTGCAGTTTACCTGTGCTCATTAAGTGGATTTACAGCTCATCTGATCTTCACGATTTTGTAACGAGTTTGGGAGTAACCTTGAAAAGTTTTTCTACTTCACAAAAAATCCACTGATTAATTGTGACAAAATACTTTAAGGAGGTGTTCAACATAAAGATAAGGTATGCATTTTACTTTATAAATGTCCAGAGTTATATTTTTGCTGACCTTTTTTGAATACAGCGATGTTAGTACTAGTCACTATAATCCAAGGAACCCACCAATATTGTCATTTGGGGGTTAGTTAAATATGAGCTGCATGAAGCAGTTCACAAAGACATTGTGGTGAGTCTTGGGTGGTCCAGTAGAGAACTTGCTCTGCCTGTTGAAGCTTGGCAGTGGAAGCAAGCGTTACCCACTGCGGTTTCCCTGGGGCAAGCCTGAGATGCACAGGGAAAATCTAAAGACTCACTTCATGAACTGTTAACATTGTCAGTCATGTCAATCAGGCAACTAAATTCCTACTCTTTTCCTCAACCTGTAGAGGTTTGGTGACTCAAATCAACTATTGTTTCATTCCGAAGCTTCTTGGTTTTCATGGGAGAAAGCCCGTTATTTGTCTATTTGGGTTTCAGAGAAACATTAGGTCTTTCTAGAGGAAGCCTGTTCTCTGTGAGAGCATGCCTGGGTGCTTCTGGCTTTGTAGATGACTGTATTTTGGTGCTAGCTTTGCTTACTTGAAGTCTTGTGGGTATAACCTTAGGTTCTTCAGATGAGCAGATGTAGCTGTTGTACATGCTAATTGTCAAAGACAGGGTTTCAGTATGAGATAGCTTTAAAAAGGGGACTGCAAATCGGGGCTGAGGAGCTGGACACTGAGGTCATGGTGAGCTAGTTTCTTTTAGTGAAATGAGCAACTTTATTCTGAACTCTTTGGATTTTGCTGAAAATATTTTAGCCATTTTGAGGAGAGGCTTGAGAGCTTGATAAAAGAGCCTCATAGATATTTTCCCAAAGAAGATGGCAGTAATACACTTCAGATGCATTAGTAAATACACAGCATATGCAGAATAAAAACAGATCCTGAGGTTCATTTCAAGTAATACGGTTTATTGAACAGAAGTCAGCTGGCTCATTGTCAGTGTCCAGCCTTATCAGAAAAGATCTTTAAATATTTTTCATGATTTCCAACTGCATTCACATTGGGGCTTCTCCACGCTGGTTAACATAAAAAGTGAAACATACAATCATATTATTATGCAGTCTGATTTTTGCCTTAAACTATTTAATATTGAAACAAATTGCTGATTATCACGTTCCTTTTTTTAATTGAAAAGCTTATTTTGAAGTAAGCATTTTAACAAATATATTAGGCATAGGATTACATATATTTTATCATCTATCTTATTTTAATTTTTAATATTTAAATTTGTAGCATAGTCTTATTTCATTGGATTTTTTAATGTCACATTTTCTGTATCTTTGGCAGGTGACACCGATTTTCTGCTTCCGCCCTCCCTCTCCTTCTCCAGTGCCTTGACTCGGGCCTTCAGGAGATAGGAAGGCTGTAGAAACACAGTATGGCGGTGGACTGTGTGTAGCGATGTGTGTGTGGGCTGAAGCAGGGAGAGCAGTGAGAGGAGGTGATTGAGAATGACTCCCAGGTTCTTGCCCTGGGAGACTGGACAGTGGGACTCCCATTTGCCATGACTGGAAATGTACGCTAAGACCCCAGAGGTTGGGAGACTGGGCATAAAGATGATACATTTTGTGGAATGAGCAGCTTGAGTTTGATTGTCCATGGAGCATTCAGAAAAGATATTCAGTTGACAGTAGGAAGTAAGAATTTGGAGATCCAGGAGAGAGGCCTGGGTTGGTGAGAGTTATTTGGAAATCATTCACTTGCAAGCGCTGAAATAAAGCAGTGAATGTTGTGGAAGGAACTGAGCTGATGAAATTCTGAATGCCAAGAAGGGCGATTGGGTGGAATCCAGAGAACACCCAGTACTGAATGGGCAGAGGTACCATGGATAAGGAGGAGAGCCTGTAGAGAGTGACAATGAAAATGACAGGGAGGGAAGAGTTTTAAGGGGAGAGAGTGGGCAACAGTGGCAAGCATGAAACCAAATAAGGATGAAACCAAATTCAACGTCCTGAGTGGATTTGGCAGTGGCGAGATCGTTAGCTACATTAGCAAGAAGAAAAATGTGTTTATGGGTACACCTTGTTTCACTGCTCTTTGCTTTGTTCCACTTTGCAGATATTGCATTTTTTACAAACCGAAGTTTTCTGTCAACGCTGTGGTGAGTAAGTCTATGGGCGCCATTTTTCCAACAGCATGTCCTCACGTTACGTCTCTGTGTCACATTGTGGCAGTTCTCTCAATATTTCAAACTTGTTCATTTTTGTTATATGTGTTATGGTCATCTGTAATCATTGATCTTTGATGTTATTATTGTAATTGTTTTGGGGCTCCACGAAGTGTGCCCATATAAGATGGCAAACTTGATCCGTAAGTGTTGTGTGCGATCTGACTGTTCCAATGACTGGCCATTCCCCTCTCTCTCTCCCTCTGCTCTGGCTCAACAGTATTGAAACTAGGCCAATTAATAACCCTGCAATGGCCTCTGCATGTTCAAGTGAAAGAAGAGTCACATGTCTCTTACTTGAAATCAAAAGCTGGAAATGATTAGGCTTTGCGAGGAAGGCATGTCCAAAGCTGAGATGGGCTAAAAGATAGGTCTCTTGTGCCAAAGTCAGCCAAGTTATGAATGCCACGAAAAGTTGTTGAAGGAAATTAGAAGTGCTACCCCAATGAACACACGAATGATAAGAAAGCAAAACAGACTTAATGCTGGTATGGAGAAAATTTGAGTGGTCTGGACAGAAGACCAAGCCAGTTACAACATTTCCTGGATTAGCCAAAGCCTAATCCAGAGCAAGGCCCTAACTAGCTTCAATTCTCTGAAGGCTGAGAAAAATGAAGAAGCTGCGAAGGAAAGTTTGAAGCTAGCAGAGGTTGGTTCATGAGGCTTAGGAAAAGGAGCTGTCTCCATAACATAAAAGTGCAAGGTGAAGAAGGAAGTG
Organism: Homo sapiens; assembly: GCF_000001405.40. Taxonomy (NCBI): domain Eukaryota; kingdom Metazoa; phylum Chordata; class Mammalia; order Primates; family Hominidae; genus Homo; species Homo sapiens. The sequence goes on from NC_000004.12 coordinate 183,899,738, forward strand.
CTGATGGAGAAACTGCAGTAAGTTATCTCAAAGATCTAGCTCAGATCATTGATGAAGGTGACTATACTAAACAATGTATTTTCAATGTAGACAGAACAGTCTTATTTTGGAAAGAGATGCCATCTAGGACTTTCATAGGTAGAGAGGAGATGTCAATGTCTGCCTTCAATGGTACCACCTTCAAAGGACAGGCTAACTCTCTTACTAGGGGCTAATGGAGCTGGTGACTTTAAGTTGAAGCCGATGCTCATTTACTATACCAAAAAACTTAAGACCTTTAAGAATAATGCTAAATCTACTCTGCTTATGCTCTATAAATGGAACAACAAAGCCTGGATGACATCACATCTGGTTACAACATGGTTTACTGAATATTTTAAGCCCACTGTTGAGACCTGCTGCTCAGAAAAAAAGATTTCTTTCAAAGTATTATTGCTTATTGACAATATACTTCAGTGACAGTGATCACTGAAGAGCTCTGATGGGGATGTACAGGGAGATTAATGCTGTTTTCATGCCTGATAACACAACGTCCTTTTGCAGTAGCCCATGGATTAAGGAGTAATTTTGATTTTCAAGTCTCATTATTTAAGAAATACGTTTCATGAGGCTGTAGCTGCCATAGATCATGATTCCTCTGATGGATCTGAGCAGAATAAATTGGAAACTTTCTGGAAAGGATTCACCATTCTAGATGCCATTAGGAAAATTTGTGATCCATGGGAGGAGGTCAGAATATCAACATTAACAGGAGTTTGGAAGAAGTTTATTCCAACCCACAGGAAAGATTGTGTTCAGATGCTTAGGTCTTTAATGAATGTTCCGTATACTAGAGATACAAGTTCAAAAATTCAAACTGCAAGTTTTCCTTTACTAGAGATGCAAATTGAAAAATCAAAATTTCCTTAAGGTTTTACATTCAATTTATTCTATTTGTAAATTTTGTATTTTTAAGTAAAAAATAAAAACCATAACTCTTGGGGTCTTTGAAAATCATTTGATCAACTTGAATGGAAGACTAAATCCCTTTTACTTAACAATTAGCCCTACTTAGAAACATCTTTAAATACATTCCCTTAAACATTTAAAGTGCATCTATAAATTTCATTTATTTAATTTTTAAAATTTATTACTATTTTTATTGAGGTAAAATACACATAACGTAAAATTTACCATCTTAATCATTTTTAAGTGTATATAGTCCAGTTAAGTTAAATACATATATAACATTATGCATCCATTACGACCATCTATCTCCGTAATTCTTTTCCTTTTGTAAAATGGAAACTCTCTACCAATTAAACAACAACTCAAACAACAACCCCTCCTTTCACCTTTCCTCCAGCCCCTGGCCACCACCATTCTCCTTTGTGTCATTATGATTTTGACTATTCTAAGTACTTTGTATAAGTGGAATTATGCATTATTTTTCTTTCTGTGACTGACTTCTTTCACTTAGCATTCTGTTTTCAAGGTTCATCCCTGTTGTAGCATTGGACAAGATTTCCTCTCTTTAGAATGCTGAATAGATTCCATTATATGTATATATTGCATTTTGCTTATCCACTCATCCCTCAATGGGTACTTGGGTTGCGCCCATGTTTTAACTATTGTGAATAATGTTGCTATGAACATGGGGGTGGTCCAGATATCTCTTCGAGTCCCTGCTTTCACTTCTTTTCGGGTATATCTAGAAGTGGAATTGCTGGATCATATGGTAACTCTATTTTTAAGTTTTTGAGGAGTTGCCATACTGTTTTCCACAGTAGCTGTACCATTTTGCTTGCCTACCAACAGTGCACAAAGGTTCCAGTTTCTCCACATAATTGCCAATGTTTGTTATTTTCTGGTTTTTGGGTATTTTTTTTTTTTTTTTGATAGTAGCCGTCCTAATGGGTGTGAGTTGGTATCTCATTGTAGTTTTGATTTGCATTTCTCTAATGATTACTGATACTGAGTATCTTTTCATGTGCTTACTGGCCATTTGGATATGTTCTTCGCAGAAATCTCTATTCAAGTCCTTTGTCCATTTTTGAATCTAGTTGTTTGTTTTTTTGTTGTTGAGATTTAGGAGTTCTCTGCATACTCTGGATATCAATCCCTTATCAGATATATGCTTTATAAATATTTTCTCCCATTCTGTGGATTGTCTTTTCTCTGTTGACAGTGTCTTCTGATGCACACATTTTAAAAATTTCATGAAGTCAGTTTTTCTGTTTTTTCTTTTGTGGCTTGTGTCTTTGATGTCATATACTTGGTACACTTGATTTTTAAAAAGTAGTTAATATATCTGACGAGGAAGGCTTCAACCCAAATTTTCCCCAGTACTCTATTGGGCCTTTAGTAGTCATCAAATATGTGCCAACCATTGCTAGCCATTGGGGATATAGCTCTGAACAAAACAGAACAATGAGCAACAATGAATAAGACAGAAAATATCCCTCATCCTTATGGAGTTTACATTCTTCTAACTCTAAATTCATTCAACTGTAGCAAAGCTGATAAACTAAAGTTTTAAATGAAGAGGATTTCAAGTCAAAATTTGTATACCTTTCAATTTAAGATTACAAGTCTAAAATCAATTATACATTTGAATTAGAGTCACAAAGCAAATCTGTGTAATTAGTGTCTCTAATCTGTCTGATATGAAAATACCAAATATACACATTTTAAAAGCCCGATTAAATAATACTAATGCTATAAAATCGATTTGCTTTATCATTCATTTAATTCTAACTTTCCTAATATTGAATACTGGCTTACAAAACCGAGCTTGCTTGATGGACAACTCATGACCCAGGTACATGATTGTCTGAGGTAGGTTTAGAGATCTGAAACTGGGCCCAGGGACATAGGGGTTGTATATGACCAGAGTGACTCTTTCCATCATAACACAGATGGACAGACTGAGTCTGATTTTAATAGTGGCTATAGTAACAGGGAACTCCATTTTTCTTCAGATTGGACTGGTTTCACAATACGCTGTTTGCTAGATTTAAGCCTTCCCTTCATAGCACTATTCAGCATTGTCCCCAGTTTGGATGGATAAATTACTACACCACCCATACCTACTTTGCCATCTGATCCGATTCAGCTAACTCAGCCTATGTACCACCTGATTATTCTACATCAGGCTAGTTGGCCACGAACACTGGATCATGTCACCCCTCTGCAAGGTCTGCATTTGGAGGTGGCTGAGTGGAGCTATAGCTCTTCTCCCCAAATGTCCATCAACTCACCTCCCGTCTTTCATATGAACAATTAATATTTTCTCAGTTTAATCAAGTGCGATTCAAACTTACTTCCAGAAAATTCTTAGTCAATCTCTCCCTTCGAACAGATTCCCTCTTCTTCTGTAAAGAAATTCTAAAAATATCATTGCTTCTTTGATCCAAACTCTTCAACGGCTCACACTGCACTTGGAATAGAATATAAAACCTTTACCATGGCCTGCAAGTTCCGGCATGATCTGGCTCTGCATCCTTCCATGACCTCATCACAAACCTCCCTCTTACTGTGCTCCAATTTCAGCCACAGTGGCCTTTTTCCACTTCCTCCAACAGAAAGTCAAGATCCCTTCTACCCCAGGGCCTTTGCACAGACTGTTCCCCCTTTCTGTAACACCATCTCCCCCACTCTTTGCTTGAGTGGCTCCTCATGCTGTAGGTCTCAGCTCAACTGTCATTTCTTAGAGAGATTATTGTTCTTCATAGAACTTAGCACAATTTCTGCATTTATTTGCCTACTGTTTCTCTTCCATACTAGACGGTTTGCTGCAGGGTCATGTGTGGTGTTCTGTTTGCCCAGCACCCATCCCAGGGCTTGCGTATTCTAGACAGTCAGCCATTGTTTGCTGAATGAATGACTATCACAGTTGCCACAGCAGTCACCATTAGCTTTAAGTCATAGCTATTATAATCATTCATATAACCACCTTTGGCTCTTGGGAGGTACTGAGTAATTGTTGAATTGAGATATCTAAATGTCAGTTCTCCTACATTCATTAATACAACTTGTTATTACCTTATGGTCCTTTACACCAGCGGCCCCCAACCTTTTTCACACTGGGGACCAGTTTCGTGGAAGACAGTTGTTCCTTGGACTGGGGTGGGGGTAGGGTTGGAGAGCAGAAGGTTTTGGGATGATTTGAGTGCATTACATTTACTGTGCACTTTATTTCTTTTATTATTACATTGTAATATATAATGAAATAAATATACACTCACCATAATGTGGAATCAGTGGGAGCCCTGAGCTTGTTTTCCTGCAACTAGAGAGTCCCATCTGGAGGTGATGGGAGACAGTGATAGATCATCAGGCATTAGATTCTCATAAGGAGCACGCAACCCAGATCCCTCCAAGCATGGTTCACAATAGGGTTCGTGCTCCTGTGAGAATCTAATGCAGCCACTGATCTGACAGGAGGCTGAACTCAGGAGGTAATGCCAGTAAGCAATGGAGAGCTGTTGTAAATACAGATGAAGCTTCACCACCCACCTCCTGCTGTGCTGCCTGGTTGCTAATGGGCCGAGGACTAGAAGCTGCACGGGGTCCGTAAATATCTGTGGGGTAGGTAAATATCCAAGCAGTCCATGGCCTGGGAATTGGGGATCCCTGCTTTATACAGCTAGCTTTCTATAACTTCTAAAGCTGTAATCTTTCTGTTCTTAGCAGTTCTCTTACAGGAAAGAAGACATTGAACTAAAAGTGCCTTCTATAACTTCTAAAGCTGTAATCTTTCTGTTCTTAGCAGTTCTCTTACAGGAAAGAAGACATTGAACTAGAAGTGCCTTTCCCAATTAAAAATAAAAACCACAGAACATTAGTGAATTGGTTGACAGTAATACATTTTGATTATGTAAATATAAATTCCATAGGCTACTTAGTGATTATTTATTTATTTACCCTGGGTATCCCAAGAGGTAGTACAGTGGCCACAGGTTATAGAGGGCGGTCTTGAGATCTGAATGAGGAGAGCTCTAATTCTAGATTTTATAATGCCTGTGGCTTAACGCCATCCTGCTCTGCCTGGTTCTTCAAGATAGTTGCTACCCCCCTCAAATAATTCAAGCCTTGGAATAGCACAGATTGTGTTAGAACTTCCTGAATCCTAACCAGCTAGAATCCACTGGCTTGTTTTTGCGATATCAGCCTGTTAGAAGCATATCCCTATAAAGATTTAATATCCCTGTCTCTGCATCTTGGCACCTGTGAATATGAAACAACAGCATAAATATGATTTTGAACGTTGCATTGTCACAGATGAAAAAATGCACCAACATGTCAAATGCAGCGCTGAAAAAGGAAATCGGGCTTATTTTTGTCGTTGTTTACTGTACCAAAGCATTTTTGAAAACCCAAATCGAGGAGATAACCGTTTTTGAATGAACGGCAGTGCAAAGCGTGGTCGGGGTTAGCAGCAACGTGGCTGGGCGCCTTTAACTCGGCGTGACCTCCGGGTCCCAGGCCCGCGTCCCGGGCCCAGCGCCCAGGCCCGGGCGGCGCATTGGCCCCTCCTCCCCTCGCGCGCCGCGCGCATTGTTGTCCTTTAGCGATTGGTTGTTGGACCAGAAACAGCTGTGCAGAGCCGTGCCATCTAAAGAGCTGTGGACCTGAATGCAGCGTAGCGGGCTGGCGGTGACTTACACCGGGACTCCAGAGGGAGAGAGGAAGCGCTGCAGGCCACTTGCATTGCGTCTTCCAGGCTGCGTGGACCCGGCGCCCCGGCGTGTGCGGTTGTGGGGGAGCTCGCCGTGGCCTCCCCTCCCTCTGGCTTTAGCTTCCTTTGGGGTTGGCGCAGGTGGGCCAGGCAGCGCACCGCAGATCTCCCCGTTCCCACGAAGGCTGGCTCGCTGTCTCTCTCCGAGCGGGAGGGACCATCCTAAAAATATGTAAATATCCAAGCGCTGGCTCCAGGCTGGGGCAGCTGCCAAGGTCCCCGCGCCGCCGCCGGGTGTTTTACATGAAAATGAGAAGCCTGATGGGAACCGCGTTCTAACTTAAGGCAGCCTGGTGATTAGCATGAGACTGGGCGGCTGTCCTGCTTCCTGCCCTTCAATAGCCGTTCCGCGCGCTCGCGCCGGAGCAGCGCTGCCGCCGCGCGGGGGTCGATCGCAGGCTCGGCGTCCTTGGCAGCCATGGCTCCGGCGCCGCCTCGGCCAGTAAGTAGGAGCATGCATGTGTAGGGGGCACATGCGTGTCGGCGCACCCACCCAGCCATCCACCCGCGCGCACGCACAGCGCCCGGAGCCTCGGCAAGGGGAAGATTGACGAGGCGCTGCAGTCGCGGGGACGACGCGGGCTCTTCCTGGATTCCGCAGGAGCCCGCCCGCCGCAGCTGCTGTCTGCAGAGCCTGCTCGGATCCTGTGCACACGCGCCCCCCGCTCGAGCCTCTGTGATGAAGACTGTCTCCCGGGGACTGCAGCGGAGGCAGAGCCAGCCAGCGCCGGGGACTGCGGGCCGTGCGGCTGATAGGCCCGCGGGGACACGACTCGGACACTGTCATCCCCACGCCTCGCGCTGAGCTGCCCGGCGCGGAGGGTCTGCCGCCGCCCCTCCGGCCTCCCGCACGCCCGATCCCGGGTCAGCCCCGGAGGCCTCGGCTGCCTCATTTGTTTGGGTCTTTTGTGCCGTGGCTCCCAGTTGGCCAAGCACTCCTGCGCTGAATCGGGCCATTGTCTGCGCTCCCATTGCCTTCACGCTGCAAGTCTCGGCGCCCCCACCCCGCCCGCCCCCTCCCCGCCTCCTCCCGGCCGGGGAGCCTCCTAACGTGCCTTTCCCCCCAGGAATCTGGAAGCTATAAGCCGGGCGGATTGCAAATGAAGTGTAATGCATTGTGGGACGTGTGTAAAATCGGAGCCTTCGCCGTGGGGGTGTGGGGGGGCGTGGGGAGGGCCGGACCCGCCGCTGGCGGTGTAGACGCCGACGAGGAGGGGCTGGGAAAATGTGCGCAGAGTCCGCCCGGGTCGTGCCCGCCGTAGACGGATGAAGGAGCGCGCTGCGCCCCGGCGCTGAGGCCCCGAGGATCGGGGCGGCAGGTCGCCCTCCCCACCATGAAGAAGACCCGGAGCACAACCTTGCGGCGAGCCTGGCCTAGCTCGGATTTCTCGGACCGGGCCTCGGACCGCATGAGGTCCCGCAGCGAGAAGGACTACCGCCTGCACAAGCGTTTCCCCGCGGCCTTCGCGCCCCAGGCTTCGCGGGGCTACATGACATCAGGTTGGTTGGTGACCGCGTTTCTGCCCCCGGGCCGGGGCCGCGGGACGTGCTCGGTACGCCGCGGCCCGGGTGCTTGGAGGAGAGGACGGGCAGTGATGGATGCGATAAGTTATGGGGAAAGCAGGAAAAAATTAGCTCCCATCCACCATTTTGTACCTCCCAAGATCCACAGCAGGCCCTCTCAATATGGGGTTGGAGAGCTATTAGTTAGGTAAAACGAGGGAGGGGGGACGAGCCGGGCGTTTTGGCTGCAGGGAGATAAATGACTGCAAGCCCCGGCGCTGCAGCCTCCTCGAGCTTTGTGGAGGATCCTGCGCCCAGGGTTGCCTGCAGTGCCAGGCTTGCTGGCTGCTGCATTGTGGCCGGTTATCTGAGTGGGTATTTCCAGCAGCCCCCTGTTCTCCAAAAGGAACAGGTTCCATGCGCAGCTCTGGATGGGCTGAGTCAGGGGAGAGTCCTGCAGACATCCCAGGCTGGTCTGATTTGCACGCAGAGAACTGTGTTGGAGCTTACTGAACGCGTTCTGTGGGGGTAATGGTGTGGATGCGGATTGAATGCTCACATGATTCTGTGTGGATTTAACATATGTTGCTTTGAATTAGGCTGTATGGAAAGAATGGAGGCTGTATCATGTGTTTGCATGTCAGACAGGAGGGACAAACAAAACGGTAAATGGAAAGGGAAGGCTTCAAAAAAGATTTCCGCTTAAAATGCAGTGCTGTGAAAAGCCTTCCTGAAGGAGCCAGTTCTTTTTTTGGAAATACAACGGAATGGCTTTGGTTTGATTTGGGAACCCAGGGATGAAATTCTTGAGGGAAATGCTGAAGGAGGAAAAGCCTGGAAACCTTCCGTTGCCTTCTCCTTACTTCTCCTTAACCACTTGGATGTAATGATGTGTAAGGCATCGGTTCTTATTTATTTTTCATTCAGAGAAAAATTTAGATTTTCTTCTAAGCACACTGTAATGGAAGAACCGAGATTTTATTTTAAACCACATACTGTACCAAATCACTCTGAGCCCTGTCTTAACTGGGAAGATCATTTTAAGCTTGTGGTTGGTACTTACAGTCTAGCTTTACTCTTTTTCTCCTAAAACAGCAAGTCCTTTTTAACTGGGGTCAGCATCTCATGCTTCAAAAATGCCTTGCGACCGCATTTCCACGAACATAAAGCCGAAATAAAAGAACCATCTTTTTTATTGCAAAGTCAGGCGACATAAGGATGTTGTACTATTTTGGCAATAAGGCTCCCTTGATTTTCCCTTTCATGAAAAGCCAAATTCGTAAAGAAAGTGACAACTACAGTTTATACTTCAGTCATTTAAGTCGCTGCTGTGGTTGCTACACTCTTCAGACTTGTGGCAGTAAATTTTGAAACACACCTAAATGCAAACCTAACCTCAAAACACATATGTACATAAACCCATTGCTGCACTAAGTGTTCAGATAATCCTGGGTTTCATGTACTTAGGGTTTGAATGTCTTCATTCCACACTTCACAGTTCCCCTTTCTTATGCCTCCTAAGGAACCGGTCCTGACACCAACTGTGAAGCTATAGGAGGGTTGGTGGCCATCATTTCATCGACAAACCTGCAACACTCTGTTTCATGATTCAGGCACATTTCCAGGCAGCCAGTTTTTTTTTTTTTTTTTTTTAATCTATCTTGGCATTACCTCATTATCACATTTGCATTCTTTGCAAAAGAACTTGTCTGCTATTGCAGGTGCTGCGAGGCGTTTTTGAGGGCTTGAGGAAGAAGCTTTTAATTGTACTTGATTCCCTTATTTTATTTCTTGATCTACAAATGGTAAGATGGTCCTATGGTGATAATGAAGGATAACCTGTTTCAGGTTGGCGGTTTTCTGTTCAGATTCAATGTTAGGTTACTGCTGAGAAACCTGAAGACCAAAAGATGGAAGAAAAGTGCTGTCATTCATTCAGCATTTTTATGGCGTGCCCCCAAAGAGCGAAGTGCCTTGCTGGATTCTCATGGGGTTATAGGGTTGGATATAATACGGTTCTTGCCCAGGGAGGGAGGCTTATCATTTATTCTTTATTTTAACTGTTAGCTAATACATGGAATAAGAAGCAGGTGTTGCTGCTATGGAAGGAAATGGTAAACATGATGACAAACACCTACAATGAAGATTGGGAGAGTAGGTGGAGTCTTTCTCATGTGCAACTCTTTTGGGGGTTGGGTTGGGAAGGATGTGTATCTTCATCTATTTCCTTTACAAATATGGCTCCTTTCAAAATGTGAGTATTGATAGAAATAGATGATATACTGAAACACTTGGAAATGATTTATAAGACATTCTCATCCTTTTAGGAAATGTAAAGGAGATCCACTTTTATCAAGTTAGTGACTTTGGATACAAACAGAGCCTTTGTCACATAAAATATTGAGTAGAAAATGAAACCACTTAGAAACACATGAGGCCTTTCATATTTCTTCTTTCTGTTTGTTCAGCCATTTGGTTTAATTACTACTGGTATCCTTATACTTGATTTTTAGTAAAAAAGGTTTTTGTTGTGGGGAAATTACTTGGGTTCAAAGGACAAGATAAGCCTTTCAGAGATGTACTAAATGACTTAAAATAACTTCAGTTAAGAGACTATTTTTAGACCCCCTCCCTCAACAAATATTCTGAAAATTATGGGAAACAGTCACTTAGTTTTAAACTTCAGGACATGAGAGAGCCTTGGGAATTTCAAGAAATAGATATTAATAATTTTCCTTTTGGTCTAGCATCCCGTACCACACAGTAGGTGCTTCAAGCAAAATTGTAGGCTTCTATAATAGCAAATGAGACAGCACCATTTCAAACAGTCTTTTCTCCACGAATAAGTAATTACCAGTGTGAAATGTGATTTATAGCAATAGGCTTGACATTTAGCCTTGGCCTTTCCGATACCTTCAGGATAAACTACACTTAAGCTCAAGAGGTTAGAGCGGGCACCTATAAACTAGCGAGCTCTTGCAAAAGGACAGTTAGAGAATGCTGAAACTTTAAGTCTCGAAGACTATGCCTTATGTGACTGTTTAAGCTCCCAACTCATGCTACCAAATCTGAAGAAATCCTAAGAATTCATGAGCTTCCTAGCAACCAGTAAGTTCACAGGCCATGAGATGACTTCATTGTTCATCTTGAATATTAATTTCCCAGTGGTGGTTTCTGGGCAGAAAGGGGAAGATCTTGCCTTTTGTTCAAATCAAGATGAATAATAAAAAGTGCATGGCGTTATCTTAAGAAGAAAAGGGATTGGACCAAATGGATGTGGGATCATTCTTGGGCATTTTCTAAAAGTAGAAGTTACGATATTAATGAACTAGAGATAAAAGCAAAACTCCCCACAAAGGAGCAAATCTGTATAATGAACGCTTAGTACTTTATGTATGAAAACATGCTCATTTGTCTCTGTGAAATGATTTTCAAGGCCCCAAACCTTTTGTTGATGAAGTTGTGAGAGCTTTCTCTGTTAGAATTATGTGAACTGTAAGCTCTTCACACGAATGATGCTGCTAACTTTTAATTTCCTTCCCTCTCCCCTCCCCCAGCCCTGGGGATGGGCGCCTCTTTATATTCCATGTATAATGCCAGCAAAGTTTTGGGGGACATCCTTATTGATCAAGCATGGAAAGTAATTTTTTCATTATACAGGTTCTACAGCACATGATCCTTAAAAGCTTTGTTTCTGCATGAGAAAGCGAAGTCCTGGCCCATTTGAGTTTGATGCTTATCATTTTGATAACATCTTTAAGGAGTAAAGCGTGCGTTTTTAATACTACGGTTTTAAAGCCTTTGAAAAGAAAGATAAAACAAAAGCCCTAAACTGACATTGCAAGAAATTTGAAAGCAGTTTTGTCTGCTGGGGAAGAATGGCCAGCTCATCACCTTGATTAGTTTATTAGTTTTCATTTTATAGAAACTAATTCTGGGGCACGTTTGACTGTGTGTTCCAGTTCCTTATGTTCTGTTATTTTAAGAGACATGAGGGTTTTCTGGGAGTGAAGGATGGACACTGGAGGTTCCAATCTGGGCCTGCCACAAACCAGCTGTGTCCCTGGCGAGTAATATGACCTCCCTCCATCTGTAATGAGTCCCCCACTTCCATGCTGCCATTACAGAATTGGGCTGTGCAGTGGCTCTGTCTTGAGCAAGTGCAAGACTTCTGAACACTTACACATAAATTGTTAGACAAAACTTCTCTGCCCTCTTCTACTTTTTGGAGTCAGGTGCCTCCTGTTTGTGGGAATAGTGCTCATTTTGCGATACAATCCTATTCCCTATCATCCTGAAATGTTACATTAAAGGTATGCGTTTTAGGACTCGCCCTGATGACCAGAGTAATGAGGGGGGAAGAAATAAATGAAGACCTGGCAAGTTATAATCATATGCAAGTTTTAATAAAGAGCGTCCTGTCACGTCCCTTTCCCTCTTTGCCGAGATCCATTTTCAGCCTAGCCGCTCCAACTGTGTTTTAATTTGAAACTACCTATGTTGACTCCTTTCATCAGGCGAGTGGAAGTGAGGAATATTACACTTGGTGGTGAATGACTTTATTCTTTATTTCCCAGGAGAACATGAGTGGGCTTACAAAAGGTCACCTCTCTTGATATTTCAATATCTTTTACATTCTTTCTAATGTTTTTATTTGAAAAAAAGGAATATGAGTGTATTGTATAAAAACCTTAGCACTTCTGCACCTCCAGAGCAATTCTGGCCTGAAATTCCCTACACCCCGGAGAATTAGGACAATTCAGACAATGGTATACTCTTTGGTACACGGTTGCTTAGGCTGCATGCAGGTTATAACTAAAAGCAAAATCTGCTTGGACCCTTGCCAGTAGGTCCTATGCTAACTTTTGAATTTAGGACATGTTTTTATAAATCAGTGATAGAGTGTGTGATGCCTAATCTATAAGGTATAAAGTAGAGGTTCTTCTAGTTTGTGAGAGTATAGATATAGTCTACTCCAAATTGACCTTATCCACAGTAACACAAGAAAGAAAGGACATGGGTAATTTTTTAAGTAGGGAGTACACTTTTCCTGAAGTAGGAAAAGGCTAGTCTTCTTTAACATCAGAAGGCGTGTGCAACCAGTCAGTCAGAAGATTCTATTTGTTCCTCCCACTTAAATATTTCTAAAACCTGTCTCTTCCTCTTCATCTCTGTTGCTGAACCCTTCTTCTGTTCTATTACACTATCTACCAAACAGACCTCTCTTCTGGTTCCATCTATCCTCCTTATGTCCCCAGAGGGCTTTGATGGTTTTGTTTTGGTTTTGTTATTTTAAAATCTCTCCTAAAGCAAAATCACTTGTGTTGCTTCCCTTCCCAGTGTTCCCATCCATCACGCCTGTGGATGAAATCATAGACCAGGGCACATCACAGTATAACCTCCCTCACTTTTCCACCTCTTCTTCTCTTTCCCCCACTGTTCACCTCACCCTGTGCTCTGGGCTCTGGGAGCTCTTTACCTGCATCAGCGCCTGTCACCTTGTGTACCTGTTGTAGTTTATGTGACTTTGCCCAGAATGCGTTCTCCATCCTTACAGGTCTGATAGAATCCTCTTTAGCCTTCCAGAACCAGCTCCTATGCCCCCTTCTCTTGCATCGTCTCTCAGATCCTTTCCAGAGTGATTCGCTCCCACGACGTTTGTTTTGTACTTGTGTTACAGCAACACGGTCACATTGTGCCACATCACGAGTTTACAACCCATGTGTGTCTCCGGTCTGGATGGTGAAATCCTCACTGATAGTACCTGCCTTATTCACATCTCTATTTTGCCAGCAACCACAGAGCTTGGCATGTATCCGGCACACAGTAAATGTGTATGGGATGAGTGACTAAAACATGACTTCTTAGAAAGTTGAATGAGGTCTCGAAGTCCTAATGTGAGTCACCTTTTTGTAACTGCAGAAATTATAAGTATGTATGCTAAGATCCTACTTTTGAAAAGATCTCCCATTGTGATTGGTAGACAGGACCAACAAGCTATGAGTGGATGATTAGAAAGTACTAAATAATAGGATACAATCAAGAGTCAAGTTGGGGTGGTTGATGTGGTTGCTGCAAGTGAAACTGGAGTTCCGAGAACAGAAGGACGTTGCTTAGAAAAGGCTGCCTGGAGGGAGGACTTACTTGGGTCTTGAAGAAGTGGGTCGATTTGAAGAGATGGAGAAGGAGAAGGATTTGGGGAAGGTTGAGGAAGCGGTACAAACCAAGGCATGAAGCTGGAAATGAAAATGGGTGTGTGAAATTTGTCTTACTGTAACTCTGGGATGTAACCAGAAATAATGTGTGGGATCTTGAAATTTGGGCGGATTCAGAGTTTATGGGGTAGGTAACACATTTGTGATTTGGGGAGAGAAATGGTGGAAGCAGCCTTTTTAAAGAGGTGTCAGATCGTGGCTTGCAGGATAGATGCATGTTGTGAACGTCTAGAGGCTGGGAGACCAGAGGGGAGGTGTGTGGGGGTTGATGTGGTGATCAAGCAGTAAGACGACGGCCATAGAACAGTGTGTCCTGGGCCAGGCGTGGTGGTTCGCGCCTATAATCCCAGCACTTTGGGAGGGCGAGGCGGGCAGATTACAGAGCCAAGAGTTCGAGACCAGCCTGGACAACATGGTGAAACCCCGTCTCTACTAAGAATACAAAAATTAGCTGGGCATGGTGGCGCGTGCCTGTAATCCCAGCTACTCGGGAGGCTGAGGCAGGAGAATCTCTTGAACCCTGGAGGTGGAGGTTGCAGTGAGCTGAGATCGCCTCACTGCACTCCAGCCTGGGTGACAGAGCCAGACTTTGTCTGGAGTGTGGGGGTGGAGGGGTCGAGAACAAAACAAACAAAAAAACTGTGTGTCCCAGCACTGCTAGGTATTATTAGCACACCACCCTCAAGATTTTAAAAATATGTCCACATACCACCTAACCTATTTAATACTTCGCTTTAACTTGATCTACTTTTGTATTTAAGTGAATTAAAGAAACAATTTTGCATTTCCTATGAAATTATGGGTTTCTCTCGATAATTATATATTTTTTCTAATCCCTAGTAAAATGGACATTTAATTAGTTCAGTAAAAAATATTCAACTAGGTACTACCCAGAATGAACCCATGTACCTGAGCGGTACTCACACCATGTAGTGGAAAACCTGAGTAGGCCAAGGGAGGAGGGATGGGACAAGGTGGAAAGGGTTATGAAGAGGAAAGGGAGAATCTGGGAGAACAAAGGAACTGGCCGTTCTTTGTAAGTGGTTGGGTTTAAGAGGTGGAAGAAAATAAAGGTGAACATGGCGAAACCCCGTCTCTACAAAAGATACAAAAATTAGCCACACTTGATGGCATGTGCCTGTAGTCCCAGCTACTCGGGAGGCTGAGCGGAAGGATCACCTGAGCCTGGGGAGGTTGAGGCCTCAGCGAGCCGAGATTGTGCCACTGCACTCCAGCCTGGTTGACAGAAGGAGACCTTGTCTCAAAAATAAAAATAAAAATAAAAATTAAAAAGCTGCAACTGATTTTGTTGTTGTTGGAAGAATGCAGTAAATGACCAGGAACCTGCAGAAAGTGAGCAGAGAATGAGTTCCATTTTGGGCTAATGGTTTGGTATTCCAACTACAGAGGGCTTTCAGGTGAACAATAAAGGCGTATAAGTTGCAGGTCATTTGTGCGGCAGTGTTCGTTGTGAACACGAGAATAGCTTGGCTTTCTGTGCTTTCTGTTCCCCTTCTTGGAGGGGAGCAGGTGACTGATTTTTATTTCCAGCAGAAGGAGGTTCAGTTGGATTCCATGAACTCAGAGCCCTCCTTGGGTTTCTGAAACCTGGAAACTCGAGGTTAGGATTGCTTGGAGATTGTCCGCTTTCCTGTTCCTGAAAGTAAAGTGCCCTTTAATTCTTGGATTTGTTTTATTAGTGTTCTCATCTATTCAGAAGCCATTGCATTGTTGATAGAAGGGATATGTTTTTGATGTCTATAGTCAGGTCTGAAAACAGAGCTCTGCAAGTAGCCGCACAAAAGACTAGGCCAGCTATGTAAATAATGTATATTTCAAACATCTGTCATATACCTATCCCGTTGAAAAATTACGGCTTAGGTAACTCATACACACAGTCAAAGTCTCCATTTATCTTTCTACTTTAATCCGTGATGGCCCCTCCAGGCCAAGTTTTCTTTTTCTGAAGATAAAAGAGAGAGATTTGGCAGATGCCTGTGGGCAGTCGGGGTAGCAGGACTATTGCCTGGCCTTATCCGTCTGATGGCCGTAGTTTCAGAGGGAGGAGCCATCCTCTGCAATTAACATTGCCTTCTCACCCCTACAGATTCCTGTCTGGTTGGTTCCCCTAAGAGAGCTAATATGCCATTTACTGCTTTCGGCATATCCAACTTTTGCTTTGAAATTGTCTCGTTATTAGAGAAAACGAAGGCCGCCAGAGTGACTGAGGTGCATGGGGTATTTGTCTTTTTTTTTTTTCCTTTTTGGCTGCCCAGTATCTGAACCTCTTTTCGATGTCGGTGTCATTCCTCATTGTTACGCGTCGAATGTGTCCGCCCAAAAGATAGGTTCAAGTCCTAACCCCCGGTACCTGCGAATATGCCCTTATTTGGAAATCAGGTCATTGTGGCTGTAACCAAGTTAAGATGCAGCAGTACTGGAATAGGGTGAGCCCTAGATCCACATGACTGGTGTTCTTATAAGAAGAAGAAAAGAGACACAGACACAGGGGAGAATACCATGTGACGAGAGAGGCAGAGATGGGAGTGATGTGTTTACAAACGAGGGAAGGCCCAGGACCGACAGCCACCACCGGAGGCCGGGAGAGAGGCCTGGGAGGGCTTCACCCTCAGGGTCCCGGAAGGAAACAATCCTACTGACACCTGGGGTTTCCACTTCTAGCATCAGAGCTGGGAGGGCACATATTTCTGTTGCTTTAACCCACCCACTGTGCGGTGCTAGTTCCAGCGGCCACAGGACACTAGTCCGCCACCTCTGAGCCTTGGTGGCAGGCAGCGCCCGCATTCTCTGTGAAGATGCTGAAATTGCTGTGTAGGTACTTTCCTGGCCTTCCTTACATGGAGGGCAGGGGCCAGAGACCTGGGTTCCACCCAGTGGATATTCCCTTCCTGACTTCTAATCTGGTGCTAGTAAGGTAAGATGATGGAGACTGTGAGACAGAGTCCCGGGACGTGGTGGTGTGGCATGATGGCGTTCCCGGGCCAGGGGTGGCAGCCGGCAGGTGGTGCCCCATGTGCCTTGCTAGTGGTGCCAGCTGTAGGTTTGTGCTTGGTGGTGGCTGTATGTTTCAAGCCTGGGTCTCCAGCCCTCCCTGGAATCCTTGAGTTGCTCAGTGTATTTTACTCTATCCTTTTGCCTGAGAGGCTGTGTAGCATAGTGATTTAGAGCAGAGATGCGGACCTCATGGCTTGGCTTCATAGTTCAATGTTACCATCACTAGCCAGGTAAACTTGGAGAAATCACTTATTTTCTCAGGACCTCGGCTTCCTTACCTGCAACATGGGAATAATAATGGTACCTACCCCTTGGGCTTTGGGTGAATTAATATGTGTAAAGCTCTTAGAACCAAGCTTGGTACAATGGAAGCATTATATCCCTATGACTGATTTTGTCATTAAAAGTAATGGCCAAAACTGCAATGACTTTTGCACCAACGTAATATTAAAAGAGCCAGCATGGGTATAAAACTGTAGAATCCCATCAGACACATATATAGAATCACAACAGGATCTCGATCGTTGTCACTTCAAAGTATTGATATAAAGAGTGACTTGCACAGAAGCTACACAAAAAAGTACAGTTGAGTTTTACTTTGCAACCGTGTCGTCTTCCTACGGTGACCTTTCCAGAACGCTTTTGTTTTCCCCTTTCCAATAACACCCTCTTCCCTCTACTTCCTATCTGCTTCCTCCTAGAGTTTAGAACTTAGTTCCTTGAGGAAACCTGATGGAGTGTGACCGAGCCGCTCCTTCTCTGTGCTCCGGCAGCACTTCTTGCGCACCTCTGAAATAACCGACACATCTGCCATTTTCTTGTCTGACCCTCTGTCTAGACTGGAAGCTCTTTCAGGCCGTGGCTCGGGTCTGACGTGGCTTTGTACTCCCAGTGTCTAGCGAGTGCCAGATGTGTAGCAGGTACACAGCAGTTTAAATGTATAGATACGGGGACACATGGTCTTGCTGGCATTCCCAGTGGCTTCAGTGGACTCTGTATTTCACATCTTTCTCTAACCATATGCGTGGTTGATGCCCCAGGGGTTGATGGAAGGAAGCCACCAGGGTGATTGTGGTGGATCGGTAATCGTGACCCACTCACAGGGGCCCGAAGGAGCAAACTGAAGGAAACTGGGGTAGTTTAGCTGTAACCACCGGGTTGTAGAGATGTGAACTTTGGTTTTAGGATTTTTAAGAATTCCGGCATGGATCTTTGGTGAAATTATAAAACAGTGTCTTCTGAATTCACCAAACGTCTAAGATAAAACTTCCATTTAGATTAGATGCTAGAGCTTGTGATTGGAATGTGCGTTCTGTTAACCTAGTGAACTCATTTGGATTTTCATTTCCATTGGTTTTCAAATAACTGAAAGAAGTATTTGGACATATTTTCCCCACACTTGCAAACTGGCTGTTTATAATGTAGACAAGGGGCAGATGTGGATAACTTTTTAACAGTGCTTTTAAAAAGACTGCTTAGCCAGAGAGTGAACACGTCCCAGAGAGCAGAACAGTGAAGATGGCCATAGTGTCAAGTGGATTTTTCCTTATTTGTGAGAGTGGCTTCTGTCTATGTTCATCAAATGCCTTTATGTGGTAAGGCAGCGCTGTGATTTAGGGCTGTGAAATCAGACATTCATACATTGGTGCTGGCACCCACTTGCTGGCTGTGAAATCCTAACAATCTATGTTATCAGTCTATCCTCTGTTTTCTTATATTTAAGATGAGGATAAAATAGTATCTAATTTATAGTTGTTAAACGTGGATTAAATGAGCAAATGCAATCAAAATAATTAGCATAGTGCCTGACACACAGTAAGAACCTAATACATCTTTGCTACTGTTATTTCTTTTGGAACAGAACTATACAGGATTGACTGGTTTCTAAGTGTTTTACACCTGAGGATGCAGAAGAAGAGAGCCAGCGGGCAACTTGTCTAGTGCTACATAGAGTTAAAAGCGGCTTTAAATGGGATTCTTCGCCTGATATTTGGTACTCATTTATCAGAAATCAAGTATTCCATTTCTTACTGATTTTGGTATGTGCTCTGCTAAGGAAATTCACAGAATTATTCATTTATCCAAGTGGGCTCATTTGTCCTTGAACTTCCAACTAAGGAAAAATGGTAGAGAATCACCGTGCAGTCAGTGTAGTCAGTGTTCCCGTGGAATATAACTCTAGGAGAACTTGGCTTTACTTAAAATCAGGGAAATTGTGCCCCATATAATCAGACATAGCTTACTCTGAGATACTTATTTTGACTTTTCAGTTGAAGGTAAAGGAGAAAACTCCGCTTCTGAGCTGCGAGTTCAGCTGCGTGTTTATGTGTTTGCATATGTGGTAAAAACCAATCTTGCAGAAGCACAGTTGAGAGGGGAAAGCTGTGAAGCGAAGGGACATCTTTCAAGGCCAGTTTTGAAAGTAAAGCCAGTAGGCTCTCTCCTGCCAACCAAGTGCATGTTCCTCCTTCGGTGAGTTTATAAAAGTAGTGATGGGCCCAGTGGAATCTCAGGTCAGCACGGCCTCTGGGTTGCTTAGGAAATAAAGGAGGGTGCTAGAATTGGAGGTCCACTCTTCACATGTGTTAATATTTCAGCTGCTACGAGCAGACGGTTTGGCAGCCAGGCCTGGGGCTCCGGGATGACGGCCTGAGCTGGAGGAGCAGCGTGGGTTTTCCCTCCTGCACACACCTCCTGTGAACCTCTGCACCAGCCAGGATCTGGGAGCTCAAAGCTGCCCACCTTCGCTGCATCTACCCCCGAGTTTCCATGTTACTTATTCATTTGCAACATATCCTTTCCCTTCCTTCAAATCAAGGGAAAGATAACTAAAGAAAAACCAAAACGGTACGAAGTAACTTGCTTTCTATGGTTATGCCCAACTAATTGAACTTGGAAAGCCTGTTCTACTTATGATTCCACAAGTATTGGCTTTCTTTAGTCAAAGCATAGCTTCTGGAGCATGCAGATCTTGTTTTTCCATATGGTGTACGCTGCTTGATGTGGGTGATTTAAACACATGGAGAGTTACACAGAATGTTTGTTTGGGATGCCAGAGGCGTAGTGAATAGTAGTGTACCATCCTGGCCTAAGGGCCAGAAGTGGAGGTTTCCATCGTGAGATGCAGCCATGTGCTTGCAAGGCTTCCTCTCCAGGGCAGCGCGGTGGAGTGTGCTTGGGCTGGGACTGGCCGTGGGCCAGCTAGAGGTGGGGTTTATGGTTCCGCAGTCGTGGAGTCAGGCCCCGCCGGGAGGTGTCTGTTAAGCTCGGCAGTGGCTCAGGCCTGGGATGTAAGCACAGTCTGAGAGCATGCTTCCTACGTGATAGTGGAGTGCTGGTGTGCTCCTGAAATGTCAGTATGGAAAAGGGGCCTCTTTACCCTCAGCTCCCTTTCACCTAAGGAAGGAAACCATTGTTGTTATTGGGATTGTTTTTTAAGATGGTCTCACTTTGTCACCCAGGCTGGAGTGCAGTGGTACTATCGTAGCTCACTGCAACCTCTACCTCCTGGGATCAAGCAATCCTCCCCCCTCGGCCTCCCAAGTAGCTGGGATTAGAGTTGTGTACCACCATACCTGGCTATTTTTAAATTTTTTTGTAGACTGGGTCTTGCCGTGTTACCCAGGCTGGTTTCAAACTCCTGGGGTCAAGGAGTCCTCCTGCCTTGGCCTCCCAGTGTGCTGGGATTATGGACATGAGCCACTGGACCTGGGTGGAAACCGTTGTTTATTGAGCATGTACTTGGTGTGTTGGTACCTGTGTAAGTGTCACCTTGTTTAGTCCTCACAGCAATCCTGCAAGGGTGCCACTGATTAATATTTTAGCAACACAAATGTAAAAAAATTTCAGAAAACTGAGATTTCACATACTCATCGGTATACTTTTAATCATGTTCAGTGTTAGTAAAATAACTTCTTATTTTTATTTATTTTTATTTTTATTTTGAGACAGGGTCTTGCTCTGTCACCCAGGCTGGAGCACAGTGGCACCATCTCGGCTCACTGCAACCTCCGCCTCCTGGGTTCAAGCAATTCTCCTGCCTCCGCCTCCTGAGTAGCTGGGATGGCCTGCCACCACGGCCAGCTAATTTTTGTATTTTTAGTAGAGATGATTTCACCATATTGGCCAGGCTGATCTTGAACTCCTGACCTCAAGTGATCTGCCCGCCTTGGCCTCCCGAAGTGCTGGGATTACAGGTGTGAGTCACCAGACCCAGCCTTCTTATTTTTAAGTAAAGTATTGAATACTGTTTCATTCCCCCAGTGGTTCATCTTGCACTTCCTCTAAGTGGACCCCACTGTAGAAGCCTGTGCTGTAATGAGAGAGCAGATTTTAGGGCTCCTTGCATATTCTAACAAGTCTAACCCTAAATATTTGGGTATGTTATTTAAAAATAATCTCTTCTTAGCCAGCTGAGGTTCTTCTGAGAATTATCTTGCCTTACCCAAAGAACAATAAAGCCTCCTAAGATCTGGTAAGGGGCAGGCTGGGGGATTTGCTGAGTGTTTCCCTGCTGCTATTTCTTCCTCTTCCTCTTTTTAGCACCTTAGAGTGGGTTTCAAATGCCATTGTAATGCCGTTGTGAGCTCCTTAGTCGTCTTAATTGGCTTAGTGTTATCATGAGCTGCCAATCATGTAGTGAACATCCCTGATTCCTGGAGAAGATGAGATAGCTGGGACCAAACAACTCCTAGGTCTTAACGCATTTAGTGCAAAGGTACCTGACAACAAAATTTGAAACATCAAATGAAAAGAAGTCTCAAACATAAACATAATTTCGTTCATTTGCAAATCATCTTCTTTTGCTTACTCATTTTCTCTTGTATTTTTCTTGACTTTTTTAGTTATGAAAAATTGCTGAAGAAGCATTCGGTTTAGCACAGTCTAATTTCTGCCATCTGTTGTTGTAAGAGTTAGACCGAACATTATTCTGAGGATAGCAGGAGGCTAGGATCTATGAGGATAGCAGTAGGCTAGGATCCAAATAATTGAACAATTTGACAGTACCTGGCACAGTAATTCAAAATGACAGAACTGGGGGCAAAGAAGAAGTTCTATGGGTTTGCATGGTGTAAGATAAAATCAAGTTCAAGGTAATCAAGAAAGAAATTAATAAACTAGGAATTTTGTTGAATATGATTAAAAACTATAGATGGTTAAAAATTGGGTAAACCAACTGTATCTTTGATAAGGATCAGTGAACTGGTTTAGAGTACATTAGATGTATATTACAAATCTTCCTTTTGGGGGAAAACAAAAAAAAAGTGTCCTGTGACTCCCTGTAGGAGGGTCAGTCTGAGAAAATCCGTTACAATTTCCTCCAGCATTTCAGTGGTCCAGGAGGATGGGTTCAGTAACCCATGGCAACCCAGTGAATGTGGGTAATAGGAAAACATAAGCTTCATTCAGTTCTGTTAGTAGGAGGACTTGCAAAATCTAGCACCTACATAATCCTTGGAATGTATAAGATTTAATATAATACAAATAAAGGAAACCCCAGCTCTTTAGAACATTTAAGAACAGTCACAAAGCTTTATGAAATACGGTATATATTTCTAAAAGACCAAAATTGCTTTTAAACAATATATAATAGTTAAAAATGATATCTTTTATTAACTCTTACTCCCGTTTCATGGCTAGCTAACTAGCTAACACTTAAATTCTCTGTATACTATACTAAAGAAATATAACACAAAGTTGTCAGCTTTTAACTAAAAATATGATTTATAGTTTCTCTGTATTTTTAACTTTAGAATCAATACACCAAACGATAAACTCGTAAAATGAAAAAGGTCAAACACTTGTATTCAGTTTCCTAAGATGAGAATTTCTTAATTATTTGCATGTCTACTTAACTTCTTATTGTCTTCCTCTTTCTAATGATATTCTGGGAGAGATTTGATTAGTAAACTACCTCTTTAGAGCAAAGGGTTTTAACGATTTACAGCACATTAAATGTATAGAAATTGCATTCATCTGAGCTAGATGACTTTCCTCAAATTCGCTGTTCCCTGGTGCTTTGAGAAGATGAATAGTTTGTTCCTCAGGTGCAAATATTATTTTAACTGTTTAGATTCATGCTTAGTCATGCATTTTTTTAAACTTACTTTTTCAAATTGTGGTAAAAAAAAAACACATAATGCAAAAGTTACCATCTTAACTTTTTTTTTTTTTTGAGATGGAGTCTCGCTCTGTCGCCCAGGCTAGAGTGCAGTGGCGTGATCTTGGCTCACTGCAACCTCCACCTCCCGGGTTCAAGCAATTCTCTGCCTCAGCCTCCCGAGTAGCTGGGATTACAGGCGCCCCCCACCACGCCCGGCTAATTTTTGTATTTTTAGTAGAGACGGGGTTTCACCATCTTGGCCAGGCTGGTCTTGAACTCCTGACCTTGTGATCCACCCACCTCGGCCTCCCAAAGTGCTGGGATTACAGATGTGAGCCACCGTGCCTGGCACAAAAGTTACCATCTTAACTTTTTAAGGGTACAGTTCAGTGGTATTAAGTACATTCACATTGTCATGAGGCCAACATCAGGGTGTATCCTGGGAACTGTTTTCATCTTGCAGAACTGAAACTCTGCACCTATTACACACTAACTCTCGGTCCTCCCTACCCTCATCCCCTGCAACCATCATTCTACTGTCTGTCTCTGTGAAATTGATTACCCCACCTCATCTAAGTAGAATCATAAAATATCTGTCCTTTTGTGACTGGTTTATTTCACTTAGCATATCATCAAGTTTCATCCATGTTGTAGCGTGTGTTGGAATCTTCTTCCTTGTTAAGGCAGAATCGTATTCCATTGCCCACGTGTACCATGTTTTGTTTATTCATTCACCTGTTGATGGACATTTGAGTTCCCACTATTTTGCTCTTGTGAAGAATGCTGCTGTGCACACAGGTGTACAAAGAACTGGCAAGTCCCTGCTTCAGTTCCTTTATGTACATACCCAGAAGTAGCATTGCTGGCTCACATGGTAATTCTGTTTAACTTATTTTGAGGAACCACCAAACCGTTTTTCACAGTGGTTGCACCATTTTGCATACCCACCAACGGTGTACAAGGGTTCTAATTTCTCCACATCCCTGACAACACTTGTTATTTTCTGTTTTTTTCCTTGATAGTAGCCATCCTAATGGATGTGTGTTCTTAGTCATGTATGTTATGAAGTACACTCATAGCTCCATGCTGTGGATGATCTGTCTTCTCTGAGAAGTTAGAAGAAAACTGGAGTGATCTCTGTGTTGTCTGCTGCACAGAGAAACATGATCAGCTGGAGTCTTTCTTAGAAGGCCGCTGTCACTTGATTAATAACCAACACGGAAGGCAGAGGCAGAGCAGACCAACAAACGTGCTCCTGGTTTCTTGTGCTTGTATTTGAATACTGTTTTCTTATTTTTTTCCAAGCGAGGGAAATATTTAAACACAGGCAAAGTACACTTGTGATTCTTTAAGTTTTATCCCTGTTTGCAGTGTGTGCTATGAGGTAGTGCTGTGGGATGTAACCATATGGGCCCTTCCCAAGTTGCTTAAAATGTAGTGAAGAGCTTAGAATATCTTTAGGGGTGAGCTGCAGAAAGTGAGGTGTCAGATGAGTCCTTACCTGGGGCTGTGAGGGGTGTGGCATGGAGTTGTCAGGCTGCATTCGGCAGGGTCAGCATTGAGTTGACTCTGTCCTTGTGTTCTAGATATACCCTCCGGAAGGTAGGAACACTCTGTAGACTGTGGTTCCTAGACACCATCTGTGGACCAGCATTGAGTTGGTTCCTTCTGCAGAATCATCTGGGGAACTTAAGCAGATACACATGTTAGCCTCATTCCAAAGTATTTGTAGCTTGGGATGGGGTCCAGAACTTTATATTTTCAAAGCTCTCGAGGTGATTCTGATGTACAGTTAGGTTTGGTAGCCACTGATTTGGAATTGCCTGTCCAGGACAGCAGCCTCTCAGCTCCTTCCTTCAAATCCTCACTGCTTCCTCACACCTTCAGCAAACCAGCGTTGCCTGTTCGTGTCAGGGCCTTGACACGTATGCTTGTCTTATTAAAGAGTCAGGATCCATTCTTGCCTTGAAGGCCCCCACAGTTGGCTGGAGATATACAGGAAACCACTGCGGGACAGTGGGATGAGGGTGATGATGGGGGCTGAGTAAGGGGGGCTGGACCCCCACAGAGACTAGGACATGGGAAAGGACTTCTGAGGAGGCACAGGAGCCCCGTGTCTGCCCTTGGAGGGGCAGGCAGCCCAGCAGGAAAGGACAAGAGAGGCTGGAGACAGGAGGAGTCCCCCAGGCAGTGCCCTCTCTCTGGAGGCCAGCAGATGAGAGAGACAAGGCAAGAGAGAGGAGGGGCTGGGACCCAGGAGGACCTTATGTTTCGAGCTGAGGAGCTGTCGGGTTATTCTGAGCTTAATGAGTCCCAGACAGACTTGAGGTAGGGGAGTGACATGTTGGGATTTGCATGAGAGGGAGATCGCCCTGGCTCAGGGTGGAAAATGGATTGTAGGGCCTAGAGGAAGAAACTGATAGGCCGGCAGTGGATAGAGATAGGCTCGCAAGGGTGACAGGGCCAGAATGTTGAGGAATTCCATGCCTGGCGGTGCCTGTCTCTACCTTGAAGCAGGAAGTTGGCTGCAAGAGTTGGAAGAGGTCATGGGCAAGATACCAGAGTCAAGATAGCTGTGCTGGCGTCAGAAGGTACATGCGTAGACCTCCCTTAGAGAGTCTTAGGGAGGCCTGCTGAGGCCGGATACCGTGAATTTGTGGTGGCCTTAATTTGTATGATGAGTGATTTTTACATGTAGCGGTCTATAATCTGAGTGCAAAAGTGGGAGTACCAAACATTTGGATTTTTCTAGGTTTTAACACTTTGCCAAGTAGAAGGATCTAGAGTAATGAGGAAGTTGAGGTTTCTTTTTCTCCCCGTGTTTTAATCTTCGAATGAAGCCAGGGCTGATGGGATGTCTCCTTTGGGGGTTTGTTCCTAGTGAAACAGAGGTTTGGTATATGAGAAGGTGAAAGCACAGGTTTGGTATGTGATACTCCTTAATCTTCTGAATGGTTCTCTAATGATGGTAGTCTAAATACTCAGAAAAGGAATCCAAATTGAAAGAGGTACAACGGGTGAAAATTTGAATCTTGATCACAAACTGTCATTTCAAACTCACTTTTTTTTCGGTAGAGTTGGGGTCTTGCTATGTTGCCCAGGCTGGTCTTGAACTCCTGGGCTCAAGAGATACTCCCACCTTGGCCTCCCAAAGTGCTGGGATTACAGGCATGATCCCCCTTCCCCGGCCCCTCCCCCGGCACACTTGCAAAGTTGCTTGAAGAATAATTCCAGTTGGAGTCTATTATCATGAAGAATTATTTCTGAAGGACACTTGAGCTCTTCTTAAGCTCTAGTCAAGAAAAATTGATCACCTAATTAAGCTTTTGTCAGATATGACTTTCTGTGTATATAATGTTCCACTAGACAATGTAATACATATAACTAGGACTAGAATTGCACTAATTTGGGATAATTGGGAGGAAGACCTGTCTAAATAAGTAAAAGATTTAAATTTTATAGAATGTTTAATGGAATGCAGTCTTATTACTTTCATGTCCTTAAGCTATCTAATGAATGGATAAATTATTTATAATTAGCATATCAATGGTTCTACTAAGAGATTGCTCCTTTTAGTATTTGAAAACAGGGTTTTTTTTTTCTTCTTGAATCATTGATATGGTGCCCTGAACTTTTATTTATGGCAGTTATTTGTCCTAGCCAAAGGAAAGGTAACCTTTAACCTGGCCCTATCCCATCATCGCCAAACTCCAAATTGGTAGGTTTCGAATTAACATGAAATTTTATTACATGGGAGAACCAAGTAATTCTGCATCCTTAATGACACGAGTCTTTTTCGTTTTAAAAAAGAAATCTGTATTTCCATCACCTATATGAGAACAGATGTGTTTTTAAAATTCAGAGGAAAAATACACAAATAAATATTCAAGATAAAGAAATAAAACAGTCAAGATACATTAAAAAGTGCAGATTTTAAAAATTAAGAAAATAAGATAAGGGAATAATAAACATAAAAAATATAAAGCATTCAAGATAAACACTCAAAATGATAAATAAGTAAATATCCAAGAAGAAATAAGTAAGAAACACGTCATTTTCCCCAAAGAATATTTTAGAATTCCTGATAATAATGTTTTCCACTTATTGAGGCCCTCATAGGAGCCAGTGATATTCTTTCATTTAATACAACACCCAATTCTCTGAGGTTGGTATTATAATTATATCAGTTTACTGATAAAGAATTTGTGGTTGAACATTACTAGCTAATTAATGGCAGAGCTAGGATTCAAATCTGGATCTGCTAACTTTTCTTAGGACGAACCTTTAGTACTTCATCTTCCAATGTATAATTAGAGTAAAGCAAAAGTGGGTTTTTTTTTTTTCTTTTTGAGACAGAGTCTTGTTCTGTCACCCAGGCTGGAGTGTAGTGGCACAATATTGGCTCACTGAAACCTCCACCTCCCGGGTTCAAGCAGTTCTCCTGGCTCAGCCTCCCAAGTAGCTGGGACTTGGCACGCGCCACCATGCCTGGCTAATTTTTGTATTTTTAGTAGAGACGGGGTTTCGCCATGTTGGCCAGGCTGGTCTCGAACTCCTGACCTCAGGTGATCTGCCCGCCTCGGCCTCCCAAAGTGCTGAGATTACAGGCGTGAGCCACCGGGCCCGACCACAAATAGTGTTTTTTAACCAGATCTGTAAAAAGTTTAGGAGATGGAAACTGGGCAAAAGTAAAGTATTAACCTACTCTTAACAGAAAGGAAAAAATGCTATTGGTGCAGAAGTGGCAGCGTTCGGGAGGATCAAAACAACACATCATGATGAGTATTATTTCCTCATTGACTCTGATTGCTTTTCTAGCCAGTTATTGATTCTTTGCACACATGTAGACTTTTCAGTTGGTTTTCTGAAAGCAGAGCCAACGCCAAATAGTGGCTTGAGGCCCGGATGTGGGAGCAGGCTGGCTGAGTTTGGGCACAGGCTCTGCACGGAACCAGCTGTGTAGCCTGGCCCCCATGCCTGGCCTCTGTGTCTCATGTGTAAAATGGGACAATAGCAGCACCTGCTTCATGGGATTGTTTGAGGATCAAATGCCTTCATCAATGTAAAACCTTGAGGACAGCAATCTTTGATTTAATGTTATGTGCTCCATAACAGTGAACAGTTATTGTTATTAATAAGCTTATAGTGTCAGTTTAGCAAGAAGCATCTTTGGGCCTCTAAAAAAGGGTCATTTATTTCTGAGAACTTTTGGGGTCTTTTTTTTTTTGAGGTGGGAAAGACTTAATTGCCGGTAATTACAATCTCCCCTGACCTATAGGAGCTGTTTTAAATAGTGTGTTTAAAATAGATTGGCTTTGCAGGCTAGACGTGGTACTTTTTCAGTGCACATATTACTGAGCTGGAAGGACCCATTAGGACTTAATGGTCAGGAGGTTGCCAACTGATGTTTTTGATAGGAGGTAGGAGGGTGTGTGAGTGCTGGTGTGGCATTCTAACAATTGCCTTCTTTTGCCCTTTCTGGGACTTACCCAGGGCTTTACATCTATGAGGAGCCATTGTCAGTCTGCTCTCTCTTCTTGCTTAGGAGGAGAACAGACTTACCCTGTTTCTCCACTTGCAGGTAAGTGAGCACACCCCTCAGCAGGGCACCCAGGCATCCCACCAAGTGGCCGGGAAACAAACCTGGCTCTGCGCCCCTCCTTGCTGTGGTCGGATGGTCTTGCAGAGGCTGTGATAGGACCAGCATGATGGTCAGGCTACTCAACAGAGAGGATACAACTGCAGAATCTTTCCAGATGAACAGAGGTGCTAAGGATCCCTGGTGTATTATTTCAGTGGTTCCATTTTGCATTGTTTGCTTATGGGCTTTGTGGCAGCTTTTTTTCCCAACAGATTGGTGTTCAGTTTAGGTCATCTGTTTTAAGTTCATTTGTGTCTTTCACGTGGGTGAGGATGGGGAGCCCTCGGGGGGGGGCATTTTGTATCTGGTGTACCCTTCTGTTCATCTCTGCACCTCCCCAGAGCTGCCCACGAAATGCTTATAGCCCCCATGGTCTCCTTTCTGTGCAGAAGATAATAAACTGTTGGATTTAAAACAAAATGAAACAGCAAAAAAACCACACAAACACAAAAGCCTACTTCAATGTCTGCAGGAGCTTGGATTTTGCCCCCTTCAAGATTCTTGAGAAACGTATCTTTCAGCTGGAGAATACAGTGAAGAGAATAACAGAGGAGAGCCTTGGTGTTCAAGGATTTATCAGAGATTTCAATTATTAACGGGTGATCAGGATGGAGGTCTAGGACAAACTTGCAATTTTGCTGAGGCACAAAAATTTTAATCCCATGTCCTGTGAGCGTGGACCTGAATCAGTAACCCAGTGAGCCGGCCGAGCCTGGCACTCTTGCCAACCCGGTGTATCTCCACGGGCCTGTTCTCAAAGTTCTGAGACAGGAGGGGATTAACAACTTAGTGTCTCAGGAGGCAGAGGTTGCAGTGAGCCGAGATCACACCACTGCACTCTCCAGCCTGGCGACAGAGCGAGACTCCATCTCAGGAAAAAACAAACAAAAAAAAAACAACAAAAAAACTTGGTTTCTTTTTGGAAATAGTCCTGAAAAGAACACCAACCCACCACAGCTGCTGGTGATAAGAAATAAGAGAAAATGACGATGTCTGAGAAAGTCATAGCTCTTACTCAAAGGAAAAGAAGCTTTGGATAAAGTGTGAAATACTTGTAACACAAGCCCCGAAAGCGTAACTCCTGTAACCGTCTCGAGAATTCCTCAGATGAGTATGTTTCACTTGCCGTCTTAATTTTAATACAAATAATCTTTAAAGATACAAGGCAGTAACTTAAAATTTTTAGTTATTGGGAAAATTACATGAGATCTAGTCATGATCAAAAACATGGAGATTTGCTGAAGTCTTGGGGCCTCCCATTGCTCATGGCTGGTTTCTTTTCTACAGCATACAGGATGAGACCAAAAGAGTTCAGAGCTGTGCCCCAAATATCAAGTACACAGCTATCATTAAATCAGATATTTTATGCTGTTTTTGATTTTGTGGTGGTATTGGCCTTCCTTTGAATAATCCAGTAAAGATTTAGATAAACGCGTTAGGAATTCAGGGAAAAGAACGGCCTAGGTCTGGAGGTTTGGAAGTAGTACACATTTTCTCTTTATATGACATTACGTGTAGTATGTTGGGTCATTGCCATACCTGAGTGGAGTTTGGGGACATAATTTATAACAATAACCGATTGATTATTGGGTATATTTCAAACACCTTAAGTGAGACTGAGAAAGTGATTGAATCTCTGGCCATGGATCACACTGGGTTCTTCTGAGCCTTTTGTAAACATTAAAACCAAATGAACAAAGAGGCTCTTGCAGGGGATTCATAACTCTCACTTCGCGCTGCCATTCCACATAAAACCAAAAAAAGGACCATTTAGCAGTATTGTATGCTGAAGGGCCACAGCATCGACAAGCTCCCGGTTAAACGTATTTCTGAGGTACAACAGCTGTTTTGTTGATGTTATGTTCACTGCTCTGTGAATAATTTTGTATAGCAAGAAAATATTACAACCAATTATCCTAGCTATATAACTTTTTTCTTCTTCTTCTTTGAGACGGAGTCTCACTCTGTCGCCCAGGCTGGAGTGCAGTGGCACGATCTCGGCTCACTGCAAGCTCCGCCTCCCGGGTTCACGCCATTCTCCTGCCTCAGCCTCCCGAGTAGCTGGGACTATGGGCGCCCCTCACCACGCCTGGCTAATTTTTTGTATTTTTAGTAGAGATGGAGTTTCACCGTATTAGCCAGGATGGGTCTCGATCTCCTGACCTCGTGATCCACCCGCCTCGGCCTCCCAAAGTGCTGGGATTACAGGCGTGAGCCACTGCACCAGGCCAACTTTTTTTTTTTTTTTTTAAGACAGGGTCTTACCCTGTCATCCAGGCTGGAGTGCACTGGTACAGTCATAGCTCACTGCAGCCACAAACTCTTGAGCTCAAGTGATCCTCCCAGCTCAGCCTCCAGAGTAGCTGGGACTACAGACGTGCGCCACCAAGCCCAGCTAAGTTTTTTATTTTTATTTTGTTATTATTTTTTATTGTTTGAGACAGGGTCTTACTCTGTCACCCAGTCTGGAGTGCAGTGGCACGATCATGCCTCACTCCTGGGCTCAAGTGATCCTCCTGCCTCAGCCTCCCAAGTAGCTGGGACTACAGGTGTGTGCCACCATGCCCCTTTTTTTTTTGTTTTTTGTTTTTTTTTTGTATTTTTCCTAGAGACGGAGTCTCATTATATTGCCCAGGCTAGTCTCCAACTCTTTTGTTCAAGCCATCCTCCTGCCTCAGCCTCCCAAAGTGCTGAGATTACAGGCGTGAGCCATTGCTCTGGCCATAACTTTTGTTTCAAGAAGGAAGTTAGTCTTCAATATTCTGTTCTAAAGCTTAATAGAATAATATGAAGCTATATTTCTTTCCCTCTGTTTTGGAGGAAGAGCTCATATTTTTTGGATGCTGTAACTCAGTATTTCTGAATAACTTCAATATCAGTTGAAATACTGACCTAGATCTACAAATTTTCTTTTTTTCTTGCATGATATTCCTAGAATCTTATGTGGTTTCTACAGATATCTTCAAATCAAAGAGGCTGAGCATAAGCCATACTGGTTAAAATAGAAATTTCTATTGGGGGACAATGAAAGTGTCTTTGTTAGTATCAAAATAAGTCTTAAAAATATTCATCTAGAAACTGTCATGTTTGTTCTTGTTAAGATGATTGTGTTGAACCCAAAGCCTAGCTTGTTGAGTAATTTTTCCTTGTAATTTCTCAAAAGATCTTCATTTATCATCTACTATAATATATTAATTATGGAGCTACTGGTTGGGCACGGTGGCTCACACCTGTAATCCCAGCACTTTGGGAGGCCGAGGCAGGCAGATCACCTGAGGTCAGGAGTTCAAGACCAGGATGGCCAACATGGTGAAACCCCGTCTTTACTAAAAATACAAAAATTAGCTGGGTATGGTGGCATGCGCCTGTAGTCTCAGCTACTTGGGTGGCTGAGGCGGGAGAATCGCTTGAACCCAGAATGTGGAGGTTGCAGTGAGCCAAGATTGTGCCACCGTACTCCAGCCTGGGCGACAGAGTAAGACTTCTTCCCCCAGCCTCCCCCCACCAAAAAAACTGTGGAGCTACCATATTCCTGGTATTATCTTCTGTTGATTTATTCAGAGATATCTAGTGTCTATATGCAAGCAATATATTAGTTGCGAAGTGTCTAGGAACAGTGAAAGACACAAGTCTCCTGTTTACTTAGATTATGCAGACTATTGTGAAAGAAAGGGACTGAAAGGAGTTCACTATACCGTAAAGGTAGTGTGGCGCAAGGTGAATGTGAGTCTGTAGGGTAAGGTGAGTCAGGAAGTGCCTTGTAGGTTGGATGACCTTATAAACTGGCATGCTGGGGCCAGTGAAAGAGGGCACTATTAATAATTGCACGAGAAGAGCAGGCATAAGCTGCAACCATCCCAGGCAAATGGGAACGTATGGTTACCCTATGCATGAGGGTAAGGAATTTGCATGCTCTTAAGAAGCAGTAAATGAGAAACTGTAGAGAGTGTTTAATCTAGAGAGCAATATAATAAAAATTTGCATTGTGGAAGGCAGAGAAGGATTGGAGCGGGCAAGAAGGGAGGCATGGAGACCAGGGAAGGGCTGTTTCAGGGATCCAGGCCTGGGAAGGAGACAGCGTGGAGCAGGTGATGATGGTGGAGAGGCTGAGTGGTGGGCAGAGCTGAGAAGTGCTTTGGAGACTCAGCTGACTGACAGGTGTCAGTGACTGTGAGGATGTAGCCGATGAGTAGGAAGGAGGAGTCAAGGTGATACCCAGTTTCTGAGAAAGGGAGAGGTGCCATTTGCTTGGATGGAAATGCATGAGGAGGAGCAGCTATGGGGTTGGGGACGTTGATGAGTTCCATTTTAGATATGTTGAGTTTCAGGTATTGATGCAATATATTGATACAATATATTAATTGTGTCAGTGTATACATACAGTATATGTATGTATACATACAGTATATGTATGTATACATACAGTATATGTATGTATACATACAGTATATGTATGTATACATACAGTATATGTATGTATACATACAGTATATGTATGTATACATACAGTATATGTATGTATACATACAGTATATGTATGTATACATACAGTATATGTATGTATCAGTATACACATTAATGGTGTATTGATACAATATATTATACAGTAGAAATGTTTGGCAGGCATTTTTTTCCTTTCTGTGTTAACCTCAACATCAGCCTGCCCATACCAATGTTGTTATTTAGGGCTTTTAATCCCTGTGAAGATCTTGAGCACCTAGACTTGCTGTGACTCACTTAAGGGCTCATGTCAGCCTTGAATATGAACTGTTCTGAGCCTTGTGAAAAGTAGCATGGCTGCTCTGTTGAAGCAGCTGAAGTTTGGCTAGGAAATGGGGAACCCGACTTCCTACAACAACGTTGTCTCCCAACTCCCTGTCAGAACTGTGGAAGATGTGGGTGTTTCTGCAGCTTTAGAACTAAAGAAATGTCCTACATGACAGCTCCTCCTCATCTGAACAATATTTATAGCCTCTTGCAGAATACGACTTCAAAAATAACTAGTATTTATAAGGCACTTATTCTGCAGAGCTTGCCTCTATTTTTCCATTTTTCCTTAGAATCCATACGGAGTTGTCGAGAGGCAGATTCACATGCTAAATGACCATGAAAAATATATAAATATGACATTGCTTTCTGAATGGTTTATTAGTTAATGTTCGTATTAGCCAGTGTTTACATTTTTAATGTGCATCAATAGAAAAATTTCTCTTTAAGCTCCTGGATAATTTCCGAAGCAGATTATCTGGCTCACGTACAACATTTATTGGAGTTTGTGGACAGACACAAATACCGTGCCTTTCCCCAGTATATTTTAAGTGATACCGATTTACTTTAATACTGCAGATTTAGCCAAAGACGTAATTGGGAATGGCTTTTCCTAAGCCTGTCTAGTTCTTATTGAAATTAAAGCATTTGCATAAAAAGCTATACAGTAAACCCCAGAAGTTGTTGTTGTTGTTGTTGTTGTTGTTGAGACAGTTTCACTCTTGTCGCCCTGGCTAGAGTGCAATGGCATGATCTCGGCTCACTGCAACCTCCACCTCCTGGGTTCAAGGGATTCTCCAGCCTCAGCCTCCTGAGTAGCTGGGATTACAGGCGCCCGCCACCATGCCAGGCTAACTTTTGTATTTTTAGTAGAGACGGGGTTTCGCCATGTTGGCCGGGCTGGCCTCGAACTCCTGACCTCAGGTGATCCACCCGCCTCATCCTCCCAAAGTGCTAGGATTACAGGTGTGAGCCACTGCACCTGGCTGAAACTCAGAAGTATTAAGACATTGTAAATTATGCCCAACTTGAGTATTGCTAACAATTACATTTATGAGGTAATTAGAATTGTAGTATCTCCTGTTTTAAAGAGCATTTATTATTTATACTCAGCTTCATCCTGCCTCCCTGCAAAAGTATTTAAGATGTGTTAGGGAGACACATAGCTATCATGTGATGAAAAAAATTAAATAGTGGAAAAATGGACAGAGAGAATAAAAATAGGAAAGTAAGCAGAAGGTGGGGTGTTTTAAGAATTAAGATGTGCTGGAAGAATTAAGAAATTCAGACTTGATTCTATCTATTTAAAGATGTAAATATTGGCCAGGTGTGGTGGCTCATGCCTGTGATCCTAGCACTTTGGGAGGCCGAGACGGGTGGATCACCTGAGGTCAGGAGTTTGAGATTAGCCTGGCCAACATGCAAAACTCCGTCTGTACTTAAAATACAAAAATTAGCCGGGCATGGTGGCAGGTGCCTGTAATCCCAGCTACCTGGGAGGCTGAGTTAGGAGTATCGCTTGAACCCAGGAGGCGGAGGTTGTAGTGAGCTGAGGTCGTGCCACTGCACTCCTGCTTGGGTAACAGAGTGAGACTCCCTCTCAAAAAAATAAAAAATAAAATAAAATAAAATAAAGAGGTAAATGTTGTATTTAATTGAAAAATTTCTGTCTCTCTATCCTGAATGCCTTGGCCCAACCCCTTTGTCTTAAATCAGGAAATGGAGAATTATTCAAGCAATTGGATCTAAGTATATAAAGGCCTTTAGAAACTTTAGATAGCCTAACTTTCTTTTACCTTTATTTCTATATAGCCTGTCTTTTATTCTTGTCTCCTTTACTGACTTATCCAGTTGTACAGCAATTAATGACAGAATTAATTAAAACAAATATCCAGAATCTTTCACTCAACAATTCCTTGATTTAGAGCAGCAGTTCTTGGCCTTGTCAGCCTCAACGAGCCTCCTTTTTTTTTCAAACAACAACAACAAATACTTTGGTAATGCTTCTTTTCTTATCCTGAAATATAATTTATCTACACACATAATTTCAAAGAATCAATATGCATCTTAATTGTAAAATAAATGAGAAATAAGAAGAATGTAGCTTATAGTAAAATTAGGTGTATTTTCATATGTACCTGCTTAGATAGGTCTTCACCAGAAAATGCAGGAAGCTGCCAGCTGCTTCGCCTCTTGGGGGTATCGCTATGAACGCACAAGCAGGCTGACTCCTCAGGTTGCATGGGTGCCTCAGGCACAGTCATCGCCATTGCCATTGGCGACACAATTTTCTGAAACAAGAATCAACTCAGTGCAATATTTCAAACAAAGCAAAGTTCAGTTTGTTCCATCTCCAGTTGTAATCCTGGAAAACTCAGCTTTTATTAAAGCCGGGGAAACAGTTTGGTGTTTTTATGTAAAATGGAGTTCTGTTCTAAG
The DNA here is from genome assembly GCF_000001405.40 of Homo sapiens. NCBI lineage: Eukaryota > Metazoa > Chordata > Mammalia > Primates > Hominidae > Homo > Homo sapiens. The sequence continues at coordinate 183,935,140 of NC_000004.12, forward strand.
TGCAGATAATTACACACAGATACTCCCCAGCATGGATGTCCCGCAGGACAGTGGGAAGCCCGCTCAGGAGCGTGCATTCTGGGGCGCCACCCCATGCGTGCCCTGGAACCTCATCTGCTAAGTACCAGAGGCACTCTCTCAAGCAAAACTGCCTCAAACATACCTAAAAGCTCCCCAGAGGGTATCACCCTGTTGACCAGAAAAAGGGGAAGATGAAAAAAAACAACTGGAAGATCGTATTTAGGTTTGTCTTTCCCTTAGGCCTGGAATGCAGCATTTTGGGGCTAACGCTCTAGAGAATTATAAGGGTGAATAAGTCTATCTGCTTATTCCAGAAAGAGTCAAAGGGAAACTGAAGTGAGAGGGACAGAAGGCCAGGGCTGAAGATCAGAGGCAGGGCCCAGGGGCCCAGCAGTTTGGTAGTGTGGGGAAATTGAACTGAACTTTGAATTCTAGCCCTGTATCAAATGTAGCTCCCATGTAGCTGTATGATCTTGGAACAATCCTTTTAAACTGAGTCTTTCTTCACCTGTAGAAACAAGTACTTATTCCTAATTTATAGGGTTGTTATGAGAATTAATATTAATGGGACAGTAGTGCATTAAAGTAACTGACATTGTGCCTGGGACTAAGGAGTACTCAGAAACTGCTAGTTTTCTCTGCTCCCCTCTTCTCATGCAGAGATTTCTAGTGATGGTGTTTGCATTTCAAGAGGAGGGATGTAAGAGTGATAACAAAGTGAAATGTTTAGTTCCTAAGTTTTAAGGTGGAAAACCTGATATACAGTACTTTATATACCCTGAAGCATCCTAAATTTTTTTGTTGAAATGAACCCTGTGCATTTCAGATTTAGATTTTGTATTTCACGACATTCGTGGGAGAAAAAGCGTTACTTCTTTAAATGACAAAAGAAATGCTTTCCTGTAGGAACTTCAAACAAGGGACATATAAATAAATTTCAACATGAAATCTTCACCACCCCTAATCCAACTTCCTGAGAGTAACTAACTACTAATAGAATTTAAATTTAAGTACTTCTGCAGTCTTCCTCCAAGCCTTGGCAAACGCTGTTGTTTCCATCTGGAGTTTTTTTTGCAGTCTGTGTGAAACCTTCGCTCTCATCTGTGCTGGGGAAGCTATAGCCTCGTGTAGCCTAGCCTAGCCCACCTGACTCTACTCAGCGTAATTGCTTCAGCACCGCTTTTCTTTGTTTGTAAGGCTGTGATTGATGGATATCAATTTTTATTTCTCCTGTAAGGTTTTTGCATATTTTCTCTCTTTTTTTTTTTTCCGCAGTGGATCATGAGTTTATTGGCGTCAGTATCTTTTACTTTATTGTAAGGCCTGATAGTATCTTTTTTTTTCTCTATACCAAAGTTGCTCAAAATTGGAATATATTGACCAAAGCACTGAATTGTGATTATACATGAGTATTCTGTAGGCAGAACTGTGTCTGAAGAGAATAAATGAAAAACCTAGATTTTAAGAAACTAATAATTTTTTAAAAACTAAGAACTTAATCACAAAGAAGCTTATTTAAAGGAGAGGTATAGGTGCATGGAATTGTTGAATATTTAGGACTGCCAGCCTGCCTGTGTTCTCAGAGGTATACCATGAACAATTGTGTGCTGAGTCACAGTTTGTCTTATTTCAAAACTTCATCAGTACTATCTGTTGTAACCACTTCTGTGTCTTGCAAATGATATGTCACCTCACTTTCATTCTGATTAATGAAACAAGGGATTTGTAGGAATAAACAGTTCTTAAAATATTTGGAGATATAATTTGGTGGGCAGAGCATGGATACTTTTGCACATCATAAGTTTTCATTATAAAGACATTATCTTACTCACTTTAATAAACTTTGAAATGGGCATTGTAAATAAGGAGGGAAATAATTATGACAGTATCTTGAATTCACACATGCATATATTTTTATGCACTCAGGGCAGTGTATGCATGTCTTTGATGTACAGCTAAAGCACTCTTTGGTGAGGTACATTCATTGTGCCTTTCCTTTCCTGTGAGTCACGGCCTACCTAAGAGAAAGCTTAGTAACACGCAAGGAAAATTCAAAACACATTGAGGCTCTTTAATGTACGTGATACTTCAGCTGAGATAACCTGTCATTTAAAAAATTTATTATCCAGAATTCTCCTAGTTAATGTCAGTTTCCTGTTTAGACACAGCTTTCCTGAAAGGCTGTAATCAATTCTTCATCCATCCTGAAGGAGAGAATTTCCAATGGAGAGAAGACGTGTCTTCTTCCCTTATTTCCGACGCTCAGGAAGCCATATGACCTTTTCTTTATTGGATGAGACCTTGGCACTTGCTTAGGGAGGTCAGTGTTCGTTTTAGAGCTGCTCAGAGTGGGGTCGGCAGACAGGTCCACAAGGACATATATTTAGAAATTGAGAGTAGGCATTGAAACACCAATAGCAGTTTGATATTTCACCAACATCCAAGCTCATGATCAGTGGACTCGTCTCATTGAGCTCATTCAGGTGTGGTGTGACCTGCAGAACAGTCACGCTCAGGACCTTGTTCACAACGTGTGGCGTTTTAAGGTTAGCTTCTATGATCCAGAAGTATGGAAACCATTGATTTCATCAATAGATGATGTACCATTAACTAACTTGACTGAAAAAAAATTTGGAATTGATTAAAGATGAATTTTGAAAATACAGTATCTCTGGCTTTATTTTGAGTAAAAGTTAAAAAATCCTGAGCTGGCTGGGTGCTCATGCCTGTAAATCCTAGTACTTTTGGAGTCCAAGGTAGGTGGATGGCTTGAGCCCAGGAGTTCAAGACCAGCCTGGGCAACATGGCAAAACCCCTTCTCTACAAAAAAATCAGAAAATTAGCCAGATGTGGGGGTGTGTGCCTGAGGTCCCAGCTCCTTGGGAGGCTGTGGTGGGAGGATCGCTTGAGCCTGGAAGGTCGAGGCTGCAGTGAGCTGTGATTGCGCCACTGCACTCCATCCTGAGCGACAGAATGAGACCCTGTCTCAAGAAACAAAACAAAACAGTTCTGAACTTGCTGAAATTACTTTAAAATCTTCTTCCATTCTCCTTAACATACCTTTTGTGAGACTGGTTCCTCTACTGTAACTGTTATTAAAACAAAACATAAAAGCATTTTAGATACACATTATTCCCTGCGAATAGCATTGCCATCATCCAGTTTGTGTTAGTAAATTAACATGCAAGAAGCAAGCTCATTTGTCACTTTAAAAAACTTTATTGATGGCTGAGCACGGTGGCTCACGCTTGTAATCCCAGCACTTTGGGAGGCCAAGGTGGGCGGATCACCTCAAGTCAGGAGTTTGAGACCAGCCTGGCCAACATGGTGAAACCCCGTCTCTACTAAAAATACACAAATTAGCTGGATGTGGTGGTGCACGCCTGTAATCCCAGCTACTCAGGAGGCGGAGGCAGGAGAATTGCTTGAACCCAGGAGGCGGAGGCTGCAGTGAGCGGAGATGGTGCCACTGCACTCCAACCCGGGCAACAGAGTGAGACTCCGTCTCCAAAAAAAAAAAAAAAAAAAAAAAAATCTATTTTATTCCCAAAGTTCACTCTTTCAAATGCCATTGCTCCTGTGTGCCAACTTTGATTTTCAAAGCTCACCATTACCTTGGAGATAACGTTGTGCCTAATTTCAGGATGATTGTTTTGAAATGCATTTTCGAATTTTTTCCAGCCTTGCACTTGTAGCATCCGTTGCTACATTTCATCAGCTCTGATTAAGAATGCTCATCTTTTAATAGCCTGCTAATGAAAATAAAAAATTTGTAAAGTAAAATAAAAAATATTTTATTAAATGAATGATTTTAAAAATGCAGGCCATTAATAAAATCTATCCAAAGAGTCAGCTCCTTGCTACATACGGAATAGAAGACTGTTTTCAGATTTTGGACTTGTAAAAGCTATCGGTAGCTAACCAGGTAATTTGGATGTTTAAGTGATTTGTAATAATCTTAATCATTTGGTGACTTGGAACCAAGGGTGGCATGTTATTCCCTACGGCTGCCATAGCAAAGTAGCACACACTGGGTGGCTAACAACCCCTGAAGTGTATTCTCTCACAGTTCTGGAGCCCGAAGGCTGAAATCAACGTGTTGGATGTAGGGGAGATTCCTTCCCTGTCCCTTCCAGCTTCCGGTGACTCCAAGTCCTCCTTCGTCTGTGGCTGCATCTCTCCAGTGTCTGCCTCTGTCTTCACAAAGCTTTTTCATCTTCTCTGTGTTCCCCCATCTTCTGTCTCTATGAAAACACCTGTTGTTGGATTGAGGGCTCACCCGAGTAATCCAGGATGATCTTCTCATCTCGAGTTCCTTAACTTCATCATATCTGCAAAGACCCTTTCCTAAGTAAAGCCACATTCACAGATGCTGGGGGTTAGGACTTAGATGTACGCTTTTAGGGGCCACCACTCAGCGACTACAGATGGTCACAGATTTTTTTTTTTTCAGAATCACTATTTATTGAGTGTTGTTTATAATGTGCTCAAGTGGTTGCTGGAGAGAGAGGGACTGTGGTAAAATGAGAGTGACACCTTTGGGTTGGACGGTCCCAGGCTTGATTTCAGGCTCTAGCGTTCTCCCAGCTCTGGGAGCTGGGATGTGCTTCTTAACTTCTCCGCGTCCCAGTTTCCTCATCTGCAAGATGACATAATGGCGAAGTTATGTAAAGTTCCTAAAAATTCTGACCAGTGTGATAGATACATCAGGAGTGATCATAGTTATGGTGTTTTCTTATTTAAAGATAGCATTTTTTTCTTTTAATGGAATCTCGCTCTGTCGCTCAGGCTGGAGTGCAATGGCACGATCTCAGCTCACTGCAGCCTCCGCCTCCCGGGTTCAAGTGATTCTTCTGCCTCAGCCTCCTGAGTACTGGAATTACAGGCGTCCGCCACCACACCCAGCTAAGTTTTGTATTTTTAGTAGATTCGGGGTTTCGCCATGCTGGACAGGCCGGCCTCGAACTCCTGACCTCAGGTGATTCACCTGCCTTGACCTCCCAAAGTGCTGGGATTACAGGCGTGAGCCACCGAGCCCGGCCAGTATTTTTATCATTTCTGAAATCAAGACGCCCGGGTTCCCTGATGTTGATTCATGGTATCTTTCGTGCCTCACGAATTTTTCCACAAAACTGCTAGGGCAAAAGAAACACCTAGTTGTTCTGGTTACTCATTAGTGAGACCCAAACGACTAAGCAGGTGTTTATGTCCTAGCAACTTCGTAGCAATATGAAAAGTGTTATTTTATTCTTAAATAAGCCCGGTTACTCCGGGGATGTGTGTACATGCTGAAAACTGCAGAACTTCTCAAACGTGGGAATTACCTGGGGCATGGCCACCCCTCTTCCTGCTCCACACTGATTTTTGCACAATCCTGCTTTTTATCTTGGCAACCACGAGAAAACCAGCTTCACAAAGATGTTGTCATCAAAGGGAACACAGCACGGTCTAATTTGAAACTCGAAGATAAGCCAAGTTGATTGATCACTTGATGTTTGACAGAGGTCAAGTATTATTTTCTAATTTGGTTGTATAAAATTTACCCCCTAATCAGCAGGATTTGAAAGCCTGACTTCCTTTTTCTTTAAAAACTTCCTGGTCCTAATTGTACTAAATATTTTATGTATGATAGTTTATTCTAAACCTACTGTTTCTTCTACATTTGCAACCTCTTTATTTTACTATTTTAAAGTTTTATTTTACAATTACAGCATAAAATAATTGTCCAATAAATATTTGTTGATGAATACCGTGTCAAATAAACCACTTTTCATTCAGGCTGCCACGAAAATGAAACATTCAGGAGAGACAAAGCTTGCTGTAACATGTGGTTTAGATCTGTGGTGTGGCCAACCGACCACTTTTTATGAAACAAGCTCAGATCTAGCTTCTTTTATGTGCACCAAAGATAAGGATGATGAAGTTAGTAAAAACACATTAGGTCATATTTAGTTTATCTTTTCAAGAACCAAATCAGTTACTCCTAAGATGAGTAGACTGAATTATGGATTCCATGTGCTGATGGAGCCTTTGAGTCGTATGTATTTGTTCATAATATTCATTCTTACTCATCCTTTTGGTTCTCCTACTCTTCAGTTCTTTCATTCATTCAAAAAATATTTTGTGGCCAGGCACGGTGGCTCACACCTGTAATCCCAGCACTTTGGGAGGCCAAGGTGGGCAGATCACCTGAGGTCAGGAGTTTGAGACCAGTCTGGGTAACATGGCAAAACTCCGTCTCTACTAAAAATACAAAAATTAGCCAGGCGTGGTGGTGGGTGCCTGTAATCCCAGCTACTTGGGAGGCTGAGGCAGGAGAATCACTTGAACACGGGAGGCAGAGGCTGCAGTGAGCTGAGATCGCACCACTGCACTCCAGCCTGGGCAACAGAGCAAGACTCTGTCTCAAAAACAAATTTCTTGAGCACCCCAATATTCATGCATGGGGTGGGGGTTGTATACCTAATAAGTATACTGGGGGTATGGCGATAGACAACATGGATACCATGTTATGTGCTTAAAGTACTTAACACGTGCCTGGCACACAGTCATTAGCAATTGGTAGATGGAGCTAATGTTCATATTATTAAGTTTATGTGTTGTGCCTTACAAAGCTCCACTAGAAGAAACACAGAGATGACGTATAAATCAATATGTTGTGAATATTTTATTGTACACTTTGGTTATAGAGAATCTGAGATTCTCTAGGATGACAGACAATAATGATTCTCTTATTGACATTTATCACTTCATCATGCCTGGCAACCTACGACTCCTCTTTAGCTATTAGAGGGCACATGTGTTGAAGGGTCTGTCCTCAACCCATTAAAAAGTATGGATGGTCCTCAGGGGTATTTAGTACCTCAGAAGGATTTAAAACTCTCAAGGATTAGTAAGTAATTAGCCTTCATGCCTGATGTGTAAACAGCAAAGGCATCTTTGATTTTGGCTCAATCAATGTAATTTTAATGTTAACAGCTCTGAGATCAGCAGCCAACAGTTAAATAAACTTTGACACTGAGAGCAGACATTTCAGCAGAGGTACAATCCAATTTACTGTTGATTGATCAACCAGCTTATTTCCTTTGACTTTAGACATTTGTAAATTATCTTACAAATTTGTAAATTATCTTACACATTTGCATTATATATATATATATGTGCCAGGCTTCTAGGTTTTTTTTTTTTTTTTTTAGACAAAACCAAGGTTAAAAAAAACAAAAACAAAACTTGGATGAACACTCATGACTCACCACATGGGACCAGACTTCTGGTTGTTGGATCTGGGTTTCATCTGGTACTGAGGGATCACTAAGAGGCTTCTGATTCTCCTGAGCTCATCCCCATTTCATTTTCATAATCTGTATACAAAAACCTGTAGTCCTCCAGCTCTTCCTTAATTATATTCTTCCTTTTCTTAAAAAAAAAGTCATTCCATATTGCATAATTTATATTTGTAAACTGACTTTTTAGGCACTCCAAAAAGAGATAGAAGAGCTCTTGTTTGTAAAATATGGGCTAACTACTGTTTCAGCTTGAGAAAACAAATGGCAGACAGGAACTGCAAATCTGGTATAGGGTCCTAGGAGAATGGAGGCAGGCCATATTTATAAAGATTTTCTATATCATGTGCTTTAAAAAAAAACTTTTTTAATGGTTTGAAACCAATTCTTACGGCTCTGAAATAAGAAGTCTTTATTACTGTCTTGTCAGATGTTTTCATTTTGTAAAGTAAATGGCTTTTGATTTTGTATTGCTACATAATCATTTCTTATCAGTTCATCTAATTGCTGGGGCTTTGAATTCCAACTCTGGCAGTGGTGAGTTTCAACTTTTCTGGAAGACTGTTTGAATCTGGGATACAGTCAGCTTTCAGAATGGCAATAGAAAAGAAACCTTGAGATTCCTAACTTTAAAAGATTTATTAATTCAGATAAAAGTTTAGGCTGGAAGAGAACACTGACATAATTAAATATATTTAGTCATTTAATTCTCATTAATTTTGGGGATAGGATATTATGGGACAGTGACCGTGTGTTTGCAACTTGGCAATCCAGGAATACTCTCTTCTGGTAGCTAGTTGCCCAGTGAATAAACTTAACTAAAGCAGAGAATTATTTGTTAAAAATCTAAAATACTTTATTTTAACAGAAAACACCTTTTTCATGTAGAGGCAAGGACTATGAATTTGCATAGTTTTTCTAGAATAAATCATACCTATTATGTATCCAGATGTATGATTTCCAGTTTCATTTTCCACAGAGAAACAAAAATGAGTTAATTCTTGAAGCTGAGTGATAGGTATGTGGAGGTTTTAGGATACTGTTCTGCTAACTGTTGAATGTATTTGGAACTTTCCATTTTAAAATGTTTTTTAAATAAAATATAGAGAAATAAAGTGATCAAGAATTTCAAACGTACGAGAAGAAATAGAAGTGCAGAATCATTCTTGAGTTTTATGATTTAAAAAAGAAATCTCAGGCCAAGGCAGGCAAATCACGAGGTCAGGAGTTCGAGACCAGCCTGGCCAATACAGTGAAACCCCGTCTCTACTAAAAATACAAAAACTAGCTGGGCGTGGTGGCGTGCGCCTGTAGTCCCAGCTACGCGGGAGGCTGAGGCAGAAGAATTGCTTGAATCCGGGAGGCGGAGGTTGCAGTTGGCTGAGATCGTGCCACTGCCCTCCAGCCTGGACGACAGAGCAAGACTCTGTCTCAAAGAAAAAAAGAAAAACCCCCAAAAAACAAAAAAGAAATCTCCCCAGGGGATGCCACTCTGCTGTAGCCACCACTGAGCACTGTGCTAGGTGCTGTGGATTCAAAGATGTCTCAAAGTCAGTCCTGCTCTGGAGAAACCCATGGCTCAGTACAGAAGACAGACAGACAAATGCAAGAGAATACATTCTGGTTGCATAAATGTTCTGAGTGTAGATAGAGAGAAGAGAACTAATTCTTCCTAGGAAGTTGGGGACACTTCACAGAGTAGCTGACAATGTAAGTCAGGGTAAAATAGTAGTTACTTATCTGTTCATCCCTTTTGCTAAGTGAGTGTCTTGGCCCTGCGGGGCTTAATTAAAGCCAGGGCTGCCCTACTCCTCCATGTCCTGGGAAACATGTCTTACTTTTAGCACCACTGCTTAACTGGAATAGTTCACGTGGTGCTGATATGTGAGTCTTCCAGACTCAGGTGCATAATACACTCAAATACTACATTAAGACCCTGTCATTGCTCATCAGATATTTACTGAGCATGCATTTAAAATATATGGGTGAGAGCTGGGCATGGTGGCTCACGCCTGTAATCCCAGCACTTTGGGAGGCCAAGGTGGGTGGATCATGAGGTCAAGAGTTCGAGACCTGCCTGGCCAACATGCTGAAACCCCATCTTTACTAAAGCTACAAAAGTTAGTCAAGCGTGGTGGCGCATGCCTGTAATCCCAGCTACTTGGGAGGCTGAGCCAGGAGAATTGCTGGAGCCCAGGAGGCGGAGGTTGCAGTGAGCCAAGATCACACCACTGCACCCCAGCCTAGGTGACAGAGACTCCATCTCTAAATAAAATGAAATAAAATAAAATGGTGAGAAAGTCATTTAAGTATAAATTCTTTATTTGCCTTTGAGCACCTCAATATGACAACTAGTAAAGAATGTTTGGATAATTTATTTATTTGGCAAATATGAGGCTTCTGTATTATAAGCCTATCTTTTACTCATTCAACAAATTTTATCTAATGTCTACCATGTCTAGGGCACATCAGCAAAAAAGACACAGCTTACAGAATGATACACAATATAACACCATTTATTGAAGTCTTTTATTATGCATGTAAAAATACCAAATATTGTTGTGCATTCATTTATATATGTAAAAGTGTTTAAATGTCCTGGGAGAATTGATGGTCAAGTTCAAAAGAGTGCCTCTGGGTATGGAGTCTGTGAGTGTATCACCTTACCTTCAAGGTTTCATTCTTTTCTGTAGGAAAGATTAGGACAAAATTTCATCAATTGTCAGTTTTAGGTGGTGGCAAGGCAGGTATGTATTTTACACATCTTTGAGCTCTTTGGTATTTTAAAAATTTCTCCAAAAAGGGAACGTAGGAGAATTTCAGTTGCAGAATTCGGGGGTTGGAAGTGGAAGAGACACAGGAAAAATCTGATTTTAACATGAGGGTACACAGCGGAGAGAGAGAGGGTCGTGACAGTATACCCATTCCTTGGTGAGAGAGCAAAAGCAAAGTGACTTAATTGATTATTTATTGATTAGAATGATTTAATGAGCTTTCTAATCATAAGTAATTTTGTTTTTAGATTTTATAGATCATTTCTAGATTGCATCTGTATTTTGAGCAAAAGTTAGTTGTGCTCAAGATGGTTTTGCTGGGTACAGGTTACTATGAATGCCTGTAGGCCTGCATTTAAAAATTAGGAACCCGTAGCAGTTCTACGCAGAAAAAGAAAAAGTTCTGTGAAAACAAAGCAGGTTCCATTTGTTGAGGGATTACGAATGTTGCAAAGGGCTGAGGAAATCCGTTTACCGTGGGTACAGCAAAGTTGTTTCCCATCGTTGAGCACACCACGAAAGAAGACTGATTCAGGTTCTAAGACGCTGGGAAATGCTCTCTTGTCCTCAGTCGGTGTGTTCTTTTACCTTCAGTTTGTTTTGCTGGGATACATCATTTCCTCTCTCCTTGCGAAGGGCTGTAGCCATCGTATCCTCCTTTAGAATATATTTCTTTAAGCTCTTTAGAAAACTTCAGTCATGAAATGCTTAATGTTCTAAATCTGAATAAAACCATTGTGAATGTAGTCCGTAGCTCCCTTGGGACTACAGTTTCTAAAGGGAACAATTTAACATATTTTCTATGTCAATGGGCACACAGGGTAAATGATTTTGGAAAGAAAGCAATAATGTTTCCTAGGTCTAACAGGTCTTGTTCTAAAACAAATAAATACGAGACGTCGGCTGAATTCAGGGTCACACTTTTTAATTCAGATGACCTCTCAGTGTTTAATAAAATGGCAGGATAGCATCATGGTTAAAATGATGGGCTTTCTAGGAAGACTGACTTCATTTCAAGCGTTTATTTGCTGTGCGACTTCAGGCAAATTACATGCCTTTTCTTAGTCTCAGTTTCCTCACTCGCACAGTGACTGTTGTCAGGAGGATTAAATGAGCTTATGTCTGTGACAAGAGCTAAGCACACAGCAAGAACTTAATAATAAGTACAGTCATGCCTCGGTGTCCATGAGGAGGGGGGGTTGGGCCTATGACCCCATGGATACCAAAATCTGAGGATGCTCAAGTTCCTAGTATAAAATGTCCTCCATATCTGTGGGTTCTGCATCCTTGGACTCAGCTAACTGTGGATCAAAAATATTTGGAAAAAAAGGCGTTCGTGCTGAACACATATGGACTTTTTTTCTTGTTGTTATTCCCTAAATAACGTAACAACTATTTACATAGTTGTGGTTTTTTTTTTTTTTTTGTGATGGAGTCTCGCTCTGTCGCACAGGCTAGACTGCAGTGGTATGATCTCAACTCACTGCAACCTCCGCCTCCCAGCTTCAAGCAATTCTCCTGCTTCACCCTCCTGAGTAGCTGGGATTACAGGTGCGTGCCACCACATCCAGCTAATTTTTGCATTTTTAGTAGAGTTGGGGGTTTCACCATGTTGGTCAGGCTGGTCTCGAACTCCTGACCTTGTGATCCACCCCCTCCTTGGCCTCCCAGAGTGCTGGGATTACAGGTGTGAGCCACTGTGCCCTGCCTACAACTATTTACATAGTATTTACGTTGTATTATGTCTTGTAAGTAATCTAAAGATGATTTAAAATATATGTAGGATGTGGGTAAGTTCTATGCAAACACCACACCACTTTACATCAAAGGTCTGGACCATCCGTGGATTTCGGTATCCTGGTGGGGGGTGGGGCAAGGGGGCTCCTGGAACCAGCTCCCTAAGACAGCAAGAAATAACTGTATTTGCAGTGAACTCTTGCACATCCTCCTGTATACTTTAAATTAATTCTACATGTGCTTATAATACCTCATACAGTGTAAATGCTCTGTGAGTAGTCATTATACTGTATTTTTAAAATTTCTATTATTTTTTGCTTAATCGTTAGTTTTGATTATTTTTTTCCGCATAGTTTTGATCGTTGGTTGGCTGGATATGGAGCTCGCAGAGGGCTGAGTGTAATATTTCGTTGTTGGCCTTGGCATTCTCTGCTTTATTAGCCATCTAGTTTGTGGGGTGGGGCTGTCCTTTGCTTCTCAGGCAATACACATCTCAAAATATGCCCTGTTGCATTGGCCCTTTGGTTCTACACAGAACTCCACTTTTCCACTAGCTATATACATTATTTAATTTCTTTGTGCTTCTGTTTCCCTAGCTGGAAAAAGCAAATCATAGTAGCACTACATCATTGCCTTGCTGGGAGGATTAACTAAAGTAATGGTTGCCTTATTGCTCAGTCCTCAATAAATGTTCACTCTGTGTTTTGTGTTCCAGAGGCTGTTTCCTCTGCCTGGAACACACCTCCCCTTCCTCCTTCCTGAAGACTCCTTCCTTGTCATCTTCTCTGTTGTGTTTGTCAGGGTTCTCCCAAGCAGAGTGGAACGGTGCCTCCTCTGTGTCTCAATACAATTTTGTACATACTAATATTACTGCAGTTAGCATGTGTTAGAACCAGTTGGCTTTTTGCTTGATGCTGTGCTATCCTAAGTTGTTACAACAAGGCTCCATGGTAGCAAACTTACATTTAAGAGTAAGTAGAGGCTGGGTGCAGTGGCTCACACCTGTAATCCTAGCACTTTGGGAAGCTGAGGTGGGCAGATCACCTGAGGCCAGGAGTTCAAGACCAGCCTGGCCAACATGGTGAAACCCTGTCTCTACTAAAAATACAAAAAGTTAGCTGGTCGTGGTGGCTCACGCCTGTAATCCCAGCTAGTCAGGAGGCTGAGGCAGGTAAACCACTTGAACCTGGCAGGTGGAGGTTGCAGTGAGCCGAGATCATGACATTGCACTCCAGCCTGGGCAACAAGAGCAAAACTCCATCTCAAAAAAAAAAAAAAAAAAAAAAAAAACACGAAAAAGAGTAAGTAGAGATGTTTGACAAGTATGTGGAGGCTTATTTCCTTTCAAAAAGAAGAAGCCAATAGAGAATCAATTTTTAGGTTGCGCATTTATTATTTGTCCTTAAACTGATACATAGCATCTTAAAATTGGCAGGTGGAATGTTTTCCAGTAGCTCCATATTTCTATTAGTCAATTCAACACCTAGTTTGGGGAATAATCACCAGGCAGGGATCCAGGTGCTCTTGGGGCTCTTTCTCTAATATGCAGCCTTTGGACAAGCTGTTAACTTGTTAATGCCTTATCCTTTTTTTTTTTTTTTTTTTTTTGAGACAGAGTTTAGGCTGGAGTGCAGTGGCGCGATCTTGGCTCACTGCAACCTCTGCCTCCCGGGTTCAAGCGATTCTCCTGCCTCAGCCTACCAAGTAGCTGGGATTACAGGCACCCACCACCACACCTGGCTAATTTTTGTACTTTTAGTAGAGATGGGCTTTCAGCATGTTAGTCAGGCTGGTCTCAAACTCGTGACCTCAGGTGATTCACCCGCCTCAGCCTCCCAAAGTGCTGGGATTACAGGCGTGAGCCACTGTGCCGGGCTGCCTTATTCTTAAAATCGCAATAATGAGACCTCACTTACCAGGTTGCTATTATGATTAAGTGAGAGAACATGTGAAGTATTGTCTCTGATACTTAGAGGGTGCTCGGCAAATCTTAGATCTTTCTTTCTCTTGGCTGTAATCTATCCATTGCTGAAACAAGGATGCTAATTCCTGGAGACTATAAGAAAAATAATAAGTGATATCCACTAAGCAGAGGTCCACACAGTAGTGGCATTAATAGTTTTCATATTTTTTTTTTAGTCTTCTCATGGAGAAATTGAAGCTATTGGTATAATAGGTGGGGAAAGCAGTGTTCACAACCACTAATCAAACGAAGATTAGGCACTAAATGAAGAGGAAGAAACAATAAGAGAGGAGATCTCAGAAATGATCTCAAGTTGTAAACACTCAGGAGCCAAATTACAAAACAAATACACAGGCTAATTTTAAATCAATCACTGTATTAATTCTTTAAACATGGAAATTCAAAGGTAGCATTTTTTCTCTTTTTGTCTTTGATTTTAAGAAACTGCCCTTAAAATAGTAATAGTTTGGATGTGTAATTTGCTGTACTTTCTTAATTTAGGCCAGGCGTGGTGGCTCATGCCTGTAATCCCAGCACTTAGGGAGGCCGAGGTGGGCGGATTACAAGGTCAGGAGTTCGAGACCAGCCTGGCCAACATGATGAAACCCCATCTCTACTAAAAATACAAAAATTAGCTGGGCGTGGTGGCAGGTGCCTGTAATCCCAGCTACTCAGGAGGCTGAGGCAGGAGAATCGCTTGAACCCGGGAGATGTAGGTTGCAGTGAGCCCAGATCGTGCCATTGTACTCCAGCCTGGGCGACAGGGCGAGACTCCGTATCAAAATCAAACAAACAAACAAAAACTTTCTTAATTTAAATACCAATACACTTTAGATTTTTGCAAGATATTTTTATATTTTTAGATCATATTTTTTTGAGTGCTTGTTGTTTCAGGCTGGTGGTCTTATCCGTTTAGACATTTAGCCAAGTCATGCTTCCCATTTTTCTGCTTTGATGTGTGGATGCTCCATTCTCTCGGCATTTGTATCCCTCCTCTAGCAATGTCACCTCTTCCCCACTTTTCTCACAATGTCCCCCTGAGGTTTGAGGGTTCCTACTGACAGTTAACACCATGAATTAAAAGTCATAAAGTTTTCATTTTAGGCATGTTCTTCTCACTATTGTACAGCATTTTTATTGATTTGCTAACTGCATTGGATTAATCTGCTAACTGCATTACACTCTTATTAAATTACATTGCTATTCCAGAGAAGGGACAGCTAAAGCTGAAATCCTTTAGTTTTTATTTCTCTTGGTAGATTAAGACACTTTGGTCATTCATTCATTGATTCATATATTCAGCACATGTTCACAGACGCTTATTGTGTGCCTGGGTGTGGTCTAGGTGTGGGGGATTATCCAAGGATATCGGGTAGTGAGCAAAGTTGAAATGGTCTCCGCCTTCATGGACCTACAGATTAGTGGGAGAGAGAGAGAGAGACAGACTCAGACTCAAACATGAAGGAAATAAAACAGGCTGCTAGGAGGTTCAGAAGAAGGGGACCTGGCCTGGGCAGGATGCTCCTGGGGCAGGGAGTGTGAAGGCCAAGGGCAGCAGAAAGTAATGGGGAGCCAGTGTGGCTGGAGCTCCTGGGCAGATCAGGAGAGACAGGATGGAAAGAAGAGACAGTGCCCCAGGAAGCCACTGGAAGGCTTAATGGGGGAAGTGGCATGGGCAGGCCGAGTTTGTCAAAGATCACTGTACCGAGGGGCTGGAATGACATGGAGCAGGATGGTTGGGCATGCAATAGCGCATGAGGCCGGGGAGCCACAGAACTCACAGCCTGCTGGGGACTCCAGACAAGGAAAAGAGCAGCCTCGCTGCAGCCAGAGAACAGCTTGCAGAGAGCCTGCAGGGGGCTGATTTCAGGAGCTCACAGTTTTGTGGGAACGCAGGCTGGTAGGAGGGAGCAGCTGCCAAGAGATGGAGTTAGGGATGTTCACTGGGGTCAGAGCAGAAAGCCCCCACAACCCACGTCATGAAGTCCCTAGTTTGTTTAAGAAGGACAGTAGTGCGGCCGGGCGCGGTGGCTCACGCCTGTAATCCCAGCACTTTGGGAGGCCGAGGCGGGCGGATCACGAGGTCAGGAGATCGAGACCATCCTGGCTAACACGGTGAAACCCCGTCTCTACTAAAAATACAAAAAAATTAGCCGGGCGTGGTGGCGGGCGCCTGTAGTCCCAGCTACTCGGGAGGCTGAGGCAGGAGAATGGGTGAACCCGGGAGGTGGAGCTTGCAGTGAGCCGAGATCGCGCCACTGCACTCCAGCCTGGGCGACAGAGCGAGACTCCGTCTCAAAAAAAAAGAAAAAAAAAAAAAAGACAGTAGTGCAAAGGCTTTGCTCAGCAGTGACAGGATCACCTTGAGGCACTTTAGGAGCTCATTCTTCCTGCAGTGTGGAGAAAGGATTTGGGATGACAGAGGTGGGAAGAGGAGCAAGACTAGAGAGAGGAAGGGAAGTCCATGTTGCTGCCTGTTCATAGATATTTTCATCCATGATTTAGAGGACGACAGTCTCTCTCTCTCTTTTTTTTTTTTTTTTTTTTTTTGGGACGGAGCTTCGTTCTTGTTGCCCAGGCTGGAGTGCAGTGGCGCGATCTCAGCTCACTGAAACCTCCACCTCCCGGGTACAAGCGATTCTCCCGCCTCAGTCTCTCAAGCAGCTGGGATTACAGGCGTGAGCCGCTGCGCTCGGCAAGGAAGACAGTCTCTTATCCAGTTTTCTAAAAGTAGGTGAGTGGTCGGGTGCGGTGGCTCACGCCTGTAATCCCAGCACTTTGGGAAGCCAAGGCAGGCAGATCACAAGGTCAGGAGTTCGAGACCAGCCTGGGCAACATGGTGAAACCCCCGTCTCTACTCAAAAAATACAAAAAAATTAGCTGGGCGTGGTGGTGCATGCCTGTAGTTCCAGCTACTCAGGAGGCTGAGGCAGGAGAATCTCTTGAACCCAGGAGACAGAAGGTTGCAGTGAGCCGAGATAGCACCACTGCACTCTGGCCTGGGTGACAGAGCAAGACTCTGTCTCTAAATAAATAAATAAAAAGTGGGTGAGCGACTCTCTTCACTCTCCGATGCTCTCTCCCTCTAGCCTTTTGTAGTTTCCCCACATTAAAGTGGTTTTGTTTGCGGTGAGATAAACAACACCGGACTTCCACACTCTCTTTCTTGGAAAACTTCGGCACAGAAAGAATGTATTTGTGAGTTTTCTCAAAAGGCAAGAGAAGCAAGTGAATATAAAATGATCCCAGTCATGCATATTTCAAAACAGGGAAACTGCTGCAGAACCCACATGCTACTTTTTTTATGGTGTTGGTTTGTTCTGCGTACTTTGAAAACCGTAACACATCTCATTTCACAAATTATCCAGGATTCATATACTATTCTTCTAAAGAAAAAAGAAAAGAATCCATCACTGATTTTACTTTTGTTCTAAAAATGTTATTGAAACCTTTTCTTCATTCTGAATTATTTGAACTCAACTATGTGATTCTTGTCGGAAGTATATACAGATCTCACAAATATATTTAGATTCCTTTCCACAAGAGTAGTTTAGTTAGGGGAGTTTCCTATTAAATAATATTTTCATTGTAAACATTTGAGACTTTAAAAATTGTCCAAATAATTGGGGGTAAATCAAAAAGGAATTTGAAAAGCTATGAAATAGAAAGAACAGAATAAAAATTTCTCCATCTTGACAGCCTTAAAATCAGTGGCAGTGACTGCCAGAATGTGATTGTGGAGCACCAATTTTGTGATACTTGGGCCTCTTGAGTAAAAAAAGAGGTGCATGTCACATTAGTTTGGGAAATGCTGAATTAAACAAAGTTGCACCATTTTCTTTACTGTAGGACTCCTTAGGGTCCTACATATGCTCATGAGTGGTGACTATACCAACGCAGGTATAAAGTGTGGTGTTTCCCCATGGAATACTATGCAGCCATAAAAAAGGATGAGTTCATGTCCTTTGGAGGGACATGGATGAAGCTGGAAACCATCTTTCTCAGCAAACTAACACAAGAACAGAAAACCAAACACCACATGTTCTCACTCATAAGTGGGAGCTGAACAATGAGAACACATGGACACAGGGAGGGGAGCATCACACACTGGGGCCTGTCAGAGGGTGGGAGGCTGGGGGAGGGATAGCATTAGGAGAAATACCTAATGTAGATGATGGATTGATGGGTGCAGCAAACCACCGTGGCACATGTATACCTATGTAACAAACCTGCATGTTCTGCACATGTACCCCAGAACTTAAAGTATAATTTTAAAAAAAAAAGTGTGGTGTTTCCCAGATGGATTTTACCACAAAACTTTTTTTTTAAAGAAGTGTATTCTGGGACTAGTGTTTTATGGGATTTCCTTGGGAAAGGCAGATTTTTCACACAGGGGTGGTATATGGGTCATGAAGGCAAGGGTGGTATTGGGAGCATACCTCCTAGCCCCACACCTGGTTGCCCCTTTACCACTTTGCATTGTCATTCATTGCCACCTTCCCCTCCCACTAGAGGTCCTGGAGGCAGGGGTGCCCCTTGTTCCTGTTGTACCCAGTGGCAAGACTGGGGCCCATTCATAGTAGGTAGCACTTAACTTGCTTGAGCATTTTTTCTGTGCCACACACTATTTATGAGGTATACATGATTATTATCCCTGATTTTTTTTGAGACTGAGTCTGGCTTAATCGCCCAGCCTGGAGTGCAGTGGCAGGATCTGGGCTCACTGCAACCTCCGCCTCCCGAGTTCAAACAATTCTCCTGCCTCAGCCTCCCGAGTAGCTGGGATTACAGGCGTGCACCACCATGCCCAGCTAATTTTTGTCTTTTTAGTAGAGACGGGATTTCACCATGTTGCCCAGGCTGGTCTTGAACTCCTGACCTCAAGTGATCCACCTGCCTCAGCCTCCCAAAGTGCTGGGATTATGGGCATGAGCCACCACACTCGACCTTACACCCATTTTATAGACATTAGGAGGTTCAAAACTTGCCCAGAGTCCTACAGCTGGTGTGTGAGGGAGCCGGAAAGTGGTTCTGAATAGATGTATGCGACATGAGTGAGTGAAATTTGCTTTACTCTTGCAGAGCTAAGACTGTGGGCCTCTAATTCTCATTGAAGGTGGTTTCATGTGACAACACCCCTTCCGTCGTCATTCGGGTAAATTTCTTTAGTCCTTGATAAAAACTAATTTTTGTAATTAATGCTTCTTTAAAAATAACATGAAAAAAGAAACTAAAAGAACATCCACTGCACCGTGGAGCACTTCTTGTCACGTTGCAGGGCCCGTGGGAGGAACTCAAAAAGGTCTCACTGGCGGATTGATTTCTGCCCTACCAAGCCTGTGCTATTCATTAGGGTTTTTTTGTTTTTTGTTTTTGTTTTTGTTTTTTTGAGATGGAGTCTCACTCTGTCACCCAGGCTGGAGTGCAGTGGCATGATCTTGGCTCGCTGCAACCTCCGCTTCCCAGGTTCAAGCGATTCTCTTGCCTCGGACTCCTGAGTAGCTGGGATTACAGGCGCCCACCACCATACCTGGCTAATTTTTTGTATTTTTAGTAGAGACGGGGTTTCACCATGTTGGCCAGGCTAGTCTCGAACTCCTGACCTAGTGATCCACCCTCCTCGGCCTCCCAAAGTGCTGGGATTACAGGCTTGAGCCACCACGCCAAGCCCGCTTTTGTTTTTATAATTAATTTTTACTTTTACAAAGGTAATTATTTACATAATTTAAGAAGTCAAAAATGCACACACACATCACACACACTACTGTCTAGCATAATGAAAAATAACAATTGCCTGATCGCTTCCCCACCAATATTTATTTATTTATTTATGTATTTAGAGACAGAGTCTCACTGTGTTGCCCAGGCCGCAGTGCAGTGGTGCGATCTCGGCTCAGTGCAACCTCTGCCTGCCTGGTTCAAGTGATTCTCCTGCCTCAGCCTCCCAAGTAGCTGGGATTACAGGCGTGCACCACCACACCCAGCTGATTTTTGTATTTTTAGTAGAGACGGAGTTTCACCATGTTGGCCAGACTGGCCTCCCAAAGTGCTGGGATTACAGGCTTGAACTACCACGCCCGGCCCCCCAACCAATCCTGGATTCTCATTCTCAGAGGTAATCTCTTCAGACTCCTCTAGTTGTTTCCTTGGCATGTATCTAATTTCTAAATGTGCTTGTAATGCTTTATCTTGGTTTATTACTTTGGATTTTATCTTTTCTCTTCCTGGTAGCCTAAGGGAAATTTAGCTTCCTTATGTACTCACCTCACCTCCCTTTATCTTCCGCATGTACAAGAACTTACAGATAAATCAATAATCAGTATTGGTATTAATGATGACTACATAACTTTTATTCTTTGAAGGGCCAAGTATTGTGCTATGAATACACTTACTTTCCTTACACAGCCATTCGTTTTGTCTGCAGTTAATGATTGCCTTTTTAAAAAATTGCATAGATTTTAAAAAATAGCCTTTAACTTTTTCCCCAGTGCTCATCAGAAGTGCCAGATTCCCACCAGAATTTTTTTCCCCAAGTACTCTAGTATCTCAGGCAATCTAGGTATTCCTCCCTGTTCTTGGAGACTTAGCTTTGAGAGCGCCCTGTCCTCCTCCTCTGATCGGGACTAGTAGCTTTTAAGGCTGGCTAACAGCTGATATCTGGGAGTTTTCTTTTCACCATTCCTGTGTTGGATCCTCTGTCTTCTAGGCCCCATGTCTTCCTGTTCCTGGATTTATTTCCCGATTTTGCTGGGCCACATCTCTAGTAGCTTCCTGGGAATATTAATTTTGGGAGTTTGGGAGAGGATTGTTCTGTTCTGTGCCTTGCATCCGCTTCTTTAAAGTTTTTTTTTTTCTAGTTTTTGCTTTGTTTTGATCTCTGGAGGCACTAAAGTGTTGCTTGGAAGTTCTGTGGGAGGTGGGCTTATCCCTCGTGGGCCTGCCTGCAGAGCGATCTGTAGAGGATAATGGTTGGGCTTTTCTCTTGCGCCAGTTTCCCTGGAAGAGTCTACCAGGCTCCAGAGTGTGACAGCAGTCCAGAGGGAGAGTAAGGCATATGATTTTTCACATAACCCTATTTCATTCAGTAACTGATTTCTCCTTTCAGCTATGCTTGGTATCCCTAAGTTAACAACCTGTGGGTTAACCTCTCCAGTATATAAAATTGCTGCCGTCTGCCTAGGTTGAGAGGTAACTGTATTAGATGAAGGAATAGGACTGAGTGTCTAAATGCTCCTTAGAAAGTTTTGCAAACAATAGTTCTGCTTTCAGTCCTGTTTTACACCTCGCCGTTAACAATACCTGAATTTGAGAGACTTTGCAGCCTTCTTTCCTCCCACCAGCTTTTAATTTATTTCTTGTGACAGAAAAGTTACAAAGTACATGAAAGGAACACTAGTCTGCTATTCACCTAGATTTACTAATTGTTAACATTTTGCTGCATTTGTTCTATCTATCTATCTATCTATCTATCTATCTATCTATCTATCTATCACCTATCTGTCGATCTATCATTCTATCATTCATCTATCTATCTATCTATCTATCTATCTATCTATCTATCTATCTCTAGTATCTATTTTCTGTACATTTGAGAGTAGTTGCAAGCATCATGGCACTAATGTTTTAGAGCTGCATTTCCTAAATGTTTCAGAGGTACATTTCCCAAGAGCAAGGACATTCTCTTACACATAATAAGACTAGAATTACTGAATTCAGAAAGTTGATCATTGATATGATACTATTTCTAGTGTGCAGTTAACATTCACGTTTTTTCTGTTGTCCCAATAATATCGTCTATAACTGTTTTTTAAAATTCTTATATTTAAATTCCAAACTCTAAGGATCACATGTTATATTGACTTGCATTTCTTCAGCTTCTTTTAATGTCAGAGTTTTCCAACCTCCTTTTGCATTTTATGAAACTGATTTTTTCGAGCATTACAGGCCAATTGTTTTGCAGAATATTCCTCAGTTTGAAGTCCAATTATTTCTCCATGGTTAGATTTAGATTAAGCATTTTTTTGCAAGAATACTGTGTAAGTTGTGTGGTGTTCTGGACACAGGAAGGGGAACATCACACAGTGTTGTGGGGTGGGGGTGGGGGGAGGGATAGCATTAGGAGATATACCTAATGTAAATGATGAGTTAATGGGTGCAGCACACCAACATGGCACATGTATACATATGTAACAAACCTGCATGTTGTACACATGTACCCTAAAACTTAAAGTATAATAATAATAATAATAATAATAATAATAATAATAAAAGAAAAAACACTGGGAGGCACGTGGTGGCTTTTTGTCTCATTGATGATACTAAGTTTGATCATTTGGTTATGGTGGTGGCAGCCTGATTTCTCCATTGTCTTTTTCTTTTTGTAATTAAAAATAATCTGTTGATATTTTGAGGCTGTATGAATAGCTTGTTTTCCAACAGCCTTTGACCCTGTGGTTTTATCATGCATCAGTAATTCTTGCTTTAATCACTTGTTGCAATGGTGGTTACAAATGTGATATTCGAATTCGATAGTTTCTTCTAAAGTTATGAATTGATGTTCATTTGTTGAACGAAAATAAGCACTGTCCTTTCTAAGCACTCTATAATTTTTTGTTTGTTTTTGTGCCATAATGGACTCATGGATTTCTTTTTATTCAGTGGGTTATAGTCTTTTGCAGGCATGGTATTCTATGCTGAACTGGTTCCCGATTTGACCACAGAAATCCTTTCAATCTTGTCCCCGTGTCTTTTGAGGTGTCCTCATCAGTTTTTGAGCCTTTTCTGACACTAAATGATGTTCCATGTTCACCTATGTTTTTCCTGCCTTGGACCTATTTGTGATGATCAATTATTTCTCTAAGGCACCGTGGTTTCCTTCAGGGCGGATGGTAGAATGGTATTTAGAACCCAATATCGTGAATAAGGCACCCTGGTTTCTTTCAGGGGGGATGATAAAATGGTATTTAGAACCCAAGAGAGTGAATAAGGCACCCTGGTTTCTTTCAGGGGGGATGGTAGAATGGTATTTAGAACCCACTATCGTGAATGAGGCACCCTGGTTTCTTTCAGGGGGGATGGTAGAATGGTATTTAGAACCCAAGATCGTGAATGAGGCACCCTGGTTTCTTTCAGGGGGGATGGTAGAATGGTATTTACAACCCAAGATCGTGAATAAGGCACCCTGGTTTCTTTCAGGGGGGATGGTAGAATAGTATTTAGAACCCAAGATCATGAATAAGGCACCCTGGTTTCTTTCAGGGGGAATGGTAGAATGGTATTTACAACCCAAGATCGTGAATGCTATGGGAGCTCTTTGTACTGGGGTGGCGTTGCCTCCTGAGCTTTTCAGTGGACGGAGCTAGGAGAAATATACATATAAAATCAGGAGTTCATAGAGATATCACTGGGCTCTTTGTCTCCTCTCATGATTAATTTTCTCAGTCACACCATATATACCATATATATAAAATACCATATATATAAAATAGTAATTTTAGAATTACTATACCCATACCACCCTCTGTGGTTGGCTTTTCCTCTTGTATATATATTTATACTTTCTTCACTCCTGTAATTCAGCTACTTCTCATCCATCTGCTTTTCCAACTTCCAAAATTATTTCATGACTTATCTGCTTTCATCTTCCCTCTCATTCTCTTCTCCTTTTCTATTCCACCTACTGTCATTTTGGTGAGAGTTGGGGAGACACTGTTTGCAGTCTGCCATGTTTAACTGAAAAGCCCATCTTAGATCTTCCGTCTGTTGGTTACTTGAAGTAAGAAGACAGAGAATAAGCAGTATTTACCTTTAACACCCCAAGTAGCTCTGCTCATGATGTCTGCCTCGGTGTCCCGGGCCCGCACTCCTCCAGTATCCCTCACTGGCAATTAGAACTCTGTACGGCTTCCTTGAAGTTTCTCTTCCTAACTCTCTCAGTGGGTGGGACTCCTTTTCAGTGATATTGACGGTAGACCTGAAAATTCAGGGATGTGGGCAGTTCTGGAGAGAATAGGCCAGGCTCTCTGTGGATACATTTGCACTGTGCTTGAGGACTGAATGCTACAAATCAGACAGTCCTGGATTATTTCAGACTGAAAAAAATTAGGAGACTAACCTGGGAAGAGGCAGAAGGCACGCCAGCTCTCTCAGCATGTTTTTGATGTCTCGGTGTTCTCATTTCATTGAAATTAGTGCAGACCTCTCCCCTCAGCTGTAACACTTGGATTTTCTAAGCCACTTTGATGTCTCCTATCTCTGCTTATTTACAATGAACATAGCTTCGAATTTTCATTTTCTTTCTACTCTGTTAAATGTGTTATGTGGAAATCTGAAATCTGAAGACAAATTTTTACCTTAGAATTCTAAGAATGCCTTTGGTATCAACGCCAGTTAGGAAGGTCTAACTCAGGGCGGAAGGGGGGGTTTTCAAAAAGGTGATATTCGTGAGGCAGCCATCGCCTTCGAAACACTTTGAGAGGTTTAATTTATTTCTCATGCTTTGGTAAACAAAAGCTGGCATTTTCTTTCCATGGTTTTTCCACTGCAAGGCTGCCGTTCCTCCCCTTCCCCCGCAGTGGTGCATTTTGGTGATCAAATCTAAAACATGTGTCAGGTTTGCGGGCATGCTTTTTACCAGGAACCTCCTTTAATACTTGCCATATTGGCAGTTTTCACAAGATCTTCTCGCTGTGCTTTATTTATTTATTTATTTACTCTGCTTGCATTGTGGAATTATGGGTAGAGCTGTTTTACATCAGAATCATGTTAAATAAAAATATTGAAAGAACATTTTGACCAAGAATAATGTGAATATTTCAACATAAATATCTATGCTGAATTGGCTTCTAGATTTCAGAACAGGAAGAACATCTTCAGTGATGTTCATGATTTGGATTTGCTTTGCTGCGGAGTAGGTTTAGCGACAAATTCCATCTGGCTGGAGCTACATGCAGTCTCTCTATTGATTGGTTATATTGGGACTTCATGGGAGTGTCCTTCAATTTGCTTTTCCCAGCATTTTTAAAAGCTCCATTGGAAAAAAAAATAGAGACTAGAAAAGAAAAAAGGAACCTGCATTGTTTCAGTTTGCATCCAACATGCAAAACATAGTTCTAAATTTTTAATTAGCTAAGTGAGTGGTGAAAAGGAAAAGTAATATAACAAGCCTCCGTGAGCAGCTGGGATGTGTTGTCATGACGACAAGTTCAGCAGGCTGCCAGCAAGCATGTCAATGGGTAATATTGGGAGAGCGCTTTGAAACAGTGCCTGCTAGCCACAATGTGATTGGTCACGCCTCTGTTGTCTTTGTGTGAACCGGTGCATGCTGGGTAAGACCTAGAGTGAATGCTCAGCTTGTCTCAAGGCTGCAATGAGGTAATGCTTCTGAATCTTTGGGGATCATGAGCTCCTGCCTCCAAAAGACTGCAGTCTAGAGTGTTTTCATTCCGATTTGCGTTAATTACCGACTGTAACATGTTAGGAAGTTTTACAGCTGCCTTTATTCAATCTTTTATATGTGCATGTGTATATTATAGATAACTTAACACGTGTGTATGCTGCATAGAGAATCTCAAGCGTATTCTAAAAAAAGAGATAACCCTCCATATTAGTCATTCTGCTCAGAGTCAACATTTCATTTGATTGCTGGCATCAGTGACAATATCTATTGGTGGATAAATGATACATTAAAGTGCATTTACATTGGGTAAGCAAACTTGTTCATTTCTAGAGGATATTTTGGCATTGATTACTTTTTAAAGCCTTTTATCTATAATGAGTCGTAAGGGCCATAAAGGGGGATGTAAAGAGTGTCGGATTTGCTTGGTCAGGAGGTTTAGTTCATTTTTAGATTCCTTGAAATTGGCTGGTTTATATCCTAATATTGATATTATAGTCTTTCATTAATTGACCATAATATCTGATTGCTCCAAAACTATCTGCTGAATAATGCTCTGACAGTTTCAACTTAAAGCTGTAAAGGGAAGCTGTGTTTACAGACGCAAAGATCTGGAAATGTTTATGGTGGTTTGTGAAACAAATACATCAAGGTGCTGATGTGACAGAGACACATGAGCTACACCCCTCAGCCCTACCCCTGGTTCTCTGTGACACAGCGACTTGGATGCTCTCCAGGGTTTTGTCGGTTGGTTAGAGAATGTTTTATCACATTCATAAATAGTAACCCAATGCCCTGGAAAGGTTAAGGCAGTGTCTCCAACTAAGGTATGTGTCGCTAGGGGGGACACATACCATAGTTGAGTTGGGCTATCTGGTTCATCGTGTCACAAATGGGAAGCATGTGAGCAAGCTTTTGGACAGAGCTCACCGAGCTGTCATATTGCCACCCCAATGTATTTACCCCTCAAACAGTTCATAAAAATTTATAAGCCTTTAAAAGCATAAACAAAGAATAAAAACACATCGAACGACAAGTGATGGTTGCTGCTGCTGCTGCTGCTGCTGCTGCTGCATAGAACGGTGGACTCTGCCAGCCACCTTGCTTTATGTGAGGTCAGGCCACCGGCATGTGAGGAAGCTGGATGATCGTCAGCCCAGCTACCTCCGTTCACCAAATACAAGGCCAGCTAGCAAGAATCTGTAGCCAGCTTTGCAGCGCTTCACCCTTGCTTTATTCTTTTATATATTCATTTTTTAATGTTTTAGATTCAGCGGTACAAGTGCAGTACCCCTAAATCTTATTGTGTTACATGCGTATCTTCCACAGTGGTGACGTCTGGGCTTTTAGTGTGCCCATCACCCAGATAGTGTACACTGTACCCAGTAGGTAGTATTCTTGGCTTATTTCTACCCCTCTATATGGTTTCCGTTTATATGGCTTTGTAAAGAAAGACTTTACCAAAGATACATAAATGTGATAGCATAGCTAGGTTTTTAAATAATTGGTTCAAAATATTTGTAGCACAAAAAGGATCTTGGGTTGTGACTTTTACCAAGATGTTGATTCTATCTCCTGGCACAAATGCCAAAGCCAGACAGCTTGTGCTGAGACCACAGTTGGAGAGGCCTTTGAAGTGGGCTGGAGTCCTTTGTCTAAAACAAAGCAGGGTGCGGTGACCCCATGAAGAGAAATCCACCTGTTGATGAGACAGGCACTTTTTCTCTATAAACATTTGATTGTTCTGTTACCTTCATTTCTCTGGCAGATGGGTTAATTGTGTAGTTTCAAATTTCAAACATGCTTTTCTAATTAAACAATTTTTAGGTTCATTAATGACTCAGTTTGCATAAGATTGGATCCTCTGTAGTGCAGTTCCATTGTTATAAGCAGGATTTGTTATCTTTGTTGACTCGCAGGCTGTAAAGATTCCCTTACTTTAAAATGTAGAAATCACATTTCTTAATCGTCATAGGAAGACAACTTTATTTTGTGTAACTATATAGTAATCGTTTTTCTTAAGTGGCAAAATTCTAATCTTTTATATTTAGGTGATTTAGTATGTCTCTGTGGTCAGATTATGATATGGCAAAATCTTCATTATTAAGTCATTTTAAAGCATCTAACAAATGCAAAATTAATACGTTAAAGATTAAGTAGAAGTGAAAGGTAAAGTGATGTTCTGTTTAATTTACTATTTCATGAGCTTTTTACTATTTTGAAAGCCCCCTTGAAGAGGAGCAATGGCAAGTTCAAACTAGCGTGAATCATTATATCCTGTGACAGGTTCCACAATAAATGACTTGTGATTGATGTGAAGCCTGATGCTTAGAGATTAATGGCAGATGCAGTATTGTAGTGTTTTTCTTTCATCACTAATATTATCCAGTGAAGCTAGTAGCTTAGCAAAAGACTTTGCTCAGAAATAATTGGGATTGGTAATACTGATGGTCTGTGAAGTTTTAAAAAATATGACCCTTTAGGGAAGTCTAGAGAAAAACAGTGTGCTTTTAGATAATTTGGTGGGTTCAAGAAATTTAAAAATACTTTTCTTTAGAAATTCACTGTTTACAAACAAATATCAAGCTCACTACATTTATAAAAGGGGGGTTATTAAGCAGTAGAAGCAAAAGTTCTTTTGAAGATAGGCAAACTTTAGGAGAAGAATAAAATCAGGGTCTCTGGAAGGTAGAATATCAAGAGTATTAAGGCTTCAAAATCAGACAAAATCTTAATTCTTCTACACTCATTGGGGTAACTTTTGATCACTTACTCTCTCTACATTGATCCTTCTCCCACACTCACCAGTCACAAAAGTCAGTGTCCCCCAGGTGTAGATGAGTGGGATGGACCAGTGGATACACCTGGCTCTTTACTGATCAGGTGGTTCTGTCACATGGAAATATGAGGAGACAGTATTTGTTACCCCCAACTAAGAAACATGTGGTCTCTATTCTTATGGGTTTTATTATGACGTCAAAAAGTCATATTTGTATAATACTTAACTTCATTAATAAAGTGCCATTAAAATAATTTTTAAATGACACAAATTATAATAGGAAACAACATGTTGAATGTTGCTTTTATCTATTTAAAAATGTTATATTTTTTTTCTTTTTTTCTTTTTTTTTTGAGACGGAGTCTTGCACTGTCACCCAGGCTGGAGTGCAATGGTGTGATCTCTGCTCACTGTAAACTCTGCCTCCTGGGTTCAAACGATTCTCATGCCTCAGCCTCCTGAGTAGCTGGGATTATAGGTGCCCGCCACCACACCCGGCTAATTTTTGTATTTTAGTAGAGACGGGGTTTCACCATGTTGGCCAGGCTGGTTTCGAACTCCTGACCTCAGGTGATCCGCCTGCCTCGGCCTCCCAAAGTGCTGGGATTACAGGCGTGAGCCACCACACCCGGCCTAAAAATGTTGTATTATTTCTAATATGACAAAAATGCAACCTTACTGGCTTTCTTTTTTTTTTTTTTTGAGACGGAGTCTCGCTCTGTCACCCAGGCTGGAGTGCAGTGGCATGATCTCGGCTCACTGCAAGCTCCGCCTCCCGGGTTCATGCCATTCTCCTGCCTCAGCCTCCCTAGTAGCTGGGACTACAGGCGCCCACCACCACGCCCGGCTTATTTTTTGTATTTTTAGTAGAGACGGGGTTTCACTGTGTTAGCCAGGATGGTCTCGATCTCCTGACCTCGTCATCTGCCTTCCTCGGCCTCCCAAAGTGCTGGGATTACAGGCGTGAGCCACCGCGCCCAGCTTTCTTTACAAAGCTGAATGTTGATAATTGAAATAGAGACTAGTCTGAAATGTACTTCTGTTCCACTTGTGTAAAAAGGGTTTCCTAAATGAATTAATGGCACAAGGGAGATGATCTGCTTCAGAGAATAAACTTTGCAAGTCACTTCAGTTCTTCCGATGGGGTGCTGATTAATATTCAAATGTTATGTTGAGAAAGGACTGATTTTCAGATCTTTGTGACCTAGAATCACTTCCCCTATGGTGCATTTTACACATTGTGTGGTTGTAGTATGTCAAATCCTTTTTTATTTGGAGCTCATGTTATTTAGATTGAGTCTATGGTGAGGTTGTATGTAATGCATGATGCCAACAGCGCTGGGAGAGAAATGCTGTCTTTATCTCAGTACCTGTTTATCTTGAGTTGAAAGTTTGTTACTTGTAGGTGGATTGTACTCTGTACTGTGCTTTTGTCTTCCTTTTGTCCCCAGACCAGAGCTAAGTATAAAACAGGTGTAAAAAATTGGTGAGTCGTTTTTGTTTTGTTTTGCTTTTTGAGACAGAGTGTTGCTCCGTCGCACCCAGCAGTGGTGCAGTCTCGGCTCACTGCAACCCCCGCCTCCCAGGTTCAAGCGATTCTCCCACCTCAGGCTCCCAAGTAGCTGGGATTACAGGTGCATGCCACCATGCCCAGCTGATTTTTTGTATTTTTAGTAGAGATGGGGTTTCACCATATTGGCCAGGCTGGTCTCAAACTCCCGACCCTAGGTGATTCACCCGCCTTGGCCTCCCAAAATGCTGGGATTACAGGCATGAGCCACTGTGCCCAGCCAAATTGGTGAGTTTTTACATTGAAACGTTATGAAAAATTACCCTTGACCTCAGAAACAGGAAATGGAAGGGTTTTATGAAATCTTAGACATGTTATCTGTTGAATTTTCTTATCACGAAACAGTGCTGCTCATATTTACCCATTTCCTCTTTCAATCAGCATAAAAATCTTATAGTCTTGAAATCTGAAATTTGAATTAAAAAGATATTGTGGTTGAATTTAAATCAAAGCAGTTATGCCGTGTTTATGAATCTTTTAGCCACTCATGGCACCAGCATGTCCGTTTTCTTGGTGACAAGGCATGTGGAATGGTGACAAGTGTGTAGGTTCAGGATATTAGAACGACATTTGAATCCTGGAGGTACCATTTCCTTGCTGGGAGACTTAGAACAAATTAGCTTTAATCCTTTAAATGAGGATTACACCCACATCACAGGTTATATTAATTGTGAACCTATATGAAGTGTCTGACATAGAGTACTGGCCGTGCAGAAGGTGTGCAATAAATGTTAGCATTCTTTATCTCCTGCTTGCATTTAATTGCTAAAATGACCAAATTCTGTTCACTTTAATGGGATATCTTTCCTGAAGGGATAAGATAAAATTGTTTGTTCTTCAACTCTGATAAGTTATTCTAGAAGAATATCTTTCTGATACCATTAGACAGTTTTATCATCTGTCCTTATGTAATGTCCTTAGTTTTATCAGCTCAAAAATAGGGATGCAATTGATATCAACATATTGAGATCATTAGGGGTTTATCATTGGAAAAGGGGTAAGAGAGGAGCTTTAGACGGGAAGCTCATTCGGGCACTTATGCTTAGGGTGACAGAGGAAACCAGTGGCGGGGGTTGTGGGGGGCGGTTTCCAGTAGTGCAGGTGAAAACCTAAAGCAAAAGAAAGGAACGGATTTAGAGACATCCAGAGAGTGAGTAGAGTGGCTCTGTTGACTGTTTCATTATGAGGGAAGGGGGTGGTTAGGGAAGAAGGGACAGCAGGTGTCTGTCTCACATTCATGTGTCATGTGGCTGCCCCAGTGGTGGTGCTACAGTCCAAACCAGGAGATACAAGAAGGGGCAGGATTTATGGGATAGAGTGAACATTCAGTTTTGGACATGTTGAGTTTGAGGCACTGGGGGTATCTAGGTGGAATCATCTGATAGGTAAAGAGAGAGGGGGGCAGGGAGGGAGGGAGAGGGAGAGATTGAGAAAGACAGGTGGGTCAGGCAATCAGAGAGAGTTTTGGGACCAGGGAGGGAGTTTTGACCCCTTCAGCTCTATATGGCCAAGAGTGGTTATGCCTGAGACGGTGGGTGGGCCTGCCCCTGTGGGGCACATAGCTGGGGAAGAGAGGAGGTGTGGGTGAGGATGGAGCCTTCGAGAGCTCTCTTTTAGACGCCAGCAGAGGAAACAGTTATAAGAAGAGGAAACTCAGACCATAGTTATGAATTTAGAATCTGCATTTGGTTTTAATAATTTACACACAGTGAGTTTCCCAAAGAGATGGAGAAGTCAACTGTTTGGAACCAAAAAGCCAAAGCTGGAAAGAACCACAGTGCCCTGAGTCAGTTCTGCATTTGATGGACAGATGGACGGGTCTCTTGAGTCCACTGAATTTCCATTTCATCACAGTCACCCTCCCGGCGGCGCCTCCCCCAGAAGCCGTTCCCAGGGGTGGTGATGACTCAGGCTACGCCACACATTCACCTTAACCTTCATGAGACCACAATGCTGCAGATGGCTGTGGGAAATAGAAGGTACTGAACACTCAACAAGGAGGCGTGCAATTTAGAGTAGTTTTCACTCATCTTTAGCATGAGTGCTTAAATGGTTGTAATTAGAAGGGATGACCTAGGACCTGTGCGGAAAGTGTGACTTAATATTTTAAGTATTTTTGGGAGCTATTAAAACAAGAAAAGTGTTCTTTACTTTGTCAAATTTTGCTTTTTTCTTTTCCTTGATAGAACTCGATCAATGTCTTAGCTATTATATAATCTGTCATTAAAACTGTGACCTTGGGCAAGTTACCTAACTCTCCCTGATTTCATTCATGAAATGGAGATAATAGTATTTGTTTCATAAGGTTCTTATGAGAACAAAGTGACGTGACATGTAGAAAGCCCCTTTGTACATATTGGCAGTAAAGTGTAGTTGTTATGAGTAGGAGGTGGGAAGGGTAGGCATTAGAAGTGAGAGGGGCTGGGCACGGTGGCTCACGCCTGTAATCCCAGCACTTTGGGAGGCCGAGGTGGGCGGATCACCTGAGGTCGGGAGTTCAAGACCAGCCCGACCAACACGGAGAAACTCCATCTCTACTAAAAATACAAAATTAGCCGGGTGTGGTGGTGCATGCCTGTAATCCCAGCTACTCGGGAGGCTGAGTGAGGCAGGAGAATTGCCTGAACCCGGGAGGCGGAGGTTGCAGTGAGCCGAGATTGTGCCATTGCACTCCAGCCTGGGCAACAAGAGCGAAACTCCGTCTCAAGAGAAAAAAAAAAAAAAAGAAGTGAGAGGAAAGCGGTTAAAGATGATGGGGTGTGCATATGAGTGAGAATGTTTATCATCGAGAAAGTGAGTGGTGCAAGAGGAAGAAAGGGGAACATGATGGTGTTTGGTGTCTTTAAGGAAGAGTGAAGGAAGGGTAAGAAGGCACGGGAGCATACACTGGCCACCCATGGGTGGTGCTCACACCTGGCAGTTGGATGTTTGGGACCGGAGATGTACCTAACTTAGATAACTTGTTGTGTGCTCTACGCTCTAGTTGTTTTGTTCGGGTTTCCTGCAATCAGACATAGCTGGATTGTAGGATGTCATGAAAATGGTGATAGTAGGAAGGAAAGTAGTTATAATCCTGTGTTGGATTAAAAAGATCATCAACTTTGGGTTATGAAAAATGTAGTGCCACGAAAGTATGAAAATGTTAAAACTTAGAAACATAAAATAACAGTTTATGAATGCAAAGCTTGGGAAATGAATTATGAAAGTCTACTATGTTTTTAGGAGCATAAGACAAAATGAGGAAGACAAAACTTAAGGAAAACCCATGAGGGGATCCAGCTGAACACCGGATCGGTACACACTAAGAAAATAACTGAAACTCATGTGAGTTCAAACGCAAGTGTTAATGCTTTTTATCAAGCAAAAGATATCAGGATGGGTAACACTTTGCTTCCCAAACTCTGAACATCACAAAGGGAGTTGGGGAATGGCCTCAGGATGTGTGTTAGGATTATCAATCCCTGTGCCCTTTTCCCTCCCATCTTTCTGAAATCTAATCCAAGGGTTGTCACACTTTTGGACTTCACGTTCAAAGAACACTTCAATAAAATTTGTGTGGATCACCATAGGTCGCCAGCTTTTAGTTCTGGCAAGCAAGTGCTTTTTAAAAAAATCTGTCATCTCTTATCACCATTACTGCATTAAAAAAGAAGACATTTAACATGCACACATGCATATACCTACACACACACACACACACACACACACACACACACACAAAGAAGAGCATAATTAAAGACAATTTTTTGATCAAGTAAAGTTATCTTTATGAGAAATTTTCTTTGTTGTCTTATCTTTTCTTCTTTTCATTGTGGACTGTTAAAATAATTGTCCACACAAGCACAAACACAGACCTACAGAATCTGGCCAGAATTTACTAAGTACTGGTCCAGCTGTTGTCTACCTGCTCCCAGGTGACCAGCCCAGGACAGCTTGGGAGACAGAAATCCTGCCACCTTCGCTGCTACAAACGCAGGGCTGAAAAGACCAACCCTTTTTCCGGACCACTTTGTGGCCCAAGCCAAGTTATCAAAAGGATCTTTGTTGCCAGGGGATGTTTTTTTCTTTTCTGAGAGTAGGTTGGGTTGCGGCAGGGGGGCGGGGGGTGTTGGGTGGCAGGGGTTTGGCCGGGGGAGGGGAGGGTGGATAGAAAGGATAGAAGGTAAATGGTATAACACAAGAGGGAAATTTTAAAGACTTTCAATGATTAAGTACATATGACTTCCTTTTTCTTTTTTGCCCTGGCACTGCCTGAAAAGTACATATGACTTTAAGCTGTATAGGCGAGAATATTTTAGATTCTAGTGTAAAGTAATAGGATACGGTATCACATTGGGAGTGATGTCTTTCTTCATCAATTGTTTGTTCTTAAAACAAGCCTTTTATGAGGTGTGGAACTTTAAAGAGGCCAGTTTTGCTGTTCCTGTGAGAATTGACGCCTTTATTGCAAAATATGAATGTGGTAGACATGTGGGTTTTTGAAAGTTAACAGAAAAATCTACTAATCTGAATAGATCATTAAGAATGTAGTCTGCTTCATCAGTGTACGTGTTACATGAACAGACATTAAGAGCTTGTGACGGCAGTGACTTACCAGCAAGGATGGGATAAAAGTAAAATGTGGAAGGAAGAAAATGCAGCATGGTTTTTTATTATAGAAGAGCTTACAGACAACTTGTATTGATAGCTTTCGCAAATTTAGAATTAATTTATATTAACAGTTTGATATTTGGAAACATTTACTTTTAAAAATTAGCCTGATTTGTATTTAAAATTATTTTTTAAAATACAGCAACACGGTTTGCTTTGTTGCCCAAGCTGCTCTTGAACTCCCGGGCTCAAGCCACCCTCCCGCCTCAGCCTCCCAAAGCCCTGAGATTATAGGTGTGAGCTACCATACCCCGCTAGATTTCTGCTTATTCATAATCTATGAACTTTGAACTTACCATTTTCAGGGTTGCAGGGTTTTTTTTTTGAGACGGGATCTTACTGTGTCACCCAAGCTGGAGTGCAGTGGTGGCAATCATAGCTGACTGCAACCTTCAACTCCTGGGCTCAAGTCATCCCTCCACCTCAGCCTCCTGAGTAGCTGGGGCTCCAGGCACGCACCACCACGCCTGGCTAATTTTTGAAAGTTTTCTGTAGAGATGGGATCTCACTATATTGCTCAGGCTAGCCTTGAATTCCTGGACTCAAGAGATCCTCTCACCTCAATCTCCCAAAGTGCTGAGATTCCAGGCGTGAGCCACCACACCCTGCCATGGTTGCAGGTTTTAGGTGTTAAATTTACATATCTTGTGTTGGGGAAACTATTGATTTAGGACCACAGATCTGAACAAAGTATAAAGGAGCTGATCCATCAGCCATTCATTCCTGTCTCAATAGAGACTGTGCCGCAGTGCTCTTGGCCCATGCATGAAAAAAACACTTTATACTGTCTTGCTAGGTTTCTCAATCTCAGTCTATAACTACATGTACGTGTGTGTGTGTGTGTGTGTGTGTGTGTGTGTGTGTGTGTGTGGGGTTCCAGCTGAATTTTCTGTCCCGAGGTTGAGTTAGAAATCAGCTTTTGTTTGCTTTACAATTTCTCGTGGCTTCAGTCAAACAGTGGTGTCAAATGTGGTATCATTGACATCTGTGGTAGCCTTCGTTCTCTGAAGTCTATCAGCAATATCCATGCTGATAATTCAGTCTAAATGATTGCCCAGCCACAAGCTGGACAGTGAACACTGTTTTCTCAGTTGGGTTGGGTGCTCCTCAGGGAGTCCCACTATGCCAAGCAGATGAAGCACAGTTTGCCATTCACTGAGAAGGAGCCCCTGGGACCCCATTCGGTGGCCCAGGCCACATCACTGCCCCCGACCGGACCCTTGCCTAGAACTGTTAAGTGTCAGGGGAATCACACAGGAGGAAGGGCAGCCACCACATACACACAAGGAGGATGTTCGGGTGGCCCCCGCTCTCAGCTAGAGGCATCTCCATGGAGCACTTTGGGCTGAGCCACCTTCTTCTCTGTCCCCACTGGTTCCCCCACCAAAGTGCTGCAGCCAGCAGCCAGAGATTAAAATCCTCATTTGGGTCGAGTAAGAAAGTTTATCTATTACCCATAAACCTTTTCTTGCAAATCTGCTCATGCTGCATATATTGACTTTCACATTTCACTCTCTAATTGAGTAGAATTATAAGTATCCCTTGCCTATTCATCCTGCCAAATACTCAAGATTTCTGTTCAACAGGCTGTCCTATTATCAGTAAACTGCCCTCGCTATGACATACTAATATATATGATATGAACATTGCCTTCTTGGAGCTCTTTTTAGTATAACCGTTGGGGTCATATCCCCCAGTGAGAAGGCCATTAGAATTTTGGGGTCAGGTTATTTGTACATGGTAGTGTAACTGTCAAGATGTAATATCTGAGGGGTTTTTTTGGTGGAACTTTTTGTGTTGAGTATAGAAGCCAATCATGTTCATATAGTAGACAAACTTGAGTGATACTCGTCTAAGGACCACAAATACCAACAGTTTGAAGTAAAAGTAGGAGGACTGAACATTATTGAGGCAAAGTCTCAGGCCATACCTGTTTCTCTTCTCTGTTGTAATGCCCTCAGCCAGGGCTAAGGTGAGTTTTTGAAAGCACCCATCACTATTGTGTGTGTGACGTGGATAGGAGAGGTTCAGAAAAGGAAACAATGAACTCAATAATTATATTTGATGCTAATGATCTGGTCTGTGGGTCATGTGGGTGTCTCCTGTCTCCTGATCCACCTAACACTGATGACAAAGCTCATTAGTACCTCTGGCCAGAGGGTGGACTTGAGGAAAGAGAGGACAGCACTCATGTCAATCAGTTTGGCTTCTCATTAGTAACTCCAAAGAAAATAGTTGGCCAAAGAGGCCAGAACCACAAAAAGGAAGCTAACTTTGAGTCACCCATATCTGTCCACTATTATCACAGAGGTGGGAAAAGGCTAAGTGTCTGGTATGTGGTAAGTGGATGAAGTGAAATGATATTTTTTAAGGCTAAAATAAAACTTGTAAAAAATCTCAATGGCAGCAGTCCTAAAATAAAAGTAAGTCTTTATAAAAGAAAAACAAAGTCCAAAGTGAACATATTTGCTTCTCCTGCTAACAGTGCTATTTCAGACACTAAAAAGTAGTGATGGATTCTTCTTCCGAGCAAGAGGGAGCGTGTAGCTGAGACCATGGGCAGAATGCATGGTGCAGCAGGCACCGTGGGGAAGGAGATCAGAATTTGAAGTTCCACTAAACTGTATCACCTGGCATAGACTCCGAGGTAGCCCGAAATCCAGTAGGTCACACTGGTGTGGACAGAAAGATCTTCAAGGGAAGCCCTTGCTTCCTGACCTGAGAAGCAGGAAAAGGGAGTGCTGACTTCATAGTGAGTGGAAGAAGCCACCGTCCTCATTCTCTCCCTTCCCAACCCATAGCCAGTCCTGCACAGCGGCGTAGGGCTGGGCAGACATCCAAAACTGTGCGTGCTGGGGGAGGAGGATTTCCTTCTTTCTGATGAAGGGAACTGTGGTCCTAAGAGCATGGGGCGAATTCCCATTGCTTTTCTTCCCTCCCTCTGTCCTTCTGCCACTTGACACCACATTGAAATGCAGTTGTGCTAGAAGTATGTGGCTGAGCAAGGCAACTAAACCCAGCGTTCTAGCAGAAGGACCATGAAAAAGGGCCCTAGGGTACTGGAAGGTACTGGGGAGATCACAGAGAGGATCAAGAGAGCTATTGCATAAAATATTGTATGAACTCCTGGACTCGCTTCTGAGCTGTGCATGTTTGGATCTCATTGTAGCAGCATTACAAACGCTTTGAGAGCTGAAATATGAACTAGATCATACAGGTCCCAGGCTGACCACTGCATGGTATACATGTAAGACAGATCCAAATAGCACTGCAAAAGCTTTCTGCACTGAAGTGACATTCAGCTGACAGGAGGTGGTTTGGAAATCGCAGCCTGAACTTAACAATGTTGATCACGTGCTTAAAAAAAAATTCAACATTGTCCTTAGGATTTAAAGACTCGGACTCTCATGATATAATAATCAACATTACTAAAAATTAGCCAGCATATGAAGAATTAGGATAATCTCAATTTGTATGTGAAAGAACAAGTAACAGTTGCAAATACTGAGGTGTCACAGATGTTGGAATTATCAAAGATTTAAATCAGTTATTCTAATCATGGCCCCAGAAGTGTGGGAATAGATTATGTAATGCAGAAGTGAGTGGTAATTTTAGAACTGAAATATATAATAATCAAAAATAAAAATTCATGGGTGGGCTCAACAACAGAATAAAGATAATAGAAAGAGAAGAGACAGTGGACTTGAAGATAGAGCAATAGAAATTTTTCAATCTCAACAACAGAGAAAAAGATTGAAAAAAAAATAAGTAAACAGAGCTTCAAGGATGTGTGAGACCATACCAAAAATGTCCAACATTTGTGTAATCAAAGTTCCTAAAAGAGTGTGATTTGAAGAAATAATGGTTGGCAACTAAATTTGGTCAAAGACGTAAGCTTTTAAATTTAAGAAGCTGAACAAACCTAAACAGGCTAAAATCAAAGAAATGCATGCCCTGACACATCATAAACTGTTGAAAACTAAAGAGAGAAAAATATTGAAAGCAAATAGGGAAAAATGCTACATAACATATAATAGAGCAAGTTGAATTACTGCAGATTTAATTGGTATGTTTAGACATACCAATGATACATAACATATAATAGAACAAGTTGAATGACTGAAGATTTTCTGTTAGAAACCACAAAGGCCAAAGTAAAGTGGAACACTATTTTTAAAATAACCAGGGAACATATTATTTATATACGAAGGTAAAAAAATGAAATTCTCAAATAAAAGAAAGCAATAATTCACTGCCAGAAGACTTGCTCTAAAAGAAATGCTGATAGACAGAAAATTATACCAGAGGAAAACTTGAAACATCAAGAGAAAAAGAAAAGCAACAGTAGTAATACCTGAGTAAATATAATTATTCTCTTAAGTTCTTTAAAATATGTATAATAGGCCGGGCGCTGTGGCTCATGCCTCTGATCTCAGCACTTTGGGAGGCCGAGGTGGGTGGATCACGAGGTGAAGAGATCGAGACCATCCTGGCTAACATGGGGAAACCCCATCTCTACTAAAAATACAAAAATTAGCTGGGCGTGGTGGCGCATGCCTGTAGTCCCAGCTACTCAGGAGGCTGAGGCAGGAGAATTGCTTTAACCCAGGAGGCAGAGGTTGCAGTGAGCAGAGATTGTGCCACTGCGCTCCAGCCTGGTGATAGAGCAAAACTGTGTCAAAAAATATATACACGTATAATAATGGAAATCAAATATTCTAGCATTGGTAGAGTTTCATTGTATATAGATGTAACACATATGAGAATTGTAAGATAAAGAGAAGAGGTTAAAAGGACTAAAATGATGGTAAGATTTACCACTTGAAGTAGTAAAATATTAATTCTAAGTAGACTGTGAAAAGTTAAGTATATATATTTGAAATGTGTAGAGCAACAGCTAAAGACACCATACAAAGGAATACAGTAAAAACTCAATAGATAAACAAAAATAGAGCACTGAAAATATTCAAATAATTCAAATAAAATTAGGAAAGGAAAAACAGGAACAAAATGAGGGAAGAAACCTAAAATAAATCATAAAGGGTAGATTTAAATTTCAACGTATAACTAATTATATTAAATATAAATGATCTAAACATACAAATTAAATGACAGAGATTGTCATAATGGATTTTTTTTAAATGACCAAAGGATATGCTATCTACAGGTAATACATTTTAAATATAATGAAATGAATGTGTTAAAAGTAAAGTGATATACACTAATCATAAGGAAGCTGGAGGGGCCATATTAATATCAGAAATAGTAGACTGTAGAGCAAGAAAAATTACCAGGGATAAAGAAGAACATTACATAAAGAAAAATGGGTAAGTTCACCATGATGACATAACAAGCATAAAAAAGTGTATGTACCTAACAACAAAGTTTCAAAGTACATGAAACAGAATAGAACTGAAAGGAAAAATGGACAATTATAGTTAGGGGCTTCAACACAGCTCCCCCAATAATTGCAAGAACAAGTAGATAGAATAGCGGTAAGGATATGGAAAAACTGAACAATGCCATCAGACTTGCTAATTGACATTTATAAAGTGTTCCTCCCTCAAATAGCAGAATATACATTCCTTTAAAATCCTCAGGGAGCATTCAGAAAAATAGATGACAGCCAGAGACATAAAACAAACCTAAAAATGATTAAAAGAATTGAAATAATCAAAAGTAGTTATCTTACCATAATGAGATTTAACTAGAAATCAACAAAAGAAAGATAATTGATAAATCTCTAAATACTAGGAAATTAAACAACCTACTTCTAAGTGATCTGTGAATCAAAGTCTCAGAGAAAGCAGAAAATATTTTGAAGTGAACAAAATTGAAAATGCAATATATCATAATTCATATGAAGTAGCTAAATCAGGGCTTAGAGGGAAATATGGAGGATTAAACCCTCATATTAGAAAAGAAAAAAAGAACTGCAATGAGCAATCTAAGCTTCTACCTAAAGAAACTAGAAAAAGAAGAGCAAAACAAGTCTAAAGCAAGCAGAAAGAAGGAATTTTATAAAGATAAGAGTAGATATCAATGAATTTGAAAACAATAGTGGAGAAAACCAATAAAATTAAAAATCTGGTTTTTTAAGTATATCAAGAGCTGATAAACCTCTAGCCAGATTGACAAGGAAATATGACATAAATTACCATTGTAAGGCATGAAAGAGGGCATATCACTATAGTCCCCACAAAAATATAATAAGCAAACACCATCAAGAGCTCTGTGCACATAAATTCAACAATATAGATGAAATGGACCAAATCCTAGAAAGAAGAGGCTGCCAAAACTCACCCCAAAATATCCCTTTATATCTCAATAAATTCAATGTATAATTAGATCTTTACCAAAAACTCAAAAATCAAAACCTAAAAAACTACAGGTTTGGATGGTTTCACTGGTAGAATTCTCTGCCAAACATTTGTGGAAGAAATGACATCAATTCTGTAAGATCTTTTTCAAAAAACAAAAGAGGAGGCAACATTTCCCAACTCGTTTTGTGAAGCCAGCATTATCCTGGTTACCAAACCAGACAAAGTTAGTACAGTAAAAGAAAACTGCAGACCAATGTCTCTTAGGAACATAGATGCAGAAATCCTTCACAAAATATTAGTACATTGAATTAGG
Organism: Homo sapiens; assembly: GCF_000001405.40. Classification (NCBI taxonomy): domain Eukaryota; kingdom Metazoa; phylum Chordata; class Mammalia; order Primates; family Hominidae; genus Homo; species Homo sapiens. Next base: position 183,975,948 of record NC_000004.12, read on the forward strand.
CAATAATAAAAATAATAACAAGTCATGACCGAGTGGATTTAGGCTTGGAATATAAGGCAGCATTTGAAAATCAGTCAATGTAGGGCTGGGCACAGTGGCTCACAGCTGTAATCCCAGCACTTTGGGAGGCCAAGGCAGGCAGATCATGAAGTCAAGAAATCGAGAACATCCTGGCCAACATGGTGAAACCTTGTCTCTACTAAAAAATACAAAAATTAGCTGAGCGTGGTGGCACATGCCTGTAGTCCCAGCTACGCAGGAGGCTGAGGCAGGAGAATTGTTTTAACCCAGGAGGTGGAGGTTGCAGTGAGCCAAGATTGCGCCACTGCACTCCAGCCTGGGCAACAGAGCGAGACTGCGTCTCAAAAACAAACAAAAAAAAAGAAAATCAGTCAATGTAATCTATCATATTAACATACCAAAGAAGAAAAAAACCACACAATAATATTAACAGATTCAGAAAAAGAAGTTGACAAAATTCAACATACATTCATGATGAAAGCTCTCAACAATCTATGTAGGATTAAAAGGAAACTTCCTTGACCTGATAAAGAACGTCCACAAAAATCTGCAGCTATGATAGCTATAGACACTGCAGACTACTAGAGGGGGAGGGAGGGAGGGAGGAGGGCATGGATTAAAAATTACCTGTGGGGTACTATGCTCACTACCTGGATGACAGGATCACTCATACCCCAAACCTCAGTGGCATGCAATATACCCATGTAACAAACTTGTGCATATACCCCATATCTAAAATAAAAGTTGAAGAAAAAGAAACCTGTAGCTAACATCATACTTGATGGTGAAAGACCTAATACCCTCCCTTTAAGACTGGAAACAGGGCAAGGATGTTCACGTTTACCATTCCTGTTGAACATGATACTGGAGTTTCTATCCATTGGAATAAGGTAAGAAAAAGAAATGAAAGGCTTACAAGCTGTAATAAAACTGCCTGTTTGCAAACAACTTGATTGACCATATAGATAATCCCAAGAAATTTACAGAAAAAGTTCCTAGAATGGCATTGCCAGTTAGATGCAAGATTGTATAGCCAGTCTGGAAAATAGTTCAGTAGTTTCTTAAAATTTATTTTTATTTTTATAGATTTAGGGATGTCAGTGTAGTTGTATTAAATGGATATATTGTGTAGTGGTAAAGTCTGGGCTTTTAGTGTAACTGTCACCCAAACAGTGTACATTGTACCCAATAGGCAGTATAATAGGTAGTATAATAGGTAGTATTTGATCCCTCACTTCCCTTCTACCCTCCTACTCTGAAAGACTCCTTTCAGAGTCTTTAATGTCTGTTATTCCACCCTGCAATAACTTTTTGAGACTGGCTTCTTTCACTGAGCCTAATGTTAAAATGTATCCACGGGATTAGAAGTGTGTAAGGCACAACATGAAGGAGTTCTTTGGGGTGATAGAGCAATTCCATATCTGATTCTGCTCCCACTTATAACTGTACTATAAATACAGTTTTTGCCTTACTAGTAATTTCACTTAGGATAAGGGCCTCCAGTTCCACCCATGTTGCTGCTTTTGCATGCAAAAGCATGATTTAATTCTTTTTTATGGCTGAGTAGCATTCCATTTCGTGTGTGTGTGTGTGTGTATCACATTTTTAGTCCAGTTATCTGTTAATGAACACTTAGGTTGGTTCCATATCTTTCCTCTTGTGAGTAGTGGTGCAATAAACATACAAGTGCAGGTGTCTTTTTGGTAAAATAATTTCTTTTCCTTTGGGTAGACACCCAGTAGTGGGATTGCTGGATCAAAGGTAGTTCTATATTTAGTTCTTTGAGAAATCACCATACTATTTTCCATAGAGGTTGTACTAATTTACATTCCCACAGACAGTGTATAAGCATTTCCTTTTCTCCACATCCTCACAACATCTGTTGATCAGTGATGTTTTTCATATGTCTGTTGGCCTCTTGCCTGTTTTTTTGAAAAATTTCTGTTCACATCCTTTGTCCACTTTTTAATGGGGTTACTTGTTTCTTTCTTGTTGAGTTATTTGAGTTCCTTGTAGATTCTGGCTATTAGCCCTCCATTGGATGCATAGTTTGCAAATATTTTCTCCCATTGTGTAGGATGTCTGTTTACCCTGTTGATTATTTCTTTTGCTGTGCAAATGCTATTTAGTTTAGTTAAGTCCCATTTGTCTTTTTTTGTTTTTGTTGCATTTCCTTTTGAGGACTTAGTCATAAATTCTTTGCTTTGACCAATGTCCAGAAGAGTTTTTCCTAGATTTTCTTCTAGGATTTTAATAGTTTCAGGTCTTACATTTAAATCTTTAATCCATCTTGATTTAATTTTTGTATATGGAGTGGGATAGGAGTCCAATTCTATTCTTCTACATATTGGCTTTCCAATTTTTCCAGCAGCATTGATTGAATAGGGTGTCCTTTCCCCGTGTTTTATATTTTTGTCAACGTTGTCAAAGATTAGTTGGTTGTAGTTATGTGGCTTTATTTCTTGGTTCTCTATTCTGTTCCATTGATTTATGTATGTATTTTGGTACTAGTACCATACTATTTTGGTTACTATAGCCTTGTAGTATCATTTGAAGTCAGGTGATGTGATGCCTCCAGAAACTAACAAAGAGTCTGAATAGCCAAAGCAATCCTACTTCAGTAGTTTCTGATGAAGTTATATGTATCCTTACCATATGATCCAGCAATCCCATTCCTAGTACTTGCAACAGCATGGATACATTTTAACATTAGGCTCAGTGGAAGAAGCCAGTCTCAAAAAGTTACATGCTATATGATTCCATTTATATGACACTCTAGAAATGGCAAAATGATAAGGAAAAATAACATACCAGTGGTTTCCAGGGATTCGAAGTGTGTAAGGCACAACATGAAGCAGTTCTTTGGGGTGATAGAGCAATTCCATATCTGATTCTATCCTGAGTGATGGCAAGGAGGCAAATCTACACATGTGTTAAAACTTACAGAATCTGTACATCAAAAGAGGCCTCAATTTTGTATATGTTAATTTTCAAAATTATGTTAAAAATATGAGTTTTCTTGGCAAAAGTGAATGGTACCCGATTTTATTATTCTGTTCTCACATTGCTATAAAGAAATACCTGAGACTGGGTGATTTATAAAGAAAAGAGATTTAATTGGCTTGTGACTCTGCAGGCTGTAGAGGAAGCATGGCAGGATCTGGTTCTGGTGAGACCTCAGGGAACTTACAGTCATGGCAGAAGGCAAAGAGGGAGCCAGCATTGTTGGATGGCCAGAGCAGGAGAAACAAAAAGGTCGGGGGGCGGGCTAGGTGCTACACACTGTTAAACAACCAGATCTCAGAATAACTCACTCACTCACTGTCACAAGAACGGTACCGAGGAGATGGTGTTAACTCATTCATGAGAACTCCACCCCTATGCTCCAGTCACCTCCCACCAGGCCCCACCTCCAACACTGGGAATTCATTACAATTTGACATGAGATTTGTGCAGGGACACTGATCCAAACCATATCACTGATATTCTTGTGATTGCCTATTGATTAACCAGATCAGTACTGTCCAGTATAATTTTCTGAGATGATGAAAATGTTCTGTATCTGCTCTGTCCAGCATTGTAAATACTAGCTACATGTAGCTATTGAGCACTTGAAATAATATTTTATTATTATTTTAAATGTTATTAGGAACTAACAGTATTAGTTCCTAATTTTCAGTTAATTTAAATTAAATAAAATTAAATATTAGTTCCTCAGAAAGTTCCATACGACACTATGACATAAACTTTTTCTGCCCTAAGTTCTTCTAATCAATGTCCTAAGAAGACAAGGAAGGAAAAGATGAAAGTAAAAGGAGAAAAACTGAGAGCTTATGATTTTTTAGTTAAAAATCCAGATTCTAAATATATTGTTAGGTCTTATATTTCAGGTCTTATGTTAGTTCCTCGGGAACTAATATTTTAGGCCCGGTCATGCCGAGTTCACCTTTGTGATGAGAATGTTTGGCCAGTATTATTCCTGAGGAACTAATATTTTAATTTTATTTAATTTAGATTAACTTATAATTAAATAGCCACACATGCCTAGTAGCTACTCTATTTGACAGCACAAATATAGATAATTGTATAATCACTGTGATCTTAGAAAACAAATTATGTTATTTTTATTCATTCAGAGAGATAAAAGAAATTATGACTAGTTTTTACTTTTTTACATCAGGATTTTATGACATTTTCTAGCTTTATAAACAAAAATGCATGATCCAACTTCCATGAGGTGATATAGGGAGGTGATACTGAGGATGAGGCTAATGTACATTAAAGATGTTAGTAGGAGAGTAGAAGTTTATGGCTGTGATACGAAAGGTGTAGAGGAGAGCAAAGCCCAAATAATGTTTACTTTTAAGCCAGCGAATATTGGATTGTTTTTGCGTGCTGAAAATAACTATACTTTCACCAGGCGAACACAACAGTCCGGATACTGTTGTCATTCTTGTCAGTAGGGATAGAGGTGGACATTAGGAGTCTGTCCCCGGATACGGAGGTGTCGGGAAAGCAGCCCTTGGAAGGTCCCTGCAAACCTCCCTGAACTGGGTGTTCCATTGTGGTGTGCCCCTTCCAACTGGTTCAACTGGGGACTGTGAGAAGTACAAATTCAGCCTGGTCATGCTGAGTTCAGCTTTGTGATGAGAATGTTTGGCCAGTATTTCTTTACTTTACACTCCGTCTGGACTTAGTTTGGAGCGAATTTTTTTTCCTTCTTATTCATAGTTTTTTTTTTTTAGAAGTATGGTGATACTTTCTTTTCATGTATGTTTACTTTTCATTCCTCAGTTAATTGGAAGCACCTTGAGGTCAGAGGTTGATTCTATTGCTATGTCTGCTTTGTAAAAATATGGCAGTCTTTGCCACCTTCATATTTTTTTCCCAATTCCATCTTGCAGGGAAGGAATGCAACCCACAGAGAGGATAACTCAGTTCTAATTAAATAAGCCAGGGACAAAGTCACTCAGTTTCTCAGCTCTTTGACCTTATAACTAATTCCAGCTAAAAGAGCTCTAGGACTCAATAGCAGTATATGTTTAAAGCAACAGAAATACTGATGATAGTTTTGAAAACTAATTGGGAAATACCATTTTTAGGGCGTATTTTTAGATGTAGTTGTTGTTTCCCAAATTGGGGGCATATTTGTCCCAAGGGATTGGGGCCATACACTGGCAGGTTTATACATCCTCAAGATGAATGTGGATGGTCTCCCTAAAGGGTCAGTTCACTTGTAAATTTGGGAAAGTAATATTGAATGGTGTTCATTGTAAACAAAGTTTTAAACTTTTGTTATTAGGACAATCAGGGTTCTATTACAGAGTAGAATGCATAGACTGTATGAATTTCAGGGCGTCTTCACAGTAGAATCTAATTGTTTTTCCTCTGCATATTGGGGGCTTCTGTGGGCCTCCATCATTATTCTCTGCAGTTTAAATACTAGATACGAGATAGAAACGTCTGAGATACACTCAGGCATGTTTTAACCCAGTCGGTTGGAAATAAATAGTCTGTAAATCCAAATGCTGTGTAATAAAATTGTAATGGAGAAGGGCAACACTTCGTTTTTCTGTGCTGTCTCATCGTTTTCTTATTGTTTAATGTTAAAACAACAAATTTAGAATCTGGCTTTTTAACTGAAAAATCATAAGCTCCTCAGTTTTTCCTCGTTTTACTTTCATCTTTTCCTTACGTGTCTTCTTTAGATATTGATTAGAACAACTTAGGGCAGAAAAATAGTTTATACCACAATGTGGTATGGAAAAAATTAGATATCTGCATACTTCATTTGTAATTTTTTATCCAAAGTGCACCTGCGGCTGGGCGCAGTGGCTGACGTCTGTAATCGCAGCACTTTGGGAGGCCGAGGCAGGGGAATCACTCGAACCCAGGAGGTAGAGAGGGTGCAGTGAGCCAAGATTGCACCAGTGCACCCCAGCCTGGGCAACAGAGTGAGACTCTGTCTCAAACAAAACAAAACAACAAAACGCAAAGTGCATCTGGAAAAGCCTTACAGTTGACTTTTCTTTCGATATATTTTACAAGGTGTTGTGGAGTAATGGAGGGACACCTGCACTGAGAATCAGGGGACCTGAGTGCTAGTTCTGGTTTTGCTAGTAAATCTTTGCAACCTGGGCAAGTCACCTTCCCACTTTGGGCTCTAGGATTATATACGATTAAGTGATGATGTACTAGATGTTTTTCTGTGTCTCCTCCAGCTCTTACCTGCACTTATTCAGTATTCCCAATCCTATGAGAATTGACTTTTGAGAATTTAAGTAACAGAATAGCCATGTTCTTCACTTCATGTTCATAGTGTTGCTCTCTAATACTTGTAAGAACACCAAGTGTATTTTTTAAAAGTATTTCGTTTCCTTACATATACAGTGCAAGGAAATCTTACCCAATTTAATTGAAATGGTTTCTTCCACCACTTAGTCAATCCTGGGCTATAAAGGCCCTAAAAATGTAGGAACTTTCTGTTTTCCAAACTGCTTTTGTTGAGTTTTTAATTTGTGTCTTTTTTTAAAAAAATCAATTTTATGCAACTAAGAAAGTATAATCTGTTATTGGTGCCCAGGGTTTTTGTTTAGAGAATTTCTCCTCTTCCCTTTATTTCTCAGTTTGTGCTAGTATTCTACCCTGGGCACTACTCCAAATGTCAGGCTACTGCTATAGCACAGATAGTCTTTTCGATAGATTCTGGGGAGGTAGTGTTAGGTGCGTTGTGAAACTCATGCATTTCTGATAGCATTGCAGTATTTCATGTTGGAAATGTTGGATAGTACTTTTGTGAAACAGAAAAGTTATCTCACGTCTCTCTGCTTCTCTCTGTTCCCTGGTTAAGCACTCTTTACATTTTGTTCACTCTCTCACAGTAGGCTTTTACCTTGCCTCAGTAATTATCTTTTCCTTTGGATGCATCCTATACCCTGTTGCCTGCATAACCTAAACATTCAGCATGAGGAACATCTCCCCTGTAGAAACCTTTAATGCCATTCTCCAGGTATTTAATGTTATCTTTATCCCAGCCTGACTGACTCTTTGGCCTTGTTGCTACCAATCTCCTTCATAGATCCCTCCAACCCAGCCATGCTGAATCTACCACCAGCCATTCTCCAAAACATCTTAGACTGTCTAACCACATCGTCTCTGTTCATACTGCCTTGCTGCCTGGAAAGACACTCTCATCTTGCCTCTCCCCACCCCTTTACTCGCCCATCCTGTGTGGCTGCCTCAGTGCCTCTTCCTTCCTGAAGCACCTCTCAGTTCCCTCCATGCTTCCTTGATGGCGCTTTTCTCATATCAGAAATAACCATCTTTCTTTGCTCTCCTGGTCCTCTTTCCCTCTTTGCCTTGAATGACATAGATGCTGATGTTGAACAATGAATATAGGAGCGGTACTCATTCATCGTTACTGTGACCTCAGCCACATGCTAGGATCTCACGTGCTGTGTTTTATAAGTGTGTTTTGAGTCGAAAGGAGGTTTAGTGGAATATTGTCACAGACTAGGATTGTTTTCTCCCCGACTGGTGCAGTCTTGAAAAAGGAAGAGAATCTTGACACCGCAGACTTCTGAGTTGTGATAGGAGTCCAAGAAGTCCCTGGGGGAAGCCGCGTCTGACCATATTGTCAGCATCCCTTCCCTCCTGGGAGTTGCCATGAGCTTATAAATGTTTTTGGAGAATGGAGGTGTCAGGCTTCTTTGGGAGGAGACTTACTAAGGGCCATCTAGCAAATGCTGAGTGAAACTCATTGCAAATATAAAGTGGGCCATTTTCCTATCCATTAAAGACTGTTCTTTAAATTTTTTTTAATTGATTAATTTTTAGAGAAGGATCTTGCTCTCTTTCCCAGGCTGAAGTGCAGTGGTGCAATCATAGCTCACTGCAGCCTTGAACTCCTGCCCTCAAGTGATATTCCTGCCTCCCAAAGTGCTGGGATTACAGGCATGAGCCACCGTGCGCCATGTTCTGAATCTGACCTTGGGCCACCCCTCTTGCCTTCTCTTCCTCTACTTCCCAGTAATGAACCCTCAGCCCCAGGCAGGCCTGCCTGCCTTATGATCCCCACCTCCCTCCCATCCACACCTCCACACCTTGTCCATGCTTCCTCCCTGCAGGTCAGTCCTCTCCTTCCTTCAGCATAGATTTAGGGTCTGCTGTTGGCTAGCCACTTTCAGGGATATACCTGTAAACACAAAACATGCAAAAAGTATCCCTGCTCATGGAGCTTATGTTATGACATATGGGCTGTGCTTTCTCTTTTCTTTCACCTGTCCAGATTCTAGAACAAGTTGGCCTTTCCGTGGAAGCCATTGCTGACTGTTTCGACCCCGGTTCTTTTCTTCAAAATTCTTGGGGGCACTGGTTACCTGTTCCTCCCCTTTGAAATACACTGCCTTGTATTTTTGCACTTTTTATATGTGAGTATCTTACCTCCTCAAGTACATTTGAAGCTTCTTGAGGGCAGACACCATGTCATTTGTCCATGAGAGAGTGTGCACCAAGGTTTGTATACTCCATATGTACACAACCTTAAAGATTAAAATTTAAATTCCTGAACTGACCATAGGACTTTGCAGTTAGGCACCTGATAAATATTTTTAATTGATTTAATGGTATTTATTGCTGTCTGCTTTTTCAAGTGGAGCAGCTCTAAGAGCATGCGAGACCATTAGCCATCAAGCGTTTATTAAGATCCTCCCCGTGTCCCTATGTGACGCTGCTATTTAATCTGCTGCCAAGGACGCAGGCGAGTGCCAAGCACAGCCTCTGCCCACACTTCATCAACTGAGCAAATCACCTCTGCGGTCCTCTGTGTGATGTTCGTAAAGCTTTACTGTAACACCGAAGCTGTTATCCAAAGATGTAAGAGGCACGGGGCCAGGAGGAGGACTGCTAATGATGGCTGCATGTGATTCTTGAGCTCATCTTGCCATCAGACGCCGAGATTTAAAGCATCAGCAGACCGTTCTTGTCTTTGTTTCTCAGTGGAGGCCAATGGTGTCCATTATGAAACCCACCGTACTCTCGGTAGGGCAGCAAGATGAGCTTGTGGTGGTTTTGCCTGACCGTGTATATTCTTTTCCATGGTCCTTCAATAAAAGTCTACTCAGGGGCAGTCGTTAGGGGTCATAGACCCCAGCAGAAGCAACTTCTACGGGAGACCCCACTTGTGACCTTGACCTCATTGGTCCATGTGCCAAGTAAGCAGATTGTGTTCAATCTAAATTTAAAAATTGACATATAGGTTTTGACATTTTTTTGTTTACAGTGGCTTTTTTATTTTAATTATCAAGAGGTAACACGTGTTGTTGAAAGAACAGACTTTCAACAGCAATGGTTGTTGAAGATGATTCATGTAGGAAGTCTGTAGAACAGCATACATAAACGTGTAAAAGGTAAAATTGACTTTCAGTGGCTGAAAGAACAGACTCGAGAGCCAGCTGCCTTGGGTTGAAATCCCATCTCTGCCGTTCACCAGCTCTGTGAGCTTCAGGAAGAGAGTTCCCCTCTTTAAGTGGGGCTCACACCAGTACTTAACTTTCAGAGTCCTTGTGAAGATGATGTGAGTTTCTAAGTACAGACATACTAGGCCCATATATAGATGAAAACATGCATGCTTGGATATTAGAAATTATGACTACATTTTTATTTGTACATTCTCATCCCTTCGAGTATTTGGATTTTTTTTCTTTCTCCACATATTTAACCTTTCATAGATCATAGAAGAAACTTGTGTCTTTAACTGTCAGGAGGTGGTACAGTGACCCAGGGCTTCCCAGAAGGCTCTTACACTGCCAGGACTACAGATATGTCTGTTTAGATATGAATTTGTAATACATTTGTTATATGCTTCCATCATTGCATTCTTAAGGTGCGTGTGCTTATTAGGCACCCTGTCTGACCTTACAGTGATCAGACCACGCCCGACAGGAATGGGCTGGATTACATGGGTTTGGGTGGATTTATATCCAACAACACAGCCAGACTTAAAGAGGTTTGATGAAAGGCGAGTGGCTTTGTTTGGAGGCGCTGGTGCTGGGCCCTAGGCTCAGTCTGTGGCATGCATGAGAAGCTAGTGGCTTATCAACGAGGAGAGAAAATCATACCCTAGAAGGGAAAATCAAGACCGTATTTGGTTAAGTATGTGGAGAAAGAAAAAAAAAACAAATACTTGAAGAAAAGGGATGAGAATGTATAAATAAAAATGTAGTCATAATTTCTAATATCCAAACATGTATGTTTTCATCTGTATATGGCCTATTAGGTCCTTATATGCTTCTGATCAAGCATACAAGGTAAAATTGATGAGGCTGTTAAAAAGTGCATCAGTAGCAGTTGGTGTGGAACACATTCTCAAGGGGGTCACAGGGTGACAGATAGTCCAGGACAGGGAGGAGACAGTGCCACGGGGAGGACTCAGCAGGAGGATGCCACGTCGTCAGAGGGAAATGGATACGCCAGACCAGAGCAAAGGGGGGACCCCAGGAGGGCAGAGGATGTGAAAAGCGTTAGGTGGTTGAGGGCATGGAAGACGTTTTATTTAATAACATTCAAAGCAAGCATCTCAATGGATCAGTAGATGAATATATAGTCTGCATGCCTGCTGAGTGTCCCAGACTCTAGGCAGCTAGAGAAGAGCTGATCTGGGCACAGGGACCTGGTTAGTGTTTGTAGCTATCGGATGGGTGATGGCGCAGAAGCGGGTTATACGTTTTGTAGCCTCCCGAGGACAGAATGGATGTCACTGTGCAGGGGTGACAAGAGACGCTGATTTGAACTCAACTCACAGGGGGGCCTTTGCCAGAGCCTGAGCTCTGTTGGGGGAGGTTCTGGAGGACAGGCTGAATCACCGGAGTCAGGAGAGGATAGGACGCTTTCAGGATTTTAGCCGGGAGACCCACGTGGGGACCCCTGTAACTCTGAGTTTCGGGGGCGCCTTATGAAGAGCTTCAGTGCATTTCCCATCTTTGCTGGCACCCCACATTTTGTGCCCCTGGTAGCTGAGCTGCTGGGTTCATGAGGATGTGGGAGAATTTGCTGCAGAATCGTCTGCCACCCACCTCTATGGGTTTCTGAGAATGAGATAATTTTTCGGTTATCCGGATCCTGAGCGGAGGCAGCGAGCGGTGCCTGTTTTGGCGTTATTGGATTTGGGAGAGTTCGGCAGTACCACTGCCGTGAGATTCGTTTCCTTGGCCTCTCTGACTCCATTTTTCTCGGGTTTTATGTGGCTGCTCTACTCCTTCCATTGTGTTCTCTCTCTCAACTGCCGCCCCCGTCTTCCTCCTGAGATGTTTACGTGTTGCTTCTTGCACTCTAAATAAAGACTACATGTTTTCTCTGCTGGCATAAATTCCTCTGTGTGTGTGTGTGTGTCGGTGTGTAAATGCATGTCCGCAGGTGTACACGTGAGTGATTCAGCCTGGGGTTCACAATGAGCGTGGCACCCGTAGTGCAATGAAAAGGACATTTTTATGCAGATACGTGATTCATTTTCACCTTGCTGATCTTAGCCGTAGACATTTTTAAGAAACAGGGGAGGAACCAGCCACCCCCCAAATCCCATGAATCCCACTTCTCGGTGCGATTGGAGTTGTGTTGTAAGCGCAGGAGAGGCTCCTGCTGAGAGCGAGCTCCTGACATAGTGACCTCATTCCCCACGCCGCCCTCCTCGCAGCGGCAGAAGCCGCACTGGCTGGTGCTGGGTGAGCTCCACCGCTGCCCGGGCTGCGAGCCTGACGGCTGTGTGTCGGGAATGACGAGACCCAGGCTTGCAAAGACTTGCACGGCAACTGGAATTTATGACAAATAGCTCACTGCAGCTAAACTTTGATACAGTGTACAGTAGAACCGCCTGTTACACACAGGAGGGAGACGCGTCCTTCGTCACCATGCAAAGCCAGCCTTAACACAACATAGGAAAATGTGGCAGGTCTCTAATTACGGACTGGTGAGTATATGACGCCAGATCAATTTTAATGTGTGTGTTCTCTCTTCAAGCATCTGGAGGTATGTGCCCTTTTTACCTTTTTCATGATTAAAAAAATATGAGTTGGTGCTAATGCATGGGAGGGGACCTGGGCCCCTTGGAGAGGAGAGTGTGCCCCTCGCCACCCCGCGCCTGGGGTACATTCTGACCTCGCGTCTCCGCACTGCACAGACAAAGGAGCCTGCACAGACAAACAGAGGCTGTAGCTTTTCTTGGAGCGATGACTCATTTCAGTTCACAAAGGATTCTGGGCAGGGCAGTGAGAAGTCAGGTTGGCTGATCCGTCCCTGTGACTTCACTTTGCAGAGAACAAGCAGAAGAGGAGTGACACTGCAGATTCCGAGGCACTGCAGTGGGATGTTGGCTCAGCAAGTGGCTGTGATGTACGGGATAGGCATGGAACAGGATTCCAGCTGTTCCATGCAAATAGGATAAAAGAATGGTAAAGAGGATTCCTTTTTTTTTCCCTCCTCAAAACGTTACCAGCAAAGTACATTCACAGAGCCTTTTTAAGGTGCCTTTTGCCAGCTTTTGAACTGAACTTGTACCAGTATCTCAAGCCCTGAATTGTAAGAAGAGCTGAGAGTTCTGGAACTCATTTTTAAAAAGTAGATCTACGAAGGTAAAGTACCAGATTCCTCTTGTGTTCCACGGGCCCTCAGTAGCCAATCTGAAATGCTCATTTAGGATACTATGACTTGAAACTTTACTCTTTCTTCTTATTCCAGATTCTAGGACGTCCGTTTCTGTTACTGGCTCCTTCTTGTGCTTGGATGCAGCTCCCTAGCATGCACCAGGCTTTAGCGTCAGTGCTACCTGGGGGATGGAGCCAGTCCAGAAAGGGCCAGGTAGGTTTCCCCTGCTTTTATTTCAACAGTTGTTGTGTGCAAAGGAATATGGTGAAATGTCAGCACCACCCGTGAAGAGGGTGCACGGTCCTCTGAGAAGTCTTGCTGTTCCGCTCCTCCCGCAGCCTCAATCTTAGGCAGTCCAGGTCCTCCCACTGTGGGCTGCCCACCACACACGACCTCACCAGCCCAGGTCATCCCAGAGCTGCTCACGGGGACCGAGAAGTCCACAGCAGCAGGATTTGCCAATAGGAAATAATCAGACTGCCCCAGATTTCCCTCAGCTGTATATCTATCTCGCTCGCTGCTCTGAGGGAGGCATTCAGTAAATAGTATTTGACATTTTTTCTGGTTTTTTTTTTTTTTTTTTTTTTTTGTTTGTTTGGTTTGGTTTGGTTTTTTGAGACAGAGTTTTGCTCTTGTTGCCCAGGCTGGAGTGCAATGGTGTGATCTCAGCTCACTGCAACCTCCGCTTCCCGGGTTCAAGCGATTCTTCTGCCTCAGCCTCTTGAGTAGCTGGGATTACAGGCACGTGCCACCACGCCTGGCTAATTTTGTATTTTTAGTAGGGACGGGGTTTCTCCACATTGGTTAGGCTGGTCTTGAACTTCTGACCTCTGTTGACCTGCCTGCCTTGGCCTCCCAAAGTGCTGGGATTACAGGCGTGAGCCACTGTGCCCGGCCTCGACATTTTTTCTTACCAATTAATATATAGTGCCCGAAATTTTGCATACTGTTTGGCCTGTTAACCTACATGCAATGCACTAAAATCCAAGAAAGCCTGATTTATGTGCCCAGGGACTGTTTCCAAGACTAACATCATATTGAGGCTGCTGTTAACTGCTAAGGAAGTAAGCATATTTCATCATAGTCTGCTTTAGGATTCAGATTATGACAGAGCTGTTTTCTTACAACATCCATGGGCTTTTCACACGAAAGCTTTTTAAAAAAACATGACAACGAAATGGTAAATTTTGGTCCTCAAAAGTACATTACATGCCTCATTTCCAAAGTGAGACTTGGCACATCTGAAAGCATGGCTTTACCCCCTCATCACATGGATGGTTTCAGCACTGTTACAGATATTTCTGAGAGTGTTGAATCCCGTATGTAATAGGTAAGAATTTTTAGAACATGTTTAAAGGCAGATGTTCAAGACCCCTTGAACATCTTCTTTCTCTTCGCAGTCACATCCATCTCATAGCTCACCCTGTCACAGAAGAAAAGAGAGCATGTTTCCTTTCTCCACTGTCAGAGGTCTCTTCTTTCTGCATAGCAGTTTGCATCTTCAGAGCAACGTTGAGGATGCTGAGTCAGGTTTAAAGGATGTTTGGTCAGAAAAAACACAAGCATGGTATGTTGCAAATACAGTTCCATCATGTCCTCACACCCATCAATTCTACCCATCCTTAAGGACCTATTCCAAATCTCTGTCCCCTGGAAAGTTCTCCCTAATCACCCCAACAGGAGGTCATTTCTAAATCCTTGAAACTCCCATTATAGAGTTAAGTTTCTATTCATTCATGTGTTTTCTTGCTATAGCTCTTCTAAGGGTGTTTTGAACAGCAATGTGTATATTTCATGATGCTTTATATTTTCACACATGTATATCTTATATTCCCACCTAAATTGTAATCTCATTGAAGGCAGAGATCAAGATTTATGCTTTTTTCTGCTGTCTACATCTCCTAGCAGTTCCCTACACATGGAACCCTTTCAATAAATAGTTGAATAGGAAGAGGGGCAGTTTAAAAAGCAGGATTTTTTTTTTTTTTTTTTTTTTTTTTTTTTTTTTTTTGGTCATAGAGAGTTAGAATGATCTGGTTTTGCTAATTTTAAGAATCTTCACAGGGTATATTCAGGCTAAGGTGGACCTCAGGAGTCATGCATGCCACTCTAGAAGTTGTGATGGTTCTTACCCTGAGACAGTGTCACAGCCAGGAAGCTGCCTTACCCTGCTTGTAAAGAACTGTTGCCGTAAAGGACAAATGAGCATGTGGACATTGATCACGGTTTACTTGAATTATATTGGACAAGCCATCCTTAAGTTATGAGGAGTATGCCGAATTCGGGAAGTTTAGGTGAAAGTCACTTTTTTGACTCCTACAGGACATTTTCCTTAGAAGAAAGAGCCAGAATGGTTACTAATAATTCGGATCATATCAGAAATTATTTAACTCCTGGTGTCACTGATTTTTAATACTAAGAGTACTTATTTAAGTCCTGAGTTTCCTTTCCCTTTCTTAGGTAATGGATTGGCCCAACCTAAGTTTTGAAATAGGTCAACATCCTTTGATATCCTTGTAATTCTCTATCCACACTATTTCCCATCTCCTAGTGCCTTTTTCTCTCCAAAGTCCCTAGTGTAATGCATGTTTGCACTCCCAGCCTGGTGATGCATCCCAAATGCTATGTGTTCTATATATCTGATTAAAGTAATCTTATTAAACTACTTCATACTAGTATAAGGAAGACCTCTGCACTCTTAGCCTTCCCAAAGATATTTTAGTTTTTTAAAAAGGCTTATTTTTAGGTACAAACAAATTTTCCATTGGTAGAAATTCAAACACTGTAAATGAGTAAATTGGATAAATCTAGATGGGCTTGAGGAAGAATTTTTTTTTTTTTTTGACGGAGTCTTTCCTTGTTTCCCAGGCTGGAGTGCAATGGCACGGTCTTGGCTCACTGCAACCTCCGCCTCCTGGGTTCAAGTGATTCTCCCGCCTCAGCCACCCGAGTAGCTGGGATTACAGGCATCTGCCACCACGCCTGGCTAATTTTTTGTGTTTTTCGTAGTGATGGGGTTTCTCCATGTTGGCCAGGCTGGTCTTGAACTCCTGACCTGATCCACCCACCTCGACCTCCCAAAGTGCTGGGATTACAAGCATGAGCCACCGCGCCCGGCCAGGGAAGATATTTTTAATACTAGCTACTATTTATTAAACATGTATTAGGTCTCAGGGACAGGGTAAGCACTCAACATCCATTATCTCATTTAATCCCCTCAGTGAGTCTACAAGGTAAACATCATTATGTATACTTCACAAAAGAAAAAATTGAAACTCAAAAAATTAAATAATTTGCCCCAAATCACACAACCAGTGAGGAGCAGAACTGGGCTCTGAACCTAAAGTTTTGACTACAAAGCCCATGGCTTTTAACACCATCTTGTAATGCTGAATTGAAGAGAGAAAAGTTACTTAATTGTACAGCGACTTAGACGTTTCCTCTGTGTATCTGATCTGATCCCCTATCCTTTCTTTCATGCCTCTGAATTCTGACATAGTCCTTTCATAATGACCTCCATGGCAGTTGGAAGGGGTAGAAGCGTGTTCGGTTTTAGGGGGGTTGGTTGGTAGCAGTCAATCGGTACAATTTTGTTGTAATTTGGGAACTGTCAACCTGTCCATATTTGTAGTTTATTTAATTAGGCCTTCCTGTCCTATTACAATTGTATTTTACAGAAATCAGTCCCACTACAGTTGTCATCCCTAAACTGATGAAGCAGAGAATACAAAGACTGAGAAATAGCTCTGGTGATTCCAACTTAAAAAGAGGGAAAGTGAATGTGTGACCTAGAGTTGTTAGATGATTTATTAAGCTGAAGTTGGGAAATATCATCAGTGGAAACTGGAGCATCTAATGTCTAGTGTTAGGCCAGGTTATGCTGCAGAATGAACATGAAGGAGAAGTACAGGGTGGCTTAAAATAGGAATTTATGTTCTTTCTTATGTGATGCACTTAAGGAAAAGGAAGACGTCATGTTCCTCAGGTGCTCTTGTTGGTCAGGTGCTTTACAGAATTTCAGGACATCTGGGAGATCTTACTAATTGTTATCATCTAGGACTGGTATTTCATCATAACTTTATCCTTGTTGGTAAGTGGCTTTACCTTCATTCTGGTTGAAGGACTGGAGCACAAGTGGCAGCTGGTGTTGGAAAACATCTTGTAAGGTAGCAGGGCCTTGCCTCTTCTTGTTTATGTACGTAGGACCTTTTGATTCTACAAGCATTTGAGGACCTGCCGTGTGAAAGCATTCGGCTAGGTTTTATTCCATGTGCCTAGCACGTACCACCCTGGACCTAGCTGATGGGTTATAGTGTGGAGCCTTAGCAAAGGCGTTAATTACGAAATTAACCTGATTGGTCCCAGGGCTCATATTCCATCCTACCTTTTCTGCTATGCATCTATTGCAAATAGCTAAATGGTCCAACAGAAGTGTTAGTTGTTCCTATCAGAGACGTCAGGAATCACCTCTGGCGGTGGGGAAGGTGGCTCTTGGCCAGGGCGCTCTCACCCACCCCTGCCCACGAGGATGGCCCCTTTCTGCCCGATGCTCTACCCTTTCTGCCTTATCTGTCTCTATTTATTCTGTGATAAGCTTTTACCTGTAGTCAAATCTCAGTAACAAGAGCAATAGCTAATGTGACTAACGAAAGGTTGCGGACTGGGAGGATCATGAGCTTCTTCTGTAGACCAATGAGCCAATTAATTCGTTACTTCACATAGTGGCATTAGACAGACTGGTCAGCACAAAGGCCCGGGTGACGTGGGGGATGTTAACTCATTCTTTTGGGTGCCCTTGGCCACCGTGTTACTCTCGTTTAACTTTATTCCCATTAGAAGTTTCTTAGTAAGTAATAGCTAATGGACACCAGTATTTCAGTATGATTAATGAGTGTCTTCTGTTTACGCTCTCTTGATTAAAATGATTTACTCAAATAATAGCTTAGGAATTGGACCTGCTTTAAGATACCCATTAAGTGTTGAAGTAAAGCATTAGGAAACATTTTTAAAGTTGTTATAGAATCTCTAAATATTCTAAAATTCCTTTTTTATGCTGTTTCCTTCAGTTGACTATTGCCATCGGGCTCAGCCTTCAACTTTTGAAATCAGTGGCATTTGAAACAAACCTACAGTAAACTAGTAAAAGTGCCTTTTCATTGCCAGTTTTCTTCTGAATGTCAAATACAAACATTCGAAAGTCAAGAATAGTCATCTGGTTTCAAAGGAAAGCTGCTTAAAACGCAGGAGCATGTGAGGTAATGGGAGCCGTCTGCTCTGCCCCCACCAGATGGGTGCTGTGGTCTTCAAGAGAGCGCATAGGAAAGAAGTATGTGGGTTTTTTTAGAACAGCTTTTTAAAAAATACTGTAGTAGGCCTTCTGTTAAAAGAGCCAAACAGCATTAATACATAAAATTGGGGTTAATAAATTGAATTAAATTGTAAAACACAAGATTTGTCTGAGGCGCTGCATCCGAGAAGTTGTTCACTTGACTGTAACCCCAGAAAGCGGGTGATTTCCCCAAGCCCAAGGGCATTTAAGATAAAACTTGGCGAAAGAATCGTTTTCTGAAGAGTGTGCGGAGAGGAATAGAGTTGTGTTGTCCCCATGCCCATAGTGCATTTTATAGACATGTTTGACTATTTTTATGAGGAATCACGGTATCTACTACTTGTGGTAATTTTATGGCATCCGTGATTTTAACTTGCGTGTTAATTTTGGCGGTGCAGAGAACAAAAGGGGCACACATTAGTCCTGAGGAACAAAGCTGAGCAAGACTTTGAATTTAGAAAGAGAAAATGATGAAGCCTTTATTGTAAGGGAAGAAAAAATTATTAGCCAGTATATGGAGCCATTTCTTTGAAAATTAAAGCCCAACTTTTTCAGTTCAGATGAGTGTTAAAATAGTGTCCCCAGCGTGATGGAAGCAGAGCTAGACACCCGTGCCATATGATGCTTTTATGCCAGAATTCTGCTGCATTCATATAGGATCACAGGATTTAGGAGGCTGAAGGAATCTTTGAAATCATTTCATCCAAACTCTCATTTTACAGATGAGGAAACGGGCGCAGAGCGGATAATTGTATTTTGTTTTAAGAGACTGGGTACTTATCAAAATATCTCTTGAATGCTTTTTTTATATTGGGAATTTCTCAATTATAAACTAGTACAGTTTCAGAACCACATTCTTAAGTGGGTTGTTTTGGTACAAGAATTTCATTAATGTCAAAGATAACTCTTCAACCCAGAGAATAGATTACATTAACACTTGCAATGAAAAACAGTACCTTAAAAGGAAAACAGGATAATTCATATGGAATGTTGGTGCTTGAAAAAAAAATTATTTAAAGAAAGCTAAGATAGAGGATGGAGGCTGGTACTTTCCAGGCTGTTTACTGTGATGCAGTTTGCCTGGGGAAATTCTGGCTTTCCTTTTCTTACACAGTTGTATGAGGATGGGTACTTTAAGATGAAATGACATAGTTTTATGTTGGCTTTTGTAGCAGGTATCTTTTGGAAAGCTACGGATGTCACCCAGGAAGGAGCAGGTGTAAGCTGTTGTGAAAGTCATATCCCAGGAGCGGTGCTGGTCTCCTGCGTGTGCACAGGCTGAGAAGTTCCTGGAACCTCAATTAATGACTGCAAAAAGTGAAAATGCCACTTATAAAGGACAGGGCTTTATTTTAGTCTTTTTTTTTTTTTTTTTTTTTTTTTTTTTTTTGCACAAATAGAACCGAGATAAGAACAGTTTTGGAACTTGAGTGCTTAAAGGTATTTGATGTAAAATAGGCATTCAGATATTTCTTGAAAGGATGAATTATGTGAGAGAGAGTTTTTTTTAAAATAACTCCAACTAAAGTAATGGGCCAGAAGTTGGAAGGGGAAAATAGATAGAGGGATTTAAATAGTGAAAATGGATGCGCTTGATAAAGCTATTTCCTGAGGTAGGGGTGACTAGCTGTAGACAATCCAAGAGCAGGTTGGCGTCTGCAGGACATCTGCCTGTTGTCCGTTGTGCGAGTGATTTTAGGAATCACCAGCTCTTTCTCCAGAGTTGCACAAGAGTGATTTTCTCATGCAAGCATATCATGTGATTTGTCTGTATGAAAACAGGGGCAGTGCCTCGTCACCGTCAAGAATAAGATCTAAGCCTTCTTGTCAACCAGGATCTGGCCCCTTTTTTCTCTGTATCTCACCACCAGCCTGCCCCAGGGGAGCCTGAACCTGCCGCAGCTCCCCAGTCTCAGCTCCCCGGGCTGCCTGGGCTCAGCATGCTGCACCCCCGTGCTGGCTGGGCTGTTCCGCCTCTCCTGGAGGGGGTCCGTCTTCCATGCCCCTCATCATCCACCCGGCTACTCTTTCTCTTCATGCCAGTCAGCCGACAATGACCTCACATGAAAGCAGTGTCCACATTTTCACTCATGCATTTTAAATGTTAAATACTCTTAAAACAGAAGTTTACTTACAATTGTAATATTTTCATGTCTTTTCACATTTTAAGCTCGCTTAAAAATCTATGGAATGCTTCCTCTGTCCAAGGCACTGAGTTTGGTTTTATCTGAAATAGCCTAGATTTGACAAAAGTCCTCTGAGGACTGTACTTAAATGGATGTTTGTAAGAAAATAAAGCTGAACTAAAATCTATCTACTCCTTTTTTAGAACAATAGGACAGAATTATAGCAGTTTAGAAAGAATTTTTTAGCTGACAAAGTGCCAATGTGCTTTAAGATGAGTTGTCGTTATGAATGTGTTCTGAACTAATTCTGACGATGGAAAAATCCATCCTATAAATTATAGACAAGTAAATTATAATCCACATTTCATGCAAAATATGGTAGTTTCTGTAGATAATGTAGATTATCGTGACCAACAATATTTTAGCAGTACCTACATTCTCCTTTTTTCTTCTTTGAATAAATAAATGTGGTCCGGTAGTTGGAAGAATTTTCTAGTAGCATATCTTAAAAATGACTAGTTGGCTCGTTAAGCAGGTTTATATAAGATCCACAGAAGATTATGGTAAACTTGAATAATGTTTATGTTGTGTTGAGAGATACCTGTGATTCCTTTAATACAGATCTTAAATGCATGTTCTAAACTTCACTTAATATATAATTATTCTTTTAAAAAATTTACTCATTTTTATTAATTTTTAATTTCTTATTGCTATATAATAGTTGTGTTATAAAGTTATTTTTCTATAGTAACTGCTGTGTTTGGAGGCCTATTTCTCATGCAGTTAATTGGGGGAGTCTTAGAAATTGCATGGGTAAACTTATTTGTTCTCTTTTTGTTTGCTATTATTTAGCAAAAATATTAATAAAATTACAGTCCTTTAAGATGACTAAGAAATTCCTTAGATTATCATGTTAAAAATGGATATTCATTCATTCAACAAATATTTGTTGGGTAAGCACTGCATCATTCTAGGTGCTGGGAATGTGGCATTCACGTTGCCTTCTGTCATGGAGCTTACATTCAAGTGGGTGAGACAGACAGTAAACCAGTGAACCAAACGCACATGCACACATGCAGGGAGAGAAGACAGTAAACTCGGCTGTGATGGAATGGCAGTAGACCAGACAGTCAGGTTAGGGCTTTCTGATGAGGTGCCATTTGAATTGAGACCTAAAGCATGAAAAGCCAGTCTTGAAAGGTCGACCCAAGGAGCATCCCAGGCCAAGGGCACAAAAAATACAAAGGCCCTGAGTTGAGGAAATGCCTGACATGTTCAAAGAACAGAGGAGGTCGTGAGTGGCAAGTAAGGATGGAGGTGGGAGTGGTCCTAGCATAGGGTGGACAGGCTCAGGCCACGTGGGCCCGTGTAGGCCTACCAAGGAGTTCAGCTTCTCTTCTAAGTGCAGTAGGCAGTCCCTGGAGGATTTTATGCAGGGAAGTGGTGTGTTTTTTGTTTTCCTAAGAGGACCTTGCCTGCTCTGTGGAGAGGGGAGTGTTGGAGGCAGGAGGGAAGGCTGAACATCATCAAGTTCTTATGAAGGACCAGGTGAGAGATGATGGCAGTTTAAGGGAGCTCCAGGGATAGAATCCAGGGGACAGGCCAGGAAGCATTTGGGTGTAGACAGGATTGCTGATGGGATTGGGGATGGGAAAGGAGTTGAAAGTAATATATCTTAGTGCAGCACAAAAATGAGATGAGGTGGAGACAGTTACTTAGAACATCCAAATTCCATTTTGTTCTACATTCTGAGTTAAAAGTTATTGCCCATATTCATTATTATAGTGAAACTGAGCTTTTCCAAAGTAAATGCCATTCAGACACACTTAAAGCATGCTGCCTCTTGGAGTTGGCTGCAATGAATGAAAAGAAATTAACTGAGAATATGGCAGTGAAACCAAACAAATTGTTTCAGCTAAACCCATAAGGACAAGCATGACCTAAACCAAAGCAGTTAATTAATTTTGCTAATAGTCATTTCTTTTTTACAGAGAGTTCGAGTTTCCTCTTATGACCTATACAAAAATCTGGAAATAGTCCGGCCTGCATTTTGGGGATCATATTTAGTATTTTTGTATCTTTCATCTTCTGAGATGTTCTTAGTTATATAATAGGCACACGTTGGAAGGTATTAACTTCTCAAGTGATACCCAAGTCCAGAGGTTCTGGAATCTGCATTGATCCTGTCCCTCTTTGCCAGCTGATCCCATCTTCCTTTTCATCTGACTTTAAAAATCATCCCAGGTGACTTTCAGGTCCATATGGCTAACTTAGCACCTCTGTAAGAAAGCCGGCCTCAGTGCCCCTGTCCTATCCAGTGGAGGTGGAGTGAGAGAGAAGGAACTACAGGCCGGTGTCTCAGACTGTCTGTGCCTGAGCTGTAGGGCCTGCGGTACGGAGGGCAGAGTCAAACAGGTGAACTTCCCAACTCCCACCTCTGCTGCAGCTTGCATCAGCACTCAGCCAATCTTCACACATTTCTTATGTGTTTATTGATTTAGAGACAGGGTCTCGCTCTGTTGCCCAGGCTGGAGTGCAGTGGCGCAATCTCAGCTCACCGTAGCCTTGACCTCCCAGGCTCAAGCGATCTTCCCAGCTCAGCCTCCCAAGCAGCTGAGACCACAGGCGCGTGCCAGCATGCCTGGCTAATTTTTGTATTTTTTGTAGAGATGGGGTCTCATCATGTTGCCCAGGCTGGTCTCAAACTCCTGGGCTAAAACAATCTGCCTGCCTTGACCTCTAGAACTGTTGGGATTATAGGTGTGAGCCACCATGCCCAACCCACATTAGGTTTTAGAGTAAGACTTCATTTGGGCTGGGCATGGTGGCTCACACCTGTAATTCCAGCGCTTTAAGAGGTGGCCGGACTGTAGTCCTAGCTATTTGGAAGCCTGAGGTAGGAGGATCTCTTGAGTTCAAGGTTGCAGTGAGCTATGATTGTGCCATTTCACTCTAGCCTGAGCCACAGAGCCAGACCCTGTCTCAAAAAAGCAAACAAACAAAAAAACAAAAACAAATGAACAAACAAAAAAACCCAGCTTTTTTTGTAGGAAAAAAAAGGATATGACAAATCTTTTCTTTAAGATTTAAATACATTGTTCTAGGCCGTTGGAAACTTACCCACTGAGGTGGTCCCAGCCCACGTCATTCTATCATTCTGTCATTTTTGAGTTACCAATACGAACTGAGCTTCACCAGCCAATGAATGAAACTCACATCCCCCAAAATGGCCCCAAGTTCACACTCGGTCTCGCCTGCTACTGCCCCACAAAATATTACAAGAATTTTTCTGAGGGTGTCTCTTTATGATGCCTATGACCCATAGGCCCCAGACATTTGTGGCTTCTAAGCTAGGTCAGTTCCTGGCTTCTGCTGATTTTTCTCCCTTCCTCCTTTTCTGGATGTGGGTACTCCTGTCTCCCTCTGGCCACTGGGACAACGTCTTATCCTCCTCATATCCATCTTGCAGAGAGTGGAGCTACAGTAGAGCTGATGGGAGCCCCATGTGGTCCAGGGAAAGGGGGGCGTTGAACTGAGCTGGGTTTGGGAAGGGGGTGAGGCCTGAGCCTTGGGCACTGGAGTCCTGCTGCTTCCTCCGAGGCACCTGTTGGACTCTCCCCGTACGTGCTGATCTTTGTCCCAGGCCCTGCTGCCTGATTTCATCGAGCAAACCATTTCTCTCCTAGCCCATCAAAGCAGCAAGTTTTTCCCCATAGGGACTCTGCACTCCTCCTGCAAACTAGGAACTGTGGCTGGGCATGGCTTTAAGTGCCTGACAGTGAGGAGGTTGGTCCACCTCAGAGCAGCCAGACACCTTGTCGGGGAGGGTGTTGCTTAATGCTACAGGCCGACCTGAGTCTCGGTTTTGGTCAACCATGGTAGCTTATTACAAGCATGCTTCAGAAACAAAAAAGGCTAGATTATGGAAGTACATTTAGGAAATCAGATTAGAAACTTAACAGACCCTGTGAGCCCTTCTATGTTCTACTGTGTTGATAGTTTGCATCCTCCTCGTGTAGGACATCTTTTCAAATGCAACCTTGGAGAACCCCAGGTATAAAACAGGTGGCACCCAGGTGTCAGGAGCGAACTTTCCTGCCCTCCCAGCCTCTGCTTCTACTGGGGGCACCTCCATCCCAGAAATATTCCAAGAAATTCTAGGGATCCTTGGAGCATCACTTGAAAATCACTGACTGCACTGTGGTATAAAGACTTGAGAAATGAAGACAGATATTTGCATTGTAGGTTGACATCTCAAGAGTCACCGTCCATCACCCCTCCGATGCAGGGTCTTCAGCCTCTCCTGCCTCCACTGGCCCTTTTAGTGTGCAGGAGGCCACATTCTCTGAGGGAATTGTAATCTGCCTTCTCCCACTCCTCCCAGCCATCATCCCCACGGCCACCACAGTCATCTTTCTGAAATCCACACCTGCCTTCAGCCTTCCATGGCTCACCACCCCTCATAGAATGCAGAGCTTGGACACTCAGCTCTTTATTCATGGTCGTCCCTACCTACCTGTCCCCCTTCGCTTCTGTGCCCCAGAAAACATCTGCTTATAGGTCCCAGCCCCGCAGGGACACACCTACTCTTGAACACTGGGTTCAGATTACACTTCCTTGGTGGAACCTTGGAAATTCCTGCTTCTGAGCCCCACCCTCGCCTCCCAGAGGTGTTATCCTTCCTCGACTCTCAGCACCCAGGTGTTGTTCTGTTCTCTTGTGTGCCTGCCACGCAGCATTGCGAACTTCGTTCGATCTACTTGTCTGTCTTCTCCACTTAAATAGAAACTGAGGGCAGAGATGTTTGGGGAGAGGCGCGCACTCTGTCTCTGCAGCTCCCGTTCCCCCAGCAGACACGTAAACGCGTTCAATGTGTGAATGAATGAATCATCAAGTTACACAAATGCAATTTGTCGGGATATGAATGGCAGTTATTAAATAAATCAGCTCCAAGTTAATAAAAACGGAAATAAAAGCCTGTTGTTGCAAGACTTTCAGTACTAGGACTATTTAAATGAGATCTCGGATGTTAAAGGGAAGTTTTATTTGTTGAGGCAGTAGGAGCTTCCACTGCGTGTGGAAGTCTTTCCACCTGAGTGGAATTGGCTGTGGCTTCTGTGTTCAGAGTGGAATTGGCAAGCAGCTGCTATGTTCGGAGCTGACTGTGTTCGTCAGACCAGGGCCAGATGGACGCGTGAAGGCGTGTGTCTGACAGATGACCGGGTCTTTTAATGAACCACTCACTTGAAAATTGTCTTTCTGCAGGTGATGTATCACCCATCAGTATGTCTCCCATCAGTCAGTCTCAGTTTATTCCACTCGGGGAGATCCTCTGCTTGGCCATCTCAGCAATGAACTCGGCAAGAAAGCCTGTCACCCAAGAAGCACTGATGGAGCACCTGACCACGTGCTTCCCAGGTAACGAGGCGGGAACGTAGCACTTTCCAGGTGGCGGTGTGCTGTGGTCGCTCTAGGACTCACGTGGACTGTTCTGCCCATGTTTAAAGAGAATAGGAAAACATTCTTCCCCAAAACTGACCCGAAGCTTTCCTTACTTCTGTAATTAAAAATTCAGGCACCTGCATGACATCAAAAAATAACTTAACTGCTTCAGCTGTAATACTTTTTAAATTGGCACCGAGAGGAAGAAATTAATTCAGAATCCATGAAGAATCTGGCAAGAATGACCAGGACTCCAGTCAGTCTTTGCAAACTAATCTTTAAATACATGAACGTGAGGGTTCAACGGCTGAAAACTTTAGTCCTAGGGAGTTAAACTACAGAAAGGGTCATGTCAAAAATTAACATATCTTACATATTTGTATCATGGCTTGATGAGTTTTAAGAAAATAATATTGATAAATTAGGATTTCATTTTAAAAAATAAAATACTTACTTTTCTCTTAAATGTTATAAAAAGGAGGCAACAGCCCAGCTGCTGTGTGAGAGGCATTTGACGCTTTCAGTGCTGGAAGGCATTAGGAAGGGTGACAAGCTGCAGAATGCAGGACCCTCTTTCAAGAGAGCCAGTGTATTGTCACCCCACCCCCAAATGGAGATCCTGCCAGAGTTGCCAATCTCATGTTTCAAGACAATCTGGAAATTTGGTCTTATGTGAAATCTCTGCATTTCCTTAAATATTGACAATTGTGTGTGTGTATATGTTTTAATGTCTGTGTGCCAGCAACATGCAAGTCAAATGAAATACATTATCGGGCTACCAGTTTGCCAACTTGGTGTGGACTCAGCCTGTTTCTAGGTTGAAATAGAGATTATATTAAAAGGGAACGTTTGCTATATTTCTCATTCAACTTAGAAGAGATCTGAGTAAATATAAGCTGTTAATTGTATCAGTTAGCTTTTGCTACAAAAATGCTGGGTAACAAACAACTACAGAACATCAAAGGCCTACGGCAACAAGAGTTGATTTCATTCATGCCTCTGTGGGTTCCCCAGGAGTCAGCTGAGCCAGGTGGGGCCCAGCAGGGTAGTTCTGCTCCATCTGTACCCATCCGATTTAGAAAACGGGGCAAATGGAGATCTCCTTCACTTGCGGGATGGCAGAGGCACCAGAGCACAAGCCCATGGCACGAAGGCTCTTCAAGCTTTGTTCATGCCAGCCCATTAACACTGCAGTGACCAACACAAACCTGCTAAACTCAAAGTCAAGGTGTGGGGAAGTGCACCCCACACATGGGAAGAGAACGGGAGGACGAATTCTAAGCTAAGGAGAGATCTTATCTACTGTATTGGTCTCCCTGCTTCTCCTTTTGTCCCCGAGGAACGTTTTCTCCTTCTCCTTGTGATATTTCTTCCTTTTTCAATATTCTAATTAATGTGTTTTGATAATATGTATATGGTTCAAAATCTCTAACATGAACCCACCCTTGCAACATACAAATTATTTTAAGATTTCTAGCATTTTATTATCTCTGAATATTCTTCACTGTCTGATTGCCTGTCTCTTTTTGTTAAGTCCTAGGCAAACGCCTTTCCTTTTAGTAGTGAGAGAAACAGAATCCCAGGTGAGAGCCACCTAAGTGGGGACAGATAGTGTTGCCAAACACAGTGGTCTTGGAGGAAGGACCTGCTTTCTGTCCTATGAGTGCGTAGCCACTTCTGACATTGAACAACCCAGCAGCTTTTTAAATCCTTTTATTTTTATATAGCTTCATGAGAAATCACACGGCTTTTCTGAAATTGGTTACGTACCACCCATTTTTGGGCTCTAAAATAAATAATGGAAAGAACATACAGCCAGTGTGTAATAGTAAAATGCTCCTCACTGCCAAGCAGCTGATAACAATATCACTAACTTGGAATGCTTTGTGGATTAATCCATAGGTCATTTGTACTTAAAAGAATAACTGTTTTGCTAGCTTTTATGGGAAGAGAACTTAAATCCCAAGGCCCTGGTTTTCAGACAGACTGAGGAGCTTTTTCTTCTGTGTGACACTGATGACTCATTGGTCAGCCTCAGAAGTTTGCAAGGACACCATACAAACCCAGGTCTAGCGCAGGAGTTTGCTAACCTGCAGGCCTAGTGCGGCCCACCACCTGTTTTTGTAAATAAAGTTTTATTGGAACACAGCCGTGCCCATTTGCTCATGGATGGTCTTTGGCTCCTTATGCGATAGTGGCAGAGTTGAGTAGTAGCAATGGAGGTCATATGGCTAAAAGCCTAAAATATTTACTATGTGGTTCTTTACAGAGAAAGTCTGCTGACCCCTGGGCTAGGATATGGTGGTAACTATTTAAAGTTATGTTCAGCAATAGCTCCAGATTTTAAACTGGTATTTCATAAAAAATGAAAGTTTGTTTCCTGCCTGCCTGCCTTCTTTCCTTTCTTCTTAGCTACCTTTCTCCTTTCCTTCCCTTCCTTCCTTTGATTTTTTTTTTTGTCTGTCTTTTACTATCAGTTAAGCTACAGCAGAAGAAAATATTTTAGAAAATCTAACCCTTTAAATTCTACTTGAAAATTGTATTTTTAATGACAATGCTAAAACTCTGAAGGGATTTAAAGATCATATTTATATTTTTTGTTTTTAAAGGTAAGAATAAAGTATTTAGTTCTTTTATATCTTACTATTCAAAAATAAAGTTTTTGAGCCTAAGTATTATTAAAATATTTGGATCTCATATTTAATGTATATTTTATAAATCAAAAGTGTAGTCTAGAATTTGGCTTCTTTTCTTGTTTTGGGCATCCATATTCTAAAGAAAGTTTTTAGTGAATAGTCTTCCAGCAAAAATTTCTGGGTCAGGCGCAGTGGCTCATGCCTGTAATCCCAGCACTTTGGGAGGCCGAGGCGGGCGGATCACGACGTCAAGAGATCGAGACCATCCTGGTTAACACGGTGAAACCCCGTCTCTACTAAAAATACAAAAAAATTAGCCGGGCTTGGTGGCGGGCGCCTGTAGTCCCAGCTACTCGGGAGGCTGAGGCAGGAGAATGGCGTGAACCCGGGAGGCCGAGCTTGCAGTGAGCTGAGATCACGCCACTGCACTCCAGCCTGGGCGACAGAGCGAGACTCCGTTTCAAAAACAAAAACAAAAAAAAAATTCCGATACATCAAAACTTAAACCTTTTTATCACTTTTCTATAAAAGTGAGAAAAACAAGTTGGCTGAATTTTTGAAAACCAACTCAACAACTTTTATCTATCAATTTCCATTACAGAATCAAGAATATTTTTAAAAGGTTTATAAAGAATAATACTTGCTTCTTGTATTTCTAAATAACTATGCATCCATTCATCCAGAATGATCATTTAAATTGGTGGTCTGGTACCTGTTAAGCTGTTACAACTGAATCTTTCTGGGAGGAAGACTGGTCTTCAGGGACATAGAGCTAGACCCTATAAGTCCAGGTATGGAGCTGAACTTGACTTTAGAGATTCCTGGAGAATGTTAATAGATACACTGTGTTCTGTCTCCCATTCGTCTCCTTATGTTGGCTCTTACTGAATTCTTCTTCAGCCAGCGTTCTTCACAAACAAGAATAATCTAAAGATGCTCATTAAAGCGTTTCACTTGAAAGTGCTTAACATACAGAACAGGTCCATGTGCTCACTGTTCTGACAGTTTGTCAGATTTGCAGGACTAAAGCAATACATAGAGGCTGATTGTGGTGGCTCACACCTATAATCCCAGCAATTTGGGAGGCCGAGGTGGGCGGATCACTTGAGGCCAGGAGTTTGAGACCAATGTGGCCAACATGACGAAACCTTGTCTCTACTAAAAAATACAAAAATTAGCTGGGCGTGTGGCACGCACCTGTAATCCCAGCTACTCGGTGGCTGAGGTACAATAATCACTTGAACCCGGAGGTGGAGGTTTCAGTGAGCCAAGATTGTGCCACTGCACTCCAGCTTGGGTGACAGAGTGAGACGATATCTCAAAAAAAAAAAAAAAAAAATTCATAGGTATAAGTAGACCACAGTGTCATGCAGTGTTTTAAAATAGTTATTTTTGCTTTGAAAAATGTAAAGGTGTGGAAGAGATCAGGTTCAGGCCTGTTAGGATGTAAAGTTTATTTTTGTTCTTTAAGCCCTCACAATCTGAACTCATGATGAACTTTCGGAGTCGAATTTGGAAGTAGTGGAATATGCAAACGTTAAACATCCATCACAACCATCACTTTCTCAGGTCAACCCTACAGATTTCTGGCAGAACCCTGAATTTCACAATCAGTCAGTATATTAGGGCTTCATAATACAATGATAATCATAAACATAAGCAACTTTCAGTTAAGTCTGAAAACTCTCAGGTCACAGCATGGAAAATGGCTTGGACAGGGGGCAAAGAATGTTTCTAGTTTGCATTATCAAATTAAACATTATTTGATGGATATACCTGGAAACCCAAGACATAAAAAAATTTAAGCACAAATACTCTATGGAAATAGAAAAATTTTTCTCTATTTTTCTTTTTATTCCTTCATTTGAGAACTACTAGAGAACTTGTTTTTAATGGTAAGTAAAGATGTTTGCATTGTAGTCATAATTCTATACATTAATAGCTTTATGAGTTTCCTAAGATCATCATTTGGAAGGCCTACAGTCAGCAAATTCTATAATAAAATTAAACTTTTGCTTTATAGTAATAGCTATTTTTATGACGTATACATCAGCTTTCCCTTATTAGGAGCCATGGTAAACTGGTCAATCATGAATACTTATAAATGAACCTT
The DNA here is from genome assembly GCF_000001405.40 of Homo sapiens. Classification (NCBI taxonomy): domain Eukaryota; kingdom Metazoa; phylum Chordata; class Mammalia; order Primates; family Hominidae; genus Homo; species Homo sapiens. Next base: position 184,006,251 of record NC_000004.12, read on the forward strand.
ACGAGTGTTTGAAAAAGTTTGTCACATTGTTGACTAAAAGTATGCTACCATTTAAGATGTGGTCGGCTTTAAACATGGGCTTGTTATCTTGATTGCTGTGCCAAACAATGACAGTGGGCATCATTCCTGAGACTGCGGTGCAGAGGTGTGCCCTCATCTCAGAAGGTATATTCCGTGTCAGTGGTGTCCCCTGAAGTTATTCAGTGGAAGGCACTTTGGGAAGCAGGGGCGGGAAGATCACTTGAGCCCAGGAGTTCGAGACCAACCTGGGGGGCAACATGGAGAAACCCCATCTCTACAAAAAATATAAAAATTAGTCCCAGCTACTCGAAAAACTGAGGTGGGAGGATCACCTGAGCCTGGGGAAGTTGAGGCTGCAGTGAGCTGAGATCTTGTCACTGCACTCCAGCCTGCGCAAGGGTGAGACCCTGTCTCAAAAAAAAAAAAAAAAAAAGGAAAAAAGAAAAAAATTCATTTCTATTTTGTACAGAAAGTATTATAAAATTAAAAAACACCAGCACTTTGGGAGGCCGAGGCGGGCGGATCACGAGGTCAGCAGATCGAAACCATCCCGGCTAAAACGGTGAAACCCCGTCTCTACTAAAAATACAAAAAATTAGCTGGGCGTAGTGGCGGGCGCCTGTAGTCCCAGCTACTTGGGAGGCTGAGGCAGGAGAATGGCGTGAACCCAGGAGGCGGAGCTTGCAGTGAGCCGAGATCCCGCCACTGCACTCCAGCCTGGGCGACAGAGCGAGACTCTGTCTCAAAAAAAAAAAAAAAAACAAAACAAAAAAAAAATTTTGTTATTATTGGTCTTAAAATCATTTGTATAAAAACTAATGCTCACTTGCCAGAAGTAAAGTATTAGACTAAAAGGAAACCATGCGACTCAAAAATTAAATAATTATATTGATACATTATCTATGAACAATGCTACCTTTTCCGCCTTGGTCACTAAAGATACCTTCTGAAGATGGTAACACAAATGGGTGTGTATGTTACCGCGCATTCACGGATTTTCTCCCCTTGAGAATCCCAGGCCATTTCTAATACCTTTATTTCCTACTTTGGAAGGACTTGGGGAGTTGAAGCATCTCAGCTGACCCAGGTGTTCTAGGTTGGTGCACATTGTTGTTTGAAGGCAATCTGGTTTTCCGTGGGTCCCGACCCAAAGTGGAGACTAACTCCCAGCTAATGTTTATTGAGCACTCTCTGTGTGCCAGGCACTGCTCCACACACGAAACTCCTTTCACCTCAGCCCTGTGGCTACAGGTACTATTGTTATCTACCTTTTGATGACAGTGAATGGAGGCTCAGAGAGGCTGAGCTGCCTAAGGTGGTACCAGCTGTCTTCATTTGCTAGGACTGCTGTAACAAAGTGCAGATGGCTCAACCAACCAACATGTATTGTCCTACAGTTCTGGAGGCCAGAAGTCCAGAATCACAATCTCAGCAGGATTGGTTGTCCTTCTGAGAGCTGTGAGGGCCCTGTCCTCGGCTTACGGATGGCCACCTTCTGTGTGTCTCCTCACACTGTCTTCCCTCTGTGCCTTTCTGTCTCCAGCTTTCCCCTTTTCAGAAGGACATCAGTCGTATTCGATTAGAGACCGCTCTAACGACCTCATTTTGACCTGACTTTAAGACCCTTTCTCCAAATAGAGTCATATTTAAAAGAGTATTAGGAGTTAGGATTTCAGGATATAAATTGGGGTGGGGAGTGCATAATTCAACCAGTGACACCAGCTAACAATGACAGGGCAGGGTTTCAATCCAGCAGCCCGGCCCCAGCCTTTTAGTCTCCACCTTACACTGCCTTATTCGTGTTTGGTTGAACCACATGCAACTGCCATTTTTGTGAGTCAGATGGTTAAATATGGGCAGTTTCACATGACTCAAGCTGACCGATTTCAGGTCAGTCTTCTAAGTATTACCACCCTTTATGTGCCTGGCATTGAGAAATGGAGAATACCCAAGAAATGAAGTAAATGGGCTGGAGCCTGGGGAACTTAAACTCTCTTAAGAATTTATGCTCTTAATTCTGTCTCTTAAGGTAGACGAGGCATAAACATGCACAAAAACCCTTTGAAAACAATTATCAATCATACAAAGAAGCTTTCATCATTTTCATCTGGTGTGTCTATTCTAGCCAATATGGGAATTTTGGACAAAAAGACACAGAGTGTCAAAGCCTTCACTCATGTATTTATTAGGGCTCTTTGGTTAGAAATTAGAAAAACCACCTTCTTCTTACTGACTGACGCCAAAAAGGAGAACATTCTTACATGAATTTTACCCGGGCTGCAGTCAGTTTCCAAATGGAAGGCAATGACTCCAAAATTAGAGGATACATCATAAACAGTAGTCAAGTCTAGTTGCCCTTTTATATCATTCACAAAATTAAGTTTATTAAGTAAAATCTTTAACAATGAGCACACACAGTAACTCTTCTGTGGTAGCCTCCATATATGTTAGATATGTTTTTTAATATCAAGGTAGATATTTTCACTCTGCTTCTCTAGTTGCTTTTATTGAAAAAGCCTTTTCTATACTTTCATATCATATCATGGGAAACATTTTTCATTTTTCTCTCATTTAAAAATATTCTGTCTTTCCTGTTTCGTTCAGGAAACAGGAAACAACAGGTAACAACAGTAGCAACCTGACTCCACCTAACTTCCATCTCTGTCTTCCCAGCTTTTATATCTGCTCATTCTGTGGGTAGTAATGTAGGAGTTACCCAAGAAGGCGAGGATTTGCACTGAACTTAATGAACACCTTTGTCTGAATTGTGCATCCTAGCTCTGTGATGGTACTTCGCATCTTGGCGAATGAATAGGATCCTGGAAATCAGGAATCCACATGTTCTGTCTTCATTCTCACAAGTGGTTTTTTTTTTTTTTTTTTCAGGTGTTCCAACGCCAAGCCAAGAAATTCTGCGGCACACGCTGAACACGCTGGTACGGGAGAGGAAGATCTACCCAACTCCAGATGGCTACTTCATCGTGACCCCACAGACTTATTTCATAACTCCTTCCCTCATAAGAACTAACAGTAAATGGTACCATTTGGACGAGAGGATACCTGACCGGTCTCAGTGCACCTCTCCGCAACCCGGGACCATCACGCCCTCTGCCTCAGGCTGTGTCAGGGAAAGGACATTGCCCCGAAACCACTGCGACTCTTGCCACTGCTGCAGAGAAGACGTGCACAGCACGCATGCACCCACCCTGCAAAGGAAGTCTGCCAAGGACTGCAAAGACCCTTACTGTCCCCCTTCTCTGTGCCAGGTGCCACCCACTGAAAAGAGCAAAAGTACTGTAAATTTTTCCTATAAGACAGAAACTCTCTCAAAACCTAAAGATAGTGAAAAGCAGTCAAAAAAATTCGGGCTAAAGTTATTCCGGTTAAGTTTTAAAAAAGACAAGACCAAACAGCTGGCCAATTTTTCTGCCCAGTTTCCTCCTGAAGAGTGGCCCCTGCGAGACGAGGACACGCCAGCTACGATCCCTCGGGAAGTAGAGATGGAAATCATTAGGCGCATTAACCCAGACCTGACCGTGGAAAATGTCATGCGGCACACCGCGCTCATGAAGAAACTGGAAGAAGAAAAGGCCCAGAGGAGTAAAGCCGGGTCCTCTGCCCATCACAGCGGAAGGAGTAAAAAGAGTAGGACTCATCGGAAGTCCCATGGAAAGTCTCGGTCTCACAGCAAGACACGGGTGTCTAAAGGAGACCCTTCCGACGGTTCACATCTGGATATCCCAGCTGAAAGAGAGTATGACTTTTGTGATCCTCTTACCAGGGTGCCCAGGGAGGGCTGCTTCATCATTGAACACAAAGGAGATAACTTCATCATGCACAGCAACACAAACGTGCTCGAGTCCCACTTCCCCATGACACCAGAATGGGATGTGTCTGGTGAATTGGCTAAAAGGAGAACTGAGATGCCTTTTCCTGAACCTTCTAGGGGAAGCTCCCACTCAAAAGTGCACCGAAGCCACAGCCATACACAGGACCGGAGGTCCAGGAATGAGAGATCCAACAAAGCCAAGGAGAGATCCAGGTCGATGGATAACTCCAAAGGCCCTCTGGGTGCTTCTTCTCTAGGGACGCCGGAAGACCTTGCTGAAGGCTGCAGCCAAGACGACCAGACCCCCAGCCAATCCTACATTGACGACAGTACTTTAAGGCCTGCACAGACCGTTAGTCTCCAAAGGGCTCACATTTCGTCCACAAGCTATAAAGAGGTGTGTATTCCAGAGATAGTCAGTGGCAGCAAGGAACCGTCCAGCGCTTGCAGCCTTTTGGAGCCAGGAAAACCACCCGAGAGTTTGCCATCCTATGGCGAACTCAACTCTTGTCCAACAAAAACAGCCACAGATGACTATTTCCAGTGCAACACCTCTAGTGAGACGGTGCTCACGGCACCATCACCTCTGGGAAAGAATAAGGAGGACCATGACACTCTGACTTTGGCAGAAGGGGTGAAAAAGCTCTCCCCTTCTGATAGGCAGGTCCCCCACTCCTCCAGGGAGCCTGTGGGGCACAAGGAGGAGTCACCAAAAGGGCCGGGTGGGGGCCCCGCTGCTTCGGGAGGAGTGGCTGAAGGGATCGCCAACGGACGCCTCGTCCAGCACCATGGTGCCGAGCCCAGCAGCTTGGACAAGAGGAAAGAGATATTTAGCAAAGACACACTGTTCAAACCTCTTCACAGCACCTTGTCTGTAAACAGCTATCACAAGTCGAGCCTGTCCCTCCTCAAATCTCACCCGAAGACACCTGCTGACACATTGCCAGGCCGATGTGAGAAACTGGAACCGTCCCTGGGGACCTCGGCGGCACAAGCCATGCCTGCTTCCCAGCGTCAGCAGGAGTCAGGAGGGAACCAGGAAGCCTCTTTTGACTATTACAACGTCTCTGATGATGACGACTCTGAGGAAGGGGCAAACAAGAACACAGAGGAGGAGAAAAATAGAGAGGACGTAGGCACCATGCAGTGGCTCCTCGAGCGGGAGAAGGAAAGAGACTTGCAGAGGAAATTTGAAAAGAACCTCACCCTTCTTGCTCCAAAAGAAACCGACAGCAGCAGCAACCAGAGAGCCACCCATTCAGCCCGGCTCGACAGCATGGACAGCAGCAGCATCACAGTGGACAGTGGATTCAACTCCCCACGGTAGGGAGAGGTGTCTCTGTGCACACACATGCGCCTAGCGGGGCCTGGGGCTTTATGCACGTAACTTGACAAGTTTCTGATTTCGTAGTCTCAGTTCTATGGATGAGGGTTAAGAGTTGTATGAGTTGTATTGTTAACAATCTGTTTCTGACTTCTTTTTCAGGAATTGAAAAAAATGTTTCTGCACCTGTAGAGATCACCAATCTGGACTGGTGGGTTGGCTCCTCCCCTCAAACTTGCATCAGTCTGATCTAACTAAAACCAATATTTCCAGTATTTTTTCTGCTACGTTCATATTGCCACCCATGCTAAGAGAAGGATGTTTTTTAAGTCCTTCAAAAATAGTAACTTTTTGAGTAGAATAAATAGTCTGGGGGCGGGGGAGGAAGATAGGGGTTGGGAGTAAACTGATTGATGCTAAGATAGGGGTCCCTGTAGTGAAAATATAATAGCAGATCTCAAAACCTCTCCAATGGATCTAGAAGCTTGTTGCCATTTGGATCCCACTATTCTGTGCAGCCTGTCCCTCTGGCTCACACACCTTCCTTTCACTGCCAAGAAATGGAATATTTCTTCCCTCACAGCGAGGGCAGGGGCCTGTGCTCTGTTAGATCAAAGCATGTGCCATGTTTATTTCTCCTCCTGCAGAAATGACGGAGCCCATTTGGGCAGTCTAATTGTAGTTCCTTCTTGTTAATAGGTGTTAGTTCAGCAAAGGGTTGACAGTCAAGAGTTAGTGGTGCCCAGTGGTCATGGCCAAAGCTCTAGAGTTATTCAGGGATTCAGAAAGCAAACAAGAGTCTGTGCAACTTCCTTTTTTCTTCTTAACTCTTTCTTCTCCTCAAAGAGCAACATGGGACCTAATTCTCTTTCTAACTTCTACTCCAGATTGGTGACTCTGAGATGCAGAAATACTACTGAGAGATTGACATTTCTCATCAGCTATGATTCCCAAGATTTTATAATACTTATAATTTTAACATGGATTCAGATAGGATTATGTACTTCATATATTTAATTATTAAGAATTAAAATTAATTCCGTTGTGATCTTTTCACTATATCCCTGGATAATTTTGGAAGTGAGCATCACACAGCTGGAACTGGGAATCATTAATTGCTTTGTCCCATATTAGGCCTTTGTGATTTATTAAAGGGCTGGTTCATTATTATTATTATTATCATCATTATTATTTTGGTCTTGGAGCCTTTCTTCCAAGTTAACACGTGTGTGGAAGTCTAAATGTCTGCACAGAGCTGAGAGATGGCCGTGGTGACAGTGGAGACTATGGGCCCCAGTCCCTCTCCCCATCCCTCGAGGAGCCTCTGACACCTCAGGGAGCCATGGGCCTCAGCCTGAAAACCACTAGTCTACTAAGTGGCTTTTCTAAGAAATCATTTTTGCTAAATAATTTTTTATCTCAAATCAGATATTATTTTCTGATTTATTTTAACTATCCTTTTTTTTCTTCATTTTCCTGTTCTACTCTTTTTTCCTCTTGAGTTCCCGGTAGTGGATACCAGATTAGCAAAACAGAAGGTCTGTAATCCGTGGTAGAAGTTGAGAACAATTTTTGGTGGTAGGTGTGGTGTATTTGCCTGTGTCTTTCTGTTCTACTGTTTCTCATTATGTAGCCTCTGCCTCCTACCTGCTTTTCACATGCTCGTTTTAAACCTTTCTCCTTTCCCTCTGGGCCCCTGGGCTTCCACAGACAGGAAGCTGCCGTACTAAAGAGATAGTTGCTAAGGAGACATTGGGAGTAGTTTAATGAGTTCTAACTAGAAAACCTTCCACTGCATAATATTGAAAGTTTTTTGTTTGTTTGAAGGTAAACAGAGATATTCATGAAATGGTTGAACCAGTATCTCTACAGAATATATTTTACTATCTCTAAACTTGGGGTGCAGAATATAGAATTTATGACTGGGATTATTTCTTGAAGTAAGTTGATTTTCAGTTGTTTCATTATGTGCTTAAAGTTAAGTGTTTTGTCATGGCAGAAGGTAAAGACTGTTCTAAAGAGACAACCTTCACACAATAGCCGCATGTCTCCCCACTAATATTAAGTAGAATTTTCTCTACATGAAAACGTGTATCACCTATACATGTTATACAGTTAGAGAATCTACAGAACAATTGCTAATTTTACCCCTTTCATATTTACTACCCTTCGATTAGAAGCTAGGTGACAAACTATTTTCTACACACCTTAATAAAGTCACTGAGTTGTCTCGCTGATCCAGGAGTAATGTTCTGCAAAGGAAAGTATTTGACTACTAGAAACTTTGCTCTGCAGTCTGGGGAGTATTTTAGCCAGATAGCATTATCATGCGCCTACATTACCATTGCTGCGAGACATGGGAATCGTTTTAAATTTTTTTTAGAGATAGAGTCTCACTCTGTTGCCCAGGCTGGAGTGCAGTGGTGATTGTAGCTCACTGCCGCCTGGAACTCCTGGGCTCAAGCAATCCTCCCACTTCAGCCTTCTGAGTAGCTGGGACTACAGGTGTGTGAAACCACACCTGGTAATTTTTAAAAAAATTTTTGTAGATCCTTCTGCCTTGGCCTCCCAAAGTGCTAGACTTATAGGCATGAGCCACCATGCCCAGCCCTGACATGAAAATCTTAAGCAGGCCATTTATTAAAATCTTTCAGTAAATAATTCACCGAGCAGCTAAGCCCCAACCAAAAAAAAAAAAAAAAAAAAAAAACAGAAAAAGACCCCAAAAAGTGACTTTTCTCCACACTCCAGGGTTTCAGTGCTGGCTTAGAAGTCATGTTCAGCCACATTTCCAAAATTCTTCAGTCCCTTTTGTTGGGAATTAAAGGGTATGTAGAAGGAAAAAGGGTAGAAACTTGAACTATGCTATGAGATCTAATATTGAAAATGAAAAGTCTTGACGTGAGAAGCCTGTGATTTCAAATATGAGGCCTAAAGCTGGTTGATAAACACAATATGAAAATCAGAGACCAAAGGCTGCCAGGGGTATATCTGCTTAATGTATTGCAAGAACGTGTGCTGTAGACGCCTGGGGCCAGGGGAAGACATGTGTACAGAAGGATGAACAACAGAACCGCTTGGTCCATTTCTCCTGCCTATAAAATCCTGAAATCCTGTTTTTCAGGTTGTACTCCATTAGCTCTCTTTAAAAAAAAAAAACAAAAAACAAAAAACCAACTTTTAAATTTGAGGAATATTTTTACTGCTAACATTCTATCTCCTTTAACTTTTTCATCAGCACATCCGGAGCCCGCAGCTTGAATGTCACAGACTGTAATCATTATTGCAACAATAATGAAATACATTCTTTACCACAATTTACCACTATTACATATATTACATATTTACCACTATTAATATGTTGGCTGTGATTGAAGGTGGGCGAAGGGATCTTACAGTAGAGACAGACCCCAGCTCAGATCATGTATTGCAATATGTGTTTACGGTGCCTGGTATACAGCAGGCACATAATAAATGTTGAGCCCACCCCTTGAAAGCTGGTTTAAGAGTGAATCCTTTGGACCTTAAAATGTATTTTCCCATAGAAAATACGTCATTCGTAATACATGGATTCTGAAGCGAACCCACAGTCACTATTTATTTCATTATATGCTAGGTATACAATGAAATAATCCACATTTTCTACCTTATTAGTGTACAGATTCTTCCTTGATGCTTACTTCTTCTTCACAGTCACCCTAGGAGTAGGTACATCCCATCATAACTCTCTATATTTTAGAGATGAGGAAGTCAGATACTGTAAAAAGTTACTTTAGTGATTAAGAACAAAACCAAAGGAATGTGTCTTGAAATCTTTGGGGTTTTGCATCTTTCCTGACCCTCCTCTTCCTCCACCTGCTCCATGCCTCAGTGGTAGCTCTGGCAAAGCCACTGGTGAGTTTTCCTGGGGGAGACGTCATGTAGGCAAGTCTCACACTTTCCCTTTTAGTGATGACATTTTGGAGTGTCTTTTAGGTATGCTCAGATTTACCATAAGCATAATGAAAAACTTGACTTCTCCCTATAAATGGATTACCTTTCTGGAGGTACCCTCGACATTCAAGAAAGTCCGAGGGTTTGTTTGTTTGTTTGTTTGTTTTTTTGGTTGTCAGTGAACAAACTGCCTTTTAAACAATTAACTCTTGGCTTCTTGGTGAGAAGCAAACTCAAAGCCACAAGGAGTTAGGCTTAAATAACCTGTTGGAAAGGGCTGTCAGAGTACAGGATTCAAAGATGCTATCAGCCGAGGATGGGAATGAAAGAGAGGAGAGGATGTCTTCGCTGTAGTAGTTTGACTTGTTAACTAGCTCTAGCAGGCTTAAGTCAGTTGTGGGGACCAACTCTCAGAGACTATTTCCTAAATGTTGACTCTGCCTCATGCAGTGGATGTTTTGAGAATGCTTCTGGCTTCCTCAATCTCTGTAGCTGATACATTTCTTGTAGCCACATTGAGGCCCTGGCACAGGAAAGCTACTCAGTTCTTCTCAATCTGGCCCAGTCATCTTATTTCTGCCATTGCCCTATACATTTGAAATCTTAAATGTTCTAAATATCTTAAAGCAATGAAATAGATTCAAGTGTTTCTAACTTAGAAAAAGTAAAAGAGAGAGCAAAATAATACAGCTTTTAAATCACCTGTATTCTATACGAATTATTTTAAAAAGAAAATACTTCACGTATAATCCCAGCATTTTGGGAGGCCAAGGCGGGCGGATTGCTTGCACTCAGGAGTTCGAGACCAGCCTGGGCAGCATGGGGAAACCCAGTCTCTACTAAAAACACGAAAATTAGCCGGGTGTGGTGGCACATGTCTGTGGTCCCAGCTACTCGGGAGACTGAGGTAGGAGGATTGCTTCAGCCTGGGAGGCAGAGGTTGCAGTGAGCTGAGATCACACCACTGCACTCCAGCCTGGGGGACAGAGCAAGACCTTGACTCCAAAAACAAAACAAAACAAAACAAAAACAAAAACAAAAAATCCAAACAAAAACAATCCTGCCGAAGTGGGGCAGAAATGAGTGGAAACTTAACAAATGAATGGGAAAAAAAAATCGAAGTTCCTTTATCGAAAATATAATGTATTTTAACTAAAGTGTTAAATTTTGAAACAGTGGAATAAAACGTTTAAAGTGAATTTTATTCCCATCTTTGCGGCAAATGCCCAGGGTCCCCCAAAAAAGGGCATGCTCAAGTCCCCCACAGTCGAAATCTGCTAATCCAGAATGAAAATGGAATCATTAGGATAAAATTATCGAGTGTGTTCAGGAGCGGCTATGCCAGTGAATTTCCAGCCTGAAATGAAATCATGACTTAGGTGTATTTATGAGTATCTGTTTTAAAAACCACTGTGATAGCTAGCTATCACCTCAAATTTTGAAGTCGTTTCGTTGAGTGTGAAAAAAAGGAGAAGACATTTCAAAGTGCATTTAGCTATTTAAAAACCCTTTATTCACTGAGTGTGCTGCTGATTATTACATGTCTGTGGAAGCTTCTGGAGCCAGTGGTGGAGAGGCAGATGTGAATAATCAGTCGAGATGTATATTGATATGACATTATGAACCAACAGAGGAAATCCATTAACGACATCATTTGCTCTTCCTCTGGGGCTCAATTTATAATTATTTATGTTCCAAACAAAACAAAACAAACCCTTTTTGCTCTTTTAGTACTCGGGAGAGCCTGGCTTCCAACACATCAAGCATTGTTGAAAGTAACCGTCGTCAGAACCCCGCTTTGAGCCCGGCCCATGGTGGAGCTGGTCCAGCCTTCAACTTCCGAGCGAGCGCGGAGCCCCCGACAAATGAAGCTGAGAAGCTACAGAAACCTTCCAACTGCTTGCAAGCTTCTGTTACTAGCGTGTGATTGTCCTTCTGCCTCAGATCTTCTGTCTCATTCGATACAGCAAAGTTTACGACACTGGGACTGATGTTTACATCTTTGGAAAGACAAGCATCTCAACCACAGTTTTTGTGTTTACTTAAACTGTGCTGCTAAGTAGGGCTAGGGCAAAAAAACAAAAAATCTTTATTTCAGAGTATTGCTTTTCACATTTATGGCTCTGTAGCAACTGAGTAACAGTAGGGGTGATATGTATACTTTTGCTTCACTAATTGTATCTGAGCACACATAGGAAAGTCTAGACACTGTAAGTGTAATACGCATTTTCAATGTCATGCAGTTGCCAATTCCATTTTAAAATGCCACAGATGCGTGTTGCTCCCAGTCTGTGGTTAAACGGTGCCACAGAACTGATCCTTGACACTTCCAAAAAAAAAAAAACAAAACAAAACAAAAAAAATTTAAAAAAAAAAAACAAAAAACAAAACTAAGCTACCACGAAATGTCAAATGCAAGGGTCCACCTTGAGGGAAATAGATGCCAAACTAACTAGAAGGGACCCCGGCCCTTTGTGTGTGAATTGTTTATGCACCAGTCATTTTTCACTGTGAGTTTTCGTGACACTATTTTGCAGGAGCCCATGGAAGTGTGTGAGAAGGGGTCGCAATGGAGATCACTGGGAGTGAATGTTTTCAGGGTTTTGTTTTGAAGTGTCACAGATGCTTGTCTGATTTTTTTAACCTTCCGTGATCACAAACAGGAATATAGGCCTTTGAATCTGAAGTGGACAAAGGAAAGCAATTTCCAGTCTGGCTGGGGCACAGCATTAGGTGATTGAAAAGGTGATGTGGACTTGTAAAAGGTGTTACTCAAATATTGAAGGAAGAGAATTTCCTCCTTGTGATACTTAGGATGACCCTATCTTACTCTAATAGATACAATAATTAGTTTGTTTAAAAGCAAAATGTTCTTTGTGATACAAATGAAGAGTAGGGCCTGAGGATGTTATTCTTTCTAATGGAAGGACATAAATCTATTTTATGTAGTTTTAAATAGAATGCCTAAATTAGGCTGTGGGAGATAATTTTTAGTGGTTGTAGGAAAGAGCAAATTTAGGGAGTGTTGAACTTCAGGCCTTTTATTCCTGGGAAGATATGTATAGAGAAAACTTTTAAAATAATTTTTGATTAGAAATATACATGTGCCCATGTAATAAACAACAGAATGTGCTCATTCTGCTAGTGCGGTATAATCCGAATTTGTACTCCCCTAAAATTTATCAGAATAACAATTATGCATACATGAACTATGCCAGAGTAATGTTTACAGATACTTTGTAACCAATTTCAGGAGGCGTTTTTAGCTGGATGTGTAGTTAATTAGACCAACTTATTTCCAAATGGTTTGTTAACATTTTGCTTTGGTTTACAATGTCATGTTGAACACAAAGAAGACCCAGCAGCAAAGGGATGACCAATAATTTCATCTTATAGCAAGGAGACATTCCAACGTTCCCATGTTTTATTTTCTGAGAACAGTGGGACAGATCTGTAGTAATGGAATATTATTTGCAAAAGGGTTACATATGACACAAGTAAGTGTTCTGACATAAAGTTTTATTTAGTTCAGTGGCATGTGCTGTTGGGAGCCATACACCATAAAATATATATATCCCAAAATAAATCTAGAATATTTTCACCTCCAATTTCAGTAATTGGCATATGATTTGTGAGACGCATCTGTTTTTGTATGAGGTTTAATCACTAGCAATCTGTTTAAAGAATCCAGTCCTATACACAGTTGGACTCATTCTTGAAACCTTTAAATGCTCCCTCATAGTTTTTCAGTTATTTGGAAGTTGCATTGGGTCAAACTGAACTCCTTGAGTTTGGTGTAAATTCCTTTTTTCTGCTTATTATAGTGAAACTTCAGCATGTTTCTTAGTAAACTCCCATACCATTGAAATGCTTAAGCCAGTTGGCTTTCAGTCTCATGCCTTATTTCCTCCAAGGCATGCCTCAACGCATTGTTTGTCTCATTGCTTAAATATGTCCAGAAGGAATGATCATGTATCTAATAGACTACATAGTTGGTTCCCTTGGGGAGTTATATATCATACAGTTACTAAATATTTGTCTAAATTCATTTTTTCCAAAAACCTGCTCTCAAATTTTTCTTCTACTCTCAGTTCATAAATAATATAACCATTGAAACAACACATCAGCCTCTAGCTGATCCTCTGAAAGTAGCCATTGAAATAATCGAATACTGTGTGAACAGGAAAGGAAAGCGTTACCTTTAAGAGAAGCTTTAAAATAGGAATTTATTGATATTTCACAAGATATAGGTTTACAGAAGACATTATTCAAATAAATATGTACACTATTTGCCTGATGCTATGGGGTACATAATTTTTTAAAAACTCCCTTAGACCAGCAGCCATTAGTGTAGAAATGATGGACTTTAAAGGTGATACCATGTAAGCAGATGTTGCATATAAAAATATTCCTGCCTGAATCTGATCGAGATTCTTGAATGGGGGAGGAGTGGCAGCCGGCAGCACATTGCAAATGTCATTCGAGGTCACGGTGAGGCTCTCGGTCCCGGAACAGTGGGGGCCTCGCCAGGCGTTGCCAGTATCCCTTTCCTCCTGTAAAATCATAGCTTTGTGTTACACGACTGCTTATCCAGTCTTAGGGTTTAGCAGCTGAAAGGTTTACAAAACTGAATCTGGTTGAATCTCTGTGAAAGGGTCAACACATCTGTCGGCATTTTGCACACTTATGTATTATTATGATACAACATATTACTTTATGGTAATTTTTATTTTTACATATAACTACCTCCATAAATTTGATGAAATGGCAGCCGTGTGTTAAAGTGTATCGTTCAGAAGAGCAAAGTTGAACACTTCCTTCAACATTAGGGCATGGCGTGCTGTGTGTGTCAGTGATTGCCTCTGTGGACTCATGACTTTCCATCGCCATGGCTTTCTCTTACGCCGCTGTTTGGCTTTCAGATGTAATCCTGTCTTCTCCTCTCTTCCCCACGAAAGCGCACTCGATTTTGTTAGGAATGAACGGAAGTTTAAAAATTCTTGTGCCCACCCCCGCCCTCCACCCATTCCTGTTAAAAGTTCTCTGGCGAAGAGCCAATGGGTGAACGTAATTGAAAGAGCTATTTACTCTTTTGGAAATCTGATTTGAAGTCTAAGTTTTCAGTAACAGAAGACACACAAGCAATGTGGACTGCCAAGCTTGAAGCACTTCGGGCTCTGCCTTCACTCGCATGCTACCATGTCGAGCCCAAACTCCACTTTAATTAAAAGAGCTGTGCTGTGAATTCCACAACTTCTGTTAAATAATTTGTATTCCATTATATATATTTTGCACATCTCAGGGGACCATAATGAACATATGAAAGGGGGGGGGGTGCCATCAAATAGAGAAAACAAATAGAAGAGGTGAATGGAGACTAGCTGGATAAAAATAACAAATTACTTCTTCTCTGATGTTGTGAAGGTCAGGTTCAGGAAGCATCAATTCACAGTTAATCCGGAGTAACAATGATCTGAACACCAGCTGTTCCCAGGTCCCTCTTTTTCATAGCCCAACCAGCATCTAAAATGTAAATTTAAATTACATTGCAGTCACCATGGGGAGAAGAAACCTGTTCAGTGGAAGCAGAAGCATTGTTCCTTTTTTAGGTTGGCGCAGCTTTGCAAAACTCTACCCAGGATAAACCACTTATCACCACCAAGTGTACTTGAAAATAAAGTTTTTAACTTAAATTACAAGCATATTGCTCATAATACAATAGTGATCATTTTTTGAAAGTCTTGCCATTTATAACATGGGCAGTATTTGGAGCTTCATTTAAAAACCAACAACAACCGATAATGACTTTGCACGATTCACTTTGGGATCTCAAAGTGCTTCCAAAGCATTCAGATTTACAAACAATTCACAAGACAGGTCATCTTTGTAATACGCATACTTACAACGAATTAACAAAAGGAGTGACTTAAGATTCTCCAGGAACACAGTGGCAGCTATTGATGATCTGTTTTCTATCTGTTTGATAGAGCATCATGAGAAATCACAAAATACAATGCTATTTTTCTGATGTGTGCTAATAAAGTCAAAGAAAACAAATACATCTTGACACTTTTGTCCATTTTCATTAAAAAAAAAAAAGTTCAGGGTGTTTGGAATTTTACATCTCAGCACACCTTACTGGTATCAATGGATAAAGCGGGTGATTGACAGATCCACCCAAATGCCACTGCAGTCAGAAGCAGATCTGGACACACCCTTGTTTACAGTTTCATATTGGGTTGCTATAGTTCCCGTGCTAAATCACCAGCTTTCAGGAACATGACTGCTCCTGGCAGTGGAAGGTGCTGAAACAGAAATTTTAATTAAAAACTTTATCAAGTACTCTTCACAGTGCTGCTTGGCACCATAGAAAATCAGTACAATATATCGAGCCCTACTTTGGAGGAGCTGGATTTCTGAGGGAGCTGATCCAGTTCTAAGTGTCTTCTCGAATTAGGAGATAGATGATCTTTGATGGGGATCTCCTCCGTCACCACAGGCCAGTCACAGAACCAACTAGCCACGTGCTGCCAGACCTCAGTGGGCCCAAGCAGGAGCAATCTCTTCTATCCCCCATCTCCCCCAGGACCATCCCGCCCATTGTCAACGTCATCCAGGGCTCTTCTGGTAGTGAGTGACTTTTCTGCACATGTTTAGGGCTTGGGGGAGCTAGAACACAGGAAACATGAATGCAAAAGGCATGGAAAACACTGTTTTGCTTTGGGTTAGTAAAATGTGGGCAGGACAAAGATTACTATTGGTCTGAGCTTTGCCAAGTGAGATAGAATCAACTGTCACCCCATTCCTTTCCCAGAAGGTCTTATGGTATTAAGGATACATCCAGTATTTTCCCACAGATTTTTATTCAGGCGATGTTTCATAAATTACATATATGAAAACATTCATTATTACATTTCCTTGTGTGTTTCAAACAGACATTGGCACCTTCCTATTGAGTTAATTCTCTGCATCTTTTGCAGCAGCAGCCCACAAGGAGATTCCCAGAGATGGCTCCCCTAACACACAGTCCTGTGATTTTACAGTTCTATGACTTACAGTTGATGATTCACAAGATTCAGGATTCTACAAGACTCAAGGGGGAACTAAACTTTCTTACGATTGTACATGATCAGTTATAGGGCTGTAATCATTAATTGTTGGCTTCAAATGTGGACACACACACACACACATCATGCCAAGGAGGGAATGGGGTGTTTCAAGTCAGGCAGCGATGATTCTGGAAGGTTGGAAATGTAAGGTTAGAAGCTTGGCTGGTCTTAGTAAACTTGTTCCCTTGCTCCCACCAAGAAGAGGTACCAAATGTGAGACCTGAGATCTCCTCCAATATCTGTCCTCTGCAGTTCCGGGAAACTAATCATGAAGTACACATGCAGCAGCTCCTCCACTTCCTTTCCTCCGAGGTCCTCCTTTCCATTCTCCCACCTAGATACTGACACACCGCCACGGTTTCCACATTGGAAGGGCAGAACACTGTGCAGTATCGTGCACACTTGCTGGGTTAGGAATAGAGCTGCCCTAGGGTCACCTTCATGCAAGTATTGACAGCTACAAATTAAAGTCCTTAGAGCAGTTGACACAGATACTACGTTCTAGAAGAGAATTAAATTTAAACGTCAAGTTTAAAGGGATCATAATTCTGCAGGTATCTTTCTCTGAGTGACTGAATGTGACTATTGCATTAGGGTAAATGAATTAAGACGTGCAAGTGGGATTTACTGTATGTTAGAAAGGAGTTTTGCAGCCAAGACTGCCTTGAATAAAATGTGTTTGCACTGAAAAAAAATTTTAAATTACTTGGTCTCTGGTTGCTGTAAAGGTCATCCAAGATGGATGTTCTGTTTATATTGTATAGTATTTCATATGAAATAATTACAGTTCATGAAATGTCTTCCCTAATGTTACTGATTTATAACAGCACATTTGTAACATGGTTTTTATCGTGTCAGTGTACCATACTGTAAATGATGATTACTTGTCATGCTTAGTATAATAACTTAAAAGAAAAAAAAGGACAGGGATTTTTGTAAGTCTATATTTGAAAGTCCCTCCCTATGGTGATACTGTGTTCATGTTGTTTATGTAGTGTTGTGTGAAATATCCATTTTGGATTGTGTTACTTTTTAAGATATTAAATAACATTTGGTTATATGTCTTAAGTGGATTTTTTTTGGTACTTGAGAGAAAATATTTTAGGTGAGGTTAATTGACTTCTCTCTTCAATTAATAGGATTTTATAACATTGTGATTACTCAATATTATTAGAGCTTCTGAGTTAAAACAACTAAAAATGAAAATTTTCTGATCAAAATTCTTTTTCCATGAAAGTTGGGGGAAAAAAATCACATTTTTAGGTAACTGAATTTAAAACAGAGTGAGAGAGATGCCTATAACTACATTTTCTATATGAAATTATAAAGTGATGTGATTAGGTCTGGGGTTTCTTTTTCATTAGCACTCATGTCTCAGCTTTTGTTCCCAAGTGGATGGGATCCTCTCCCCAGTAAACACGAGGAGGCTGCTCACAGGTTCCAGTGAGTCACTTGCACAGGTTCGGAATCCTCCATGTTTATTCTCCTTCAGCTGTCATTCATTCTTCTGAGTCTCTCACTGTGGCAAATCTTTGCCCGTAGAAAATGGGCTTTTTCAAACCAAAGGGATTTGCTGCCCCGTTAATGATGGAGCTAGGAAATGGTATTCTCAGTCAAAAACAATGAGCCATAAAGTCGAGCCTGATTTTCTTATAAAGGCAATATCCAAAGTAGACTTCCAAAAATTGTTGTGAACAATGACAGTGTCTACGGATAAGTGTCTGGAGACCCCAAGGTAACTGCTTTGAAGAACAAGTTGTATTTTGTTGCGTAAGTTTGTCTATATATTTTAAACTGTCTCAATACAGACGTTTCCTTTTTCAGGCATGAAGTTAGGAAGAGCAGGAATACTGGGAGTATATTGTGAGTTTTACTCTAGGACCAAAAGCAGCTGTGGTCAAGGAAAGGTAATTGTGTGTTCATTTCAGAACGATCTAGTGAACTGAGGAAACGTGGGGACTTAAGGAGAAGGGGGAAGGCAGGATTCTGATTCCTTGGAGAGAATGGTCACAGTTCATAAACACGTTGTCTTTCCAAAGGAAACGGTATGGTTTTAACTTACTTTTAGCATTTAGAGTGGTGGCTTTTCTCTCCTTCCTTAGAGAAAATTCAAGCAGAGTACTCAGTACTTGCCTCCTTCCCTGGTGGTGGCCATGAAATCGAGAACCACTGAGTAATCAGAAGAAGTTATTCACCTGACCTTAATAATTCATTTAACTGTAAAATCTTATCCCTACTGTGAGAGTTCTTGGATTTAGGGACACCCCCCTGCCCATCTTCACGCTCAGTGGCTCCAGACCTTTCCTGTCAAGCAAATGGTTAATCATGTGTGTGATTAATATATTTGCACAGTACATTGCTCCATACAGGAATTTCAAGAAAAACCGAGGCACCTGTGCTCAAGAGAGGCCGAATAGGTTGCTTAACTGCAGCTCCCAAATTCCATCAAATAAATTCCTCCCAGGTCACTTTCCTTTGCGTTTCCCTTGTTCCTCACCCTTTATTGTAAAGTTCCATGCATTATTTTTATTTTCTATTACCTTGAGTTTATTTTACTTTACTACTCTTCACTTTGCATAATAGCAGTGCTTTTCATTTGTTCGTTGTTATGCTGTTAATATTTGGACTCACTCTTGCTCTCCATTATTGATAACCACAATTGATTACTAGTATTTTAAATTTTACATTTATATTGTCTTTCCCTCCTTGTGTGCACAGACCACTGTCATCCCTCAATCTCATTTCCACTCTCACCTTTGCACTAAGAGCCTTTGGTTCTCTGACACTTCTGTAGATGTCTGCCACCAGCTGAGTCATCAGTGGCCTGATAAATGGTAACTTGAAGATATGCATGGATTGATGGATGGATGGATGGATGGGTGGATGGATGGATAGATGGATATTGCATTAGATCAAAGGTGCCTGTATTCTTATCGTCTGAAAATGACAATGAAACAAAAGGAGATATCATGCAAAAGGATATTTTTTGATGTCCGTGTGACTCCCTTTTAAGAACTTATCTTGGGAAATTATTTTGTAACCTTCTTCTATCTATGCTTCAAGCCATTGCCTGCCATTCTTTACTATACAATATATGATTTATTGTGGGAAAAGTTTTTTTCCCCTGAAAGACACCTCCTTTTTTTTTTCTTTTGAGACGGAGTCTCGTTCTGTTGCCCAGGCTGAAGTGCAATGGCACAGTCTTGGCTCACTGCAACTTCTGCCTTCCGGGTTCAAAAGCTTTCATTGAGAGCTGGGATTAGAGGCACCTGCCACCATGCCCAGCTAATTGTTTTTAGTAGGGCTGGAGTTTCACCATGTTGGCCAGGCTGGTCTCGAACTCCTGACCTCAGGTGATCCACCTGCCTTGGCCTCCAAAATGCTGGGATTACAGACGTGAGCCACTGCACCCGGCCAAACACCTCCTTTAAAGTTAGTAACAGCTCAGTGGTTTAGTGATCAGCAGGCCCATCGACACAGTGCAGCTTCACATTGTTTGCCACTGTTGATAAAACAAGCGAGACAGATAACTAACAAAGCTCAAGTGGATTGGAGAAGACAGCTTTTGCCCCTCTTTTTTCCTTCATGTGTTATTTGAAGGCAGTTCATGAGAGGACATCTGTGTTGAATGTCAAAGGATCAATACTCAGTCTGGGAAAATGTTAAGATTGTCTGGAATACAGCAGTGAGCTTGGAAACAGAAATGGTCATTTCTACATTTCTCTCCCTTCCATGTCTCATCTCTTAATTTGAAGGGGACTTAATTAAGTGGATTGGGGCTCCATATGGCCCCTAAGAAGTCAGACAAATGAGCATAATAGAAGGTATCTTTTACAATTGACTCTTGCTCTAGCCAACTGGTGGAAGGGCCAGCACTTTAGAAAGACTTGCCTCGGGACTTCAGCAGTTAGCATTTTTGTAGAGAGTTTTTGAGAGTAAAGCACTTCCACTGCATCTTAAAAATAAACCTTTGATAACATTTTTAGATTTCTGGAATTATTACAAAGATAGTACAGAGAGTTCTTGGATACCCTATATCCAATTTCCCTTGTTATTATCATTTCACATTAATACAGTTCCTTAGTTACAATTAATGAACCAATATTATTACATTATTGTTAAGTAAAGTTCACCTTTTATTCAAATTTTCTGTTTGTCCCCACTGTCATTTTTTGTTGCTCTTGTCCCAGGAGCCCAACCAGGATACCATACTATAATCAGTTGTCCTGCCTCCTTGGTCTGTGACAATTTCTTAAACTCTGTTTATATTTGATGTCCTTGACAGTTTTGAGGAGTATGTGTCTGGTATTTTGTACAATGTCCCCAGTTTGAGTATGACTTATACTTTTGTCATGAGTAGGCCAGAGTTATGTGTTTTGGAGAGGAGGACCACAGAGATAAAGCTCCATTCTCATCATATCAAGAGTCCATCCTATTCATTATGACCTATTACCACTATTGATGTTAACCTTGATCATCTGGCTGGAGGTAGTGGTTGTCAGGTTTCTTCACCGTGAAGTTACTCTTTTTTCCTCTCTTTCCATACTGTTCCCTTTGGAAGAAAGTCACCATGTGCAGCTTAAGGAGTGGAGAGTTAAGCTCTGCTTCCTTAAGGGCAGAGTATCTAAATAAATAAGTTGTAATTCTTCTGTACAGAAGATTTGTCTCTTCTGTGCCACTTATTTATTTATTCAATCATTCTTAGCAGTATAGATTCAGATATTTATGTTATACTTTGGGTGAGAGTCTATTACCACTTTATTTTATTGCTCAAACTTTTCCAGATTTTGCACTGAGAGCTCCTTAAGTTGGCTCTTGTACCTCTTTGATGTACCCCAGCACTGTGGTTTGTTCACATGTTTTTGAGCACCTTCTTAACTCTCTGGCACTATAAGAAGCTGTAGGCTCATTTTGTATATTTCCTGTCCCAGTCTTGGAATGAGTCGTTTCTCTAAAGAACGCTCGTGTCTTTTATTGGAGAATGGTATTAGAAACCACCATCTGGGTGCTGGCTTTGTGCATTACTACTGGGGAGACATTACTTCTAGGTCTTCTCAGCTGACAGAGCAAGGAGGTATATGTGTGTATGCTAACCTGTCCACATACACGTATCAATAGATATTGCTAAATGTAACCACCTGTACTTCTATTAAGCTAAGTGTCATGCTGATGTCTCCAACTCTAATGCATTATGACATGGATCATTCTAGCCTCTTTTCTTGCTCATCTGTAACTTCCCACTCCCACAGTGAGAAACCCGGCTCTCATCACCTGCCATCCCTTTACTGGACTGCTCAATTGCAGTATACACGATAGTAGGTCATCCATTGCATTTTCTAAAACTGATTTGATAAATATGGAAATAGGGAAACAAATGAAAGTGTTTCTCAACTTATTCTAGTATGCGGCTTACTTCCTGTGACAGTGCAGTGAAGATTATAAACTTGTTAGTGAGCTTATTTGGTCCTAGAAGGATTGTTCTGAAGAATGTGAGGTTCAGAGGGAGGAGGGGCACTATTAATTTTATTTAAGATGTGTACTTCCTTATGCTGCACTGTTAGAACTTGGAAAGAAGCGACGTTGACTTAGCAGTACAGACTAAATGTCTGGTGAACCGCTACTTCCTTCTCCCCACTTCTAATCTCTGAATATTGACCTAAATTTTTACCATATTTCAAGGTCCAGATCAAATGCTGTCTCTTTCACAAGGCCTTCTCTGAGTGCCCTTCTCCACTTCCATGCCCTGAGAAGATGGCTTCTTTTCCTCTCTTATAGTACAGCATTCATCATTTCCAATCCTGTGTTCTCATGTTTTGCCTTAAAGACAGACCCTGCCCAAGACCATCCCCTCAGCTAGACAGTTTATACCACTTTAATATTATTCCCTTGATTTCCTGGCTGGGGGAGCCTCTGCTTGTCATTGTTTCTAGGTGGCCCTTATGAGCTTTGAAATCTTCAGCAAGAAATGGGCTGGGTGTGGTGGCTTCAAGCAGGGTTTGAAAAACGCTGCGTGCTGTGGTCAGGGCTCCTTCTCACTAAGAAACCTCTCAGGAATGTGCTCCCAGCTACTGCATCCTTTTTGCTTCCATGCGTCTACCTTATCACCAAAAAACCTCAACACAAACCGAAACCAAAGAACACCGGGAACAGGAACTGAGCTTTGGCTTTTGAGATGTCGAGAAGTTGTTATAAGATGAGAAGCTGAGCGGGAGGCTTCCAGCCCTTCCTGTTGCAAGCACCTGTGCTGCAGAAGCCTGGCCCTTTGCTCTTGGGTTGTGACGGAGCCGCTGTGTTTCTCCACAGCACCCTTCAGTCTGTGTGTGCAGCACCAAGTCGGGGGGAAGTTAGAAGAGGTGGGAAGAGCCACCGAGCAGGCAGCTCAGGAGAAGCCAAACCTTGCACAGTGGAACGGAACGGGCAGTCCATTTGTGGGGAAAACACGAGACGGAGGTCCAGTGCTCTGTGGTGCGGCAGGCAAGGGGGAGGCTCTTCCCCAAAGTGGTTGGAGTGTGTATGGCCACGGTCACAGTGTGTTTCCTTTTAACCGTATCTTAAATCTGAAGGCAGCTGACGATTGTTTATGCAAACTTTCCATAAAAGTGTAACAAAAAATTTATTTTCTCCGTCCTGATTTAAGTTTTCTCCCCACTCCATCCCCCATCTCAGCCACATGGTTTCCTTGGGGCTGCTTGTCATTTTTTTCCCCCACCTCCTGCTCCTTCTCTTTGCATCTGTGGGATTTTGCTTGCAGCTAATTTTTCATTTTAATGTTCTCATTTCTCTCCCCCTGTCCCGCACACTTTGAGAACAAGTCCATGAATTTGATTTCTTGATAACTTTTTCATATCTTCCCAGAGCAGTTTCCCCAACTGTTACTAACTCATTTTGTAGTCATAATGTGGCTGTTTGTAAAGCCTCACTAGGGAGGTCTGCTATAATATATACCAACACACTGCTTGCTCTTACTTCCAAATATTCAAGCTGGTTTTAAAAAAAAAAAAAGCCGGAATCTCTGCTCGTCTTTTTCTGGTTGTCTGATGTAATACCAGAAATCTCCTAAGCCTCTGGTTTACCTGAGGTGTTTGGAGTTGGTGTATTTGAGGGGAATTGCTAAAATGAAGTTGTTTCTTGTGGCACCAAGGTTCAGACAACTAGGGC
This sequence comes from Homo sapiens, assembly GCF_000001405.40. NCBI lineage: Eukaryota > Metazoa > Chordata > Mammalia > Primates > Hominidae > Homo > Homo sapiens. The sequence continues at coordinate 184,029,625 of NC_000004.12, forward strand.
TGGGTTGCAGCCCAAGGTGAACTGAATGACTATAAAGTCAAGTTCCCACTGGGAGATGTAACCTTACAGGTAAATTGAACAGGGGCTTCCAAATCCACACTTCTTGAAAGCCTTGCCTCTATGAAAATACTCATCTTAATTTTAGTTGTCTGTATGTCCCAATTTTTCTACAGTAAGCACATATTATTCTAAACTCAGAAAACTGTGTATGGACAACTAAAATGTTTAAGAATACAATAAACAGAAGGGGCTGGGGTGTGGTGGCTCGCGCCTGTAATCCCAGTATTTTGGGAGGCTGAGGCGGGCGGATCACTTGAGGTCAGGAGTTTGAGACCAACCTGTCCAACATGGTAAAACCCTGTCTCCACTAAAAATACAAAAATTAGCCAGGCGTGGTGGCACATGCCTGTAATCCCAGCTACTTGGGAGGCTGAGGCAGGAGAATCACTTTAACCCAGGAGACGGAGGTTGCAGTGAACCAAGATCGCGCTACTGCACTCCAGTCTGTGCAACAGAGCAAGAATCCGTCTTTTTTTTTTTTTTTTTAAAAAGACAATAAACAGAAGGTCACAAGTTGTGACTCCCATGTCTTCCCTCTTTCGACACTCTTGAGCTCAGCTGTCTTCTGGTTGGCGAGTGCTTCCTTTCTCCGCAGCGTCTTCTGGCCACTTCACTCTGACTGAGGCTGAATTTTGAAGCTTACAGATTTCTCGTGAGTATAAAAAGCCTTATTAATTTTTTCGAGCTGTAAATCAATGTACCTCCTGCTAGCCAGAGAAAAAATATTGTTCTCGTCTCAATAAAGTGCAATCCAGAATTTCTTTTTTATTTTTTAATTTTTTTTTTAATTTTTAATTTTTATTTTTTTGAGACAGAGTCTTGCTCTGTCGCCCAGGCTGGAGTGCAGTGGCACAATCCTGGCTCTCTGCAACCTCCATCTCCTGAGTTCAAGTGATTCTCCTGCCTCAGGCTCCCGAGTAGCTGGGATTACAGGCATGCACCACCATGCCCGGCTAATTTTGTATTTTTAATAGAGATGTTGGTCAGGCTGGTCTCAAACTCCCGATCTCAGGTGATCTGCCTGCCTCAGCCTCCCAAAGTGCTGGGATTACAGGTGTGAGCCACTGCGCCCAGCCCAGAATTTCATACTATGAAGTAGGATTAAGAGGGGAAAACTCTCAGGAGTAAAGATTAAGTGTCATTTCTTCCTTGGGGCACAGAGTAAAAGCCATCATGTAGCAAAGACAAATGAATTATTTGTAGCCGGTGTAAGCTGGTGCTTGATTTTTTTTTTTTTTTTTTCAATAGAGATAAGGTCTTGCTCTGCTGCCCAGGCTGGGCTGGAACTCCTGGGCTGAAGCAATCCTCCTGACTTGACCTGCCAAGTAGCTGAGACTACAGGCATGTGCCACTGTGCCTGGCTTATTCTTCTTAGTCCTTACTTGAGTATTTAGACATTCTTCCCAAATGCTTTGTCACAACTAACTCATTTCCCCTCAAAATCCAAGTGAGAATCTTCAGACACTTCCTATAGGCCCAGATATCTAGGGCTTGTCAATTAATGTTGTAATTAATTAATTTTTATCATAATTTGTAAAAAAAATGCATCTAAATCACAGACTTAAAAAATGTCACCCCCAAAAGGTAGTTCATTTTGGGGAATGCTTTTTTAAAAATGTGGGGTCTCCTTGTTATAAACTAGGTTTTTGCAAAGGTATATGAAAAAGTGAGGTTTGAATTTGATAGTGCCTTGAATACTGCTCTTCCAGATTGAGAAATTAATAATACACTGTTTGAGGAAGGAACCCACATCAATAGAAAGAGGACATACAAGTGCACCTGCATGTATTCTGATGTTTGGATATGAATGTTGATATAGTGGATAGTTTACCCAGCAAGTATTCAGTGCTTTCCTCCTTGCTTCTGAGCATCCCTGAAGTTCTAGGGACACAAAGTAAAAGACATGATCGTTGCCTTCTAGGGGATTCAGAAGGGAAGGTCACCCCCGCACATGGAAGAGCAGTGATGCGCCCATACTGCAACGTGCTCGGGATACTGCGGGAAAGGGTTCCAGAACCATTCCGCCTACTCACCAGCTCTAGGATTTGGCAGCCAACACCCTCCTCTGACCTCCGAGGCTCGGCGTTATTGACTAACCCTAACAGGGATGGATCCCGCCTTCCCTGCCTCACAGTGACTTCTGTGAGGGTTAAACGAGAGCCATGAAAACCATGCATGTCAGGTAAGGTGCAAAACCACCATTGTGCGGTTGTGCAGGTTCGGGGGAGACAGAGCTCACTTTGCGATATTTTATTACTGGAGTCTAAGCTGGACCTCTAAAGCAGGGTGGGATATTGGTAAGGACAAAGGGGTTTGGAGAGTGTTCCGAGCATGGATGACAAGGGCTTAAACTCAGGAGCAACAAAGATAACAGTTGCAAGACAGAGGACATAGGATGGACCTTCCTCTCAAAGCAATGCGTAGCGTCATAAATGCTCTACGTGTATACGAGGGGGAAACGGGTGAACATCACAAATATCATTTTCCCAACACAGTTTTGCTATAGAACATGAAAGGTGAGCACTGGAATGTGACGTGGTAGAGGTTTGTCACATGTTATTGCCTCATGCCTTGTCTGCAAATGGAGCCACTACCCCCACCCCCAGCTTTCAATGACTAATTCCTACTTCAATAGGAGCCCTCTGTCTTGGCTCATTCCCCTCCAGTCTTTTCTCTCTCTCTCTCTTTCCTTCTCTCTCTCTCTCTTTCCTTCCTTCCTTTCTCTCTCTCTTTCTCTCTCTCTCTCCTTCTCTCCTTCTCTCTTTCTTTCTTTCCCCACTCCCTCCCTCCCTCCCTCCCTTCCTTCTTCATTCTTTTTTCTTTCTTTCTTTTTATAGAGGTAGAGTCTCACTCTGTTGCCCAGGCAGGAATGCACCAGCATGATCACAGCTCACTGCAGCCTCAAACCCCTGGGCTGTGGCCATCCTCCCGCCTCAGCCTTCTGGCCCCTTCAGTCATTTTAGCACTCTCGTGTTCTTTGCTTTCCCCCGTGGACATGTTGTGTGTCCCCAGCTGGATTTCAGAGTCCCCGAAGTCAGGAATGCCTCTCAGTCCTGTGACCTCACAGAGCCTGCAGTGGCTGGCTCTGGTGGGTATCGCTGGTCTGATGCTGACAAGCTGGCTTTCCCTCTTATGTTTACTTGGCCCTAACCCTGACAGCCACCCACTTGCAGTTCTTTTGGTGAGTTTCAAAGTGTCCTTCACAAAGTAATGTGCCCGCACTTGGCTAGAGAAAAGGCCAAATGTATTTTAAGGCTTCTGCAATACCTGTAGTTTTGGGTCCAGCCACTCTACCACAGTCGTGAGTGTAAAGATGACATGATCTTACTATGTTTTATGTGTGTTTTGGCATGATTAAATAGCAGCATTAGAACATGAACCTCAAAAATCACACCTTTCTGATGTTTCTCTTACTTTTTTTGGCTCTCCCTTCTAAGGCCCTGTGCCCACCCCTTGAATGATCAATGTCCCTTAAGGATTTTTGGGCCCCTTTTCTTCTTGTTCCTGGGCCTCTACTTGAATTTTCTTTCTGTCTTTTTTTTTTTTTTTCCTTTCTGTGAGGAACGGGGTCTCGCTATATTCCCCAGGCAGGTCTGGAACTCCTGGGCTCAAGCTATCCTCCCGCCTCAGCCTCCCTAAGAGCTGGGATTACAGGCGTAAGCCACCGCGCCCGGCACTTGAATTTTCCTGTAAAAGAATTCAGTATCTTAATCTTCAGCCCACACTTCCTCCCTGAGTTCCAGACTGGACATCTCTGTTTCTTCACAGCCAGTATTTCCAGCGAAACTTGCATCTTTCCCATCAGAACTTGGTCTTCCTTTCTGTGTCCCCAGCCTCGCCAAAGATCTCATTGGCTACCCACTTGCTAAAGCCACCAACTCAGGAGCGCCCCTCGGCCCCTTCCTCACTCCCTCGCATCCCACATGGAATCCATCACCAGGTGGTCTTCGTTTATCTCCTAAGAGTCTCCTGAGTCAGCCCACTTATCTCCAGCTCCACCACCACCACTGTGCTAGTTCAGCTCACCCTTACGTCTCGCCTAATTATTTCAGTGGCCTCTTCCTTGATGTCCTGCCTCATTTTCACCACACTGTCACTGGAGGCATCTTTCTAACATACAAGTCTAACTGTGTTACTCCCCGGCTTGGATCCTTTTGGTGGCCAAAGTTAGTTCAGTTAGATCCAAGTCTTCACTAAGGCTTGTCAAACCCCCCACCCCAAGTCCCGCCTGCTGACTCCACCCTATCCCCCAAGGCTGGCATCCCCGTGCTCCAGCCAGGCCTCTGCTCAGGCTCTTCGCTGCCTCCATCACCTCAAAGACCCTCAGCAGAACTGGAACAGCCTTTCCTGCCTTCACTGGCCCCATCATGGCGCCTGTTCACTACTCAATCTTTAGGTTTCATGGACCTGGGCTGCAAGATATTTGTCTGAGCTTGAAGACCCTGGAGAAGAGGCTCTTGTATGGCTCCCTTGGCCCCTACAGCTCAGAGCTGGGGATTTCCTGTCATGCCTGGGTCTTTGGGGTGAGACTTTTAGGTGAAGATGTGTGCAGGGGGGCATGTCCAGAGCAATAGTTCTCATCAGTGCATGGCGTGGGGGCGTGAATCAGTCACTGGAGAAATATTTCCAAAGTATGCATGGTTGGCCTCCAAGGAGACCCTCATCCTCTCAAGATTCCGATTCGGGAAATCCACAGTGGGGCCCAGGTGTGCATATTTTAACAAAGTTCCCTAAGATTGAGTCTGTTTTCTCTTCCCTGACCCTTTCCAAGAAAAGAAGAGGCTTAAAGCTTGGTGGTGATTTCTGAAATTGGTCTTCAGGAATCAGGGCACACTTTTCACTTTTTTTCTGCCTTCTCAGACATAATCCTAAAAAGCGAGACAGGAAGTTGTGTCACAGCCAGGCTAGGAGGTCTCAGATTGAAGACAATTCTGTAGAGACGTCCTGTACAGCAACTAACATTCTCCAAGGAGCTGAAATCTTAACAAAAAATTTTTTTCCTACAATTTCAAGTCTCCTATTTAAACTGACAACTTCATCCTTAGGTAACTGTAGTGACCATCTGGAGGTTTTAAGGTTTGTACTACATGTGAATAATATGCTGGCCCCAGCACTCCCCTCTACCAGCACAGATCCCAGGAACGGTTGCTTCTGGCTTCAGTGTCACGTTCACCCTTTGAAATGTACCTTCTCTAGGGAGAGAACACCGTAGCCAAGGGTACCCCCTTCGCAAACATGGGAAGCAGGTGAATTTATCTGGAGCCACTTTTCTATTCTCTGTCCATCAATTCTGTCTCCTGTACAGGAGAAAAACAGTAACTGTCTCCAAAAGTTCTCTTCTCTAAAGGTATATGTCTTATAAAAGAACCTTCGGTAGAAGGATGCTGGTGAACTCGGCCTTCCACATAGTTTCACAGTAGTCTGTTTGTGTGTCTTTCTGCCCTGTTAGTGTGGGGCTTTTTGAGCAGAGAGGCTGTGCCTTCGTCATCTTTGTATCTTCTGTGCTGACACAGACATAGGTGTTTGTTGAATGACTGAATGAATGAATGAATTCACGCATTCATGTATGCATGAGAGCGGCAGAAGGAATTATAGGCGTTTGGGGTAGGGTGGCCTTCAGCAAAGTCCCACAGATCCATATAGTCACCTATATGGTACCGGTATATTATTAGGGAGGCATTCTTATCAGTATTCCTAGGGAGGCATTATTATCAGTAATTTTTAAACAAAGTAATTAATATTTGAAAAATATACAAATATACAAATATGTGATAGAACATATTTGTATATTTGAAAAATAACGAGTGAAATTAAAATTTTCATAATATTAGAATTTAATACAATTAGCCCTCTGTATCTGCAGCTTCCACATTTGTGGATTCAACCATCTGTGGATTGAAAATATTGGGAATATCAATACCCACAGCAATACCAATATCAATATTAATAACAAATAACAATGCAACAATAAAAAATACAAATAAAAATCCAATCCAGTATAACAACTCTTTCCGTAGTATTTACATTGTATTATGTATTATGAGTGAACTGTTTAATAGAGGTGATTTGAAGTAGACAAGGGCCTGTGTGTGGGTTATATGCAAATACTGTGCCATTTTATATCAAGGACTTGAGCATTGAATTTTGGTATTTTCAGGGGGTCCTGGAACCATTCCCCCTAAGATGTTGAGGGGCAGCTGTACAAATTTATCCTGAAATGTCTCTAGTCTTCACTTTGAACTGCAGACACCTTGTGCCACCTTATCACTGAATTCTGTGTAGCCTGAAAGATTCCAAAACACACAGATATTCACACACGCCAACAATACAGGGGCAGTGTTAGACAAATGGGGTGAAGAATTGGGGAGCTATTCATAGGTGGAGAACAGATAAATATTTGGAACATCTGGTCTTATAAAACCATTTATTATTTTTTTGAGACAGAGTTTCGCTCTTGTTGCCCACCCTGGGGTGCAATGGCATAATCTCGGCTCACCACAACCTCCGCCTTCCAGGTTCAAGTGATTCTTCTGCCTCAGCCTCCCAAGTAGCTGGGATTACAGGCATAAGCCACCACACCTGGCTACTTTTGTATTTTTAGTAGAGACTGGGTTTATCTATGTTGGTCAGGCTGGTCTCGAAATCCTGACCTCAGGTGATCCACCTGCCTCAGCCTCCCAAAGTGCTGGGATTATAGGCATGAGCCACCGCACCCGGCCTTATTATTATTTTTATTAAAAACTATGTTTATTATAAGAAAACTGAGAATTACAAGAAAGTAGAAAACAAGCGAACAAGAATTAACCATCATTATATCAACCAAAGATGATCATTTTCAATATAATGTGTTTATTTTATATATATATATACATGTATATTAGACTGTATGGTCCCAATTTTGTTTAAAATATATTTTTAAAAAATTGGGACCATACAGTCTAAACTGTTTTGTAACCTGCCTTTTTCCCATAGTTATCCTTAACATTTTTCATGGCTTTAAACATTCATCCACATTGCTCCAAATGGCTGCATAGTGATGCCTTCCTTAAATCATTTTCCTTCTGTTTCTCATTGTTGGATATTTTCAAAAACATTTTTTCTGATGTGAATGTTCAGGCCGTCACAAACATCCCTGAAGAAACCTGAACATGTCCTGGAATTAGAATTGCTAGGTCTGTAGTTCTCCCCATGTTTAAGGCTTCTGAAAAGACATCGTCAAGTTACCCTTCATTGTTTGTCGTGTCCAGTTACATCCTGGTCAGCAGTTATTCTAAAACTATTTTCCAACACATGTAATGGTCACTTTTATTTTGGAACCTTTACAACTGCATCCATTACTGTAGGATTTGCATTTCAGGATTACATACTGATGTATAATTTTCCTGCAAAATTATTCTGCGTGGTTGAGTCTTTACCAGGTAAAGTATCATATCTCCTAATTAAGTTTTAATAAAACAGTATTATGATAGGGGATTTCTTGGCTTTTGCATCTCTGAAAGTCCACCAGGGGAAGCCAAATTAGTCATTGCTAATCAGAAATATTTTGAGAGAAAGTAACTGTTTCACTGTAAAACTTTTTCACCTGGATGGCTGGGAACAGCATATTCAAATTCAAAATTCTTTCTGCTCTCTTGCTCTCAAGTATGCAAGCACAATGCAAGTATGATTTGGTCTCCAGCTTGGTAGAGAAACATTTACAACACAACCCATATATTTTCATCCTGGTTGTATGGGTTGAATAAAAAGCATCTCTAATTCCCATGAAGATTCAACCTCTGGTATAAGATGTTTTTCATTTTAACCCAGAGTGAAAGCTGCACAGAAACTACTTGACTGTATTCTTCTGTTAGTAACATTAGATTCCCAAGATGCAACAGGCTTTCAGATGTATTATTCTCCTACAATGAAGAAACTCAAGGATACGAAAACCTGGAAGAGCTTTTCATTTGACATCTTCCTTTCAAGGTAACAGTTGTGCTGCAGTTTGTTTAGTGTGCACCAGCTTATTAGTGGTAGCTTTGTGTGAAAATGTGGTTATCACAAAAAGGTAATATATGGTGAAGAGCAGCTGCTCCTAATCACAAACCATCCATAAATAGCTTTCCCTCCTTGAGAAGACGCTCAATTCTCTGGTTGTCACAGTCAGCAGAAAATGAAAACCCCATAGGATGATAAATAGTTTAAAACATATTTCTCCCCAGTGTTTTGAATGCTGTCTTATAATGCAGTGCACTTTTACTGAACCAGAAATTGTCTGTAATAAAAGAATATTGGGAGAAAATGTTTAGATTCTCACTGAATTCTAGAACTTCGAAGGAATGTTCTGGTTTCACTGTTAAAGGTTAATTGCTGAGTATATGTCATAGGCTGCAATAAAATGAGAGTTTTTAGTCTTCTGCTCCCAATAAACAGTTACAGTTTTTAACACATCAAAGTTGGAGACCTTTTTTTCTTAATTAACATAACAGCCAAGTGAATTTCTTGGCAATAAGCAAATGATTGCTTTTAAAAATCCTATAAATATTTCATTTTTTAAGTCATCAAAAAGAAAACAAATCACTTCTGTCAGCTGTCTTTTGACACAAAACCATCTTTCCCGTATACACACAGAAAAAATATTGTTCTTGATCTTTATGCTGATGCCTTTTCTGGCTATTAATCATCTGTTTTATACATGATATTGACCATTCCCTGGAGGCACTCAGAACTTGCAGCTTCCCTTCCTTATGAAAGGAAATTGAGGAGAGTCACGGAAATAATTTCAGAATTTTCTCAAGACTGTTGAGACTAAATTCTAAATGATTGAACCATGGTAGTAAATTCATTGTCAGGTCGAGGCTGTGACTTTTCTTATTTTTGTTTCAAAAAAATTTTTTTTTTTTTTGAGATGGAGTCTTGCTCTGTTGCCAGGCTGGAGTGCAGTGGTGCGATCTTGGCTCACTGCAACCTCCAGCTCCCTGGTTTGAACGATTCTCCTGCCTCAGCCTCGCGAGTAGCTGGGATTACAGGCACATGCCACCAAGCCCAGCTAATTTTTTTTTTATTTTTAGTAGAGATGGGGTTTCACCATGTTGGCCAGGATGGTCTCGATCTCCTGACCTCATCATCCGCCCACCACAGCCTCCCAAAGTGCTGGGATTATAGTCGTGAGCCACCACGCCCGTTCAAAGCTGTGATTTTTTCTACTTGAAGCCACTGGTTTCCACCAGAGGTTAATTGACTGTCAGTCTTTCCTGTAGGTGACTCTTCCAACTATTAGCAATAATCAGTATCTACAGAGGAGAATCTCAGTTGTAAGTGGCTTGACTGAGTCTAGCAAATGAAACTTTGTTCTTGCCCTAGCTGACTGATGTCTCAAAAGTCCTTGAAATTTTCTATTCATTCCAGTGTATGCACAAAACAAAGAAAAAGTGAGCTTGTTTTCCACAGCCCGAATCTTCCCAGAGCAGATGGGGCTTGCGTTTCGCAGGGTGGGGGGTGTCCTGAGGACTCCCACCTTGACATTGCAATGAAAACTTTCTCTCGAATCTCTGAATTCTCTTATCTGGCACAATAAATGAGAAAAGCCTGCCTGCTTCCCTTGGTAGGCTTAAAGAGTGCTCTCATGTTAGATGAATATCCAGAAATCATCTCTTCTCTGGCATAGCAGAAGGCACATGGTGGGTCCCAGATGTTTCTTCAAGCCTGTCATTCCCAGACATAATAGATTACATCAGGGAAGCCAGCAGGAAGGAAGGGAGCGCTGCCTTTCTCTCTCTTTCTTTCCTCCCTCCCTCCTCGTCGCTTTCTCCCTCTGTCTCTCTCATCCCCCAAGCCCACCCCACCTTTTCTTTCTTTTCTAAAGGTTCCAGGGGAGTTGAAGGTTGACTCAGAACCTCCCTTTATGAAAAAACCTGCCCACATTTCAGTAACTACAGCTGGTGTTAAAAGACTTTGGTTGGTTAGAAAAATTTCAGATGTCACAAGCTTGGACAGCACGTGGGAACGTGGAGGGGACGGTGGCATGAGGGCACCTCAGCAGTGTCCCCTTGGCCGCCTCTGGCCTTCCCCTTGGATGAGCCTCCTGCAGTTCTGTTTTGGAGACAAGAGCTTCCTATGCGGTTTCTTCCTCCTTGACTGAAAATCACTGGGAAAGCTAACAGAGCACCCTAGAAAACTCCAGAAACTTTCTAACTGCCTAAGGCAAAGTGACCTTAACCCTAAATGACCCTCCCTTATTTCTCCAGTACTGTGCTACATTTCATAGATTAGGGTTAGTGACCTTTGAATGAGTTCACCCGCGTGATTTCACAGATGAGGGGCCTCAGATTCATGACAGCACATGGTCCCTACTCGTGGTAGGAAGCCAATGAGGGCAGCCCAGGCTGCAGACGCGAATTGAACGGAAGCGTGTGTGCAGCGGCGTGTGGGTGGTAAGCTCTCCCTCCACTGCGCTTTCAGGCTGTCCACAGACCTCACCAAACCCCGCGGGGCTGGGAGCAGCCGCGCGCAATCCGCTCTTGGGAGCCCTGGGAGCTGGCTGTGCCCCTGTAGCATCGGATTCCACAAGACTAATTAAGAACCTGGGCGGGAGGGAGAGAGAAGCTGTGCGCTTCCTGCAGCGATGGAGTGTAGAAAATGCTTTTTTCTAACTGCAGTGCTGTCTCATTGCTCTCCAGCCGCGGTCCACCTGGGGCATGCTGGAGCTGATCTTTCTCAAGTTATTTCCCAAGTAAAAGGAGAGAACAGAGAGAACAGCAAGGGCTCCTCCTGTGTGGCTTTGCTGCGGTGGGCTTGGCTCCTCAAAACTGTAAACGCTGCCCTCCTCTTCCGTGACTTCCCCTCTGCCGGTGGGGGTGTTAGACGCACCTGGGGAGTCGCTCCCACCCATATTGGGTGTAATCCCACTGAAGGATCGGGGCCCTGAGGGAGAAGGGAGGAATTTACAAAGACTCCTCATATCCCTCTCTTTTTTTCTTTTTTAATTTTGTAGAGGTGGAGTCTCCTTATGTTGTCCAGGCTGGTCTTGAACACCTGGCGCCAAGTGATCTTCCTACTTCAGTCTCCCAAAGCACTGATAGCCCTCTCTTCCAACCAGCCACCTTTTGCTCATGACCTATTTGATCCTGGTCTACTGGGGCAGAATGTAAATTGAGACTTTTGAGTCCTTTTCTAAGCAGCCTTTCAGAGCTGGGAAAGAACTGCGCCATCTCCTTGATCCGTTCCCATCAATCACTCTCCTGTCCCATGCGTGGAATGGACATGGAGTCCCCGCGTGAGCTCAGTACTGGTAGAGAGATGCCTTCCATATCTCACTGCTTTTAATCATTTTGGCCACTTTATAAGAACAACATAAGATGGTTAGCATCCTTCCCTTTTCAAGAAGAGGAAATTTGGGCTTGGAGGTCGGTTGTGTTGTCAAAAGTCATATGGTTGGTGGACAGCAGAGTTAGGAGTTACACACTAGCCAGGCTCATGCCACAACCTGAATGGCTGGAGACGCCACGCTGCCTTGTGTACTTTCACATCAACAGAAAGCCCCTCGTTTTGTATCCTATTTATATGACTGTATCAGTTACAAACATTATGATTCTACTGTCTTTGGCATGTAGCATGCCAAACCAAGCTCATACGGAGCCATAATGGAATGTGTCCACAGACTGACCACAGTGTTGCTTTACAGAAGACAGACTTCAGAGCAAAATAAACTCCACAAAGCGTGCTGAATGGGTTCCTATGACGCGCAGCCATAAGGAAGTTTCTTTTTAAAACAAAGTTAACTTTTTTCCTGTTTATAAGAATAATGCACAACCATCGGGAAAAAAAACTAGGAAAATATAACGGAAAAATTTTAAAACCACCCATAGTGTTAACGTTAAGCTGTATGTAGTTTCAATTGTACATATATACATTTTAATAAATCAGACTAATTATATATGGCCTTTTAAAAAACTGTAACATTGTCCCTGACCATATGGCCAACCATTAGCTACTCCATGAATCAAAGCAGGACCTTAGTCCAGACCATCTATTCTGTAGGCAAAGTACTGCCCCCTGGGAGGATTTTCCTCCCCCATGTTCAGGGTTACCATGAAGTGGGGCTATAATGACTTCAATACTCCGCTTGGGGCTGGTTCTGGCATATGGTACAGAGCCATCAGTACATTTGGCTTCAGTTGTTTTCCTCTTTTGTCAGTAGGTCATCAGGAATTTACCATGAGGCCATGGGAAGAGGTGGAGAGCATGTTGTCAGTGTGGCCAGGGCAGCATCCTGGGCTCCTGAGCACATGTGACTTATTGATGCCTTTGTGAGCTGTAGATATCATCTGTCCCTAATGGTGGAGCACTTCTTGGAATTTCCAACTTTATGACCAAGTAGATCTTATAACACTCAGTTCATGAATGATGAGTATTGGGTGTCTTGTCACCTGGTGTCACCTGGTCAGCCATCTCCACCAGGATCTCGTGGCAAGCCGGGAAGTGTTACTCTTAGAAGGAGAAGAGGTATTTGTTGGAGGCAGAGTTTTACTCATACATTTTAAGGTCTTTCACTGTCTTTAAAGAACTTTTTTTGTGTGTGTAAGGTACACATAACATAAAATTTACTATCCTAACCATTTTTAAGTGTGTCGTTCAGTGGTATTAAGGACATTTATAATATTGTGCAAATATCACTGCCATCCATTTCCAGAGCTCTTTTCATCTTGCAAAACTGAAACTCTATACTTACTAAAAAATAACTCGCCATTCTCCACTCCTCCCAGCTCCTGGCAAAGTAGACCAGCATGCTACTTTGTGTGTCTATGAATTTAACTACTCCAAATACTTCATATGAATGGAATCATACAGTTTAGTATTTTCCTTTTGCAACTGGTGTATTTCACTTAGCATAATGTCTTCACAGTTCACCCGTGTTGTAGCATGTGTAAGAATGTCCTTCCTTTTGAAGTCTGAATAATATTGTATTGTGTGTATATACTACATTATGTTTACCCATTTGCCTATCAATGGACACTTATGTTGCTTCCACATTGTAGCTATTGCGAATAATGCTGCTATGAACATGGGTGTGCAAATATCTCTTCAAGACCCTGCTTTCAGTTCTTTTGAGCATATATCCAGAAGTGGAATGGCTAGATCATATGGTAGTTATATTTTTAATTTTTTGAGGGGAAATCTTACTGTTTCCACAGTGACTGTGCCATTTTACATTGTCACCACCAGTGAACAAGGATTCCGATTTCCCCACATCCTTGGCCAAACTTGTACTTTTTTGTTTTTTGTTTTTTGTTTTTTTGGTAGTAACCATACCAGTGGGTGTGAGGTGGTATCTCATGGTTGATTTGCATTTCCCTAATGATGAGTGATTTGGAGTGTCTTTTCCTGTGCGTATTGGCCATTTGTATATCTTCTTAGAAGACACGTCTATTCAAGTCCTTTGCCCATTTTTGAATCAGGTTTTCCTTTGTTGTTGAAGGTCTTTCACCTTTGATGCTCCTGTGGAAGCTTGCAGTAGGTTCCAGACAGTCTCCTGATGTGCTCTAGGTCCTTCGAGCACTGCTTGTTCGTAGCACTGACTCTAGAGTCCTGAGGTTCTAGCAACATCTATTGGTCTGCAACTCTGAGCAGCATAAGAACTGTGCTGCGGGAGAAAAACATGCTGTAAAGAGCATTGCTGGCTCCATTTGTTCCATTCCCATCATCCACTCTCCCTTCCCACACATGGAATGGACATGGAGTCCCCACCGTGAGCTCAGTACTGGCAGAGAGATCCCTTCCACATCTCAACACTTCTCATCATTTTGGTCACTTTATAAGGACAACATAAGATGGTTGGCCTCCTCCCCTTTTCAAGAAGAGGTAATTTGGGCTTGAAGGTCAAACTTCTGGCCCAATTCTCACTTAAAGCCCGCAGCTGTTCACAGCACAGAAATTTTGTCGCTTTATTACACTTTAAGTTTTTCTGTATTTTTCACAAATCAAGGTTGAGATTATGCATTATCTTCTGATTTCCCCAAAATAGGAAATGAATAATTTAACTCACTTATATGTCCCCATCTATTACAACATTTCTTCCTTTACCAGTTGTCCAGACTTTGTTAATTAAAATCCAGTTTATTGTTTTTTACATTTTTTTACATCATGTATCTTCTCTATCTCTGAGAAATCTAAATTTCATTTGCTTCTACTTATGTGGAATGATTTTTTGAGATTTAACACTATCTTAATTGGTTATAATGACAATGGTCAGTTCTTGTATGCACCATTCATTGATACTAGAACTGGAATTAGAATTCCCCTTCAAGTCTATTGGAATGCTTCTTCAAATAATTTTTTAAGAAAGAGACATAGATGATATTTTCTGAGCCTTTGTATGTACCAGACCATTTTTCGGATGCCTTCACAAAAGAAAAATAACTGAGGATAAAAATTATAAGTATATTACTCCAACTTCTATAATTATTATTTTATTTCTTCTGGTTTGTAGTATGACAGAAAAAAAAGTCTAAGTCCACTAGTCCAGGTTGATTTTTGTTCACTTTTAAGGAAACTTTTATGAGGGAACTTCTTTTTTGTACTACGTATGTTTAGAATTTTTTTGTTGTTTGTTGGAAGACTTTTACAAACATTTTAATCTTTTTAAAAAATAATTTCAAACTTACGAAAAAGCTGTAAGAATAATATGAGTACAAAGAACACCCATGTGCACTTTGCCCAGATTCACCTGTGGCTAACACTTGGCCTTGCTCGTCTTAGTTTCTCTCTCTCTCTCTCTCTCTCTCTCCCTCTCTGTTTGTCTCTCTCTGCCTGTCTCCCTCTCTCTCCCTGTCTTTCCATTCACAGACACCCCCAACTTTTTCTGAACTATTTGAAGGTAAGTTAGATACATAATGGCCCTTTGTTCCTGAATACTTTGGTGTGTGTTTTCTAAGACAAAGGAGAGTATATTTTCAGTTTTAGTAAATTTAATATTGGAAAAGTATTTTTTATCTAAGCTAACCACCCATTTTCCAGTTGTGTCAGTTGATCCAATAATGCTCTTTATAGCATGTTTTCTCCCTTAGCGTAGTGTCTAGTCTAGAGTCACATAGTCTGTGTATTTGCTGTGTGTCTTTAGCCTCCTACAATCTGGACTGTTACCACAGCCTTGTGTGTGTGTGTGTATGTGTGTGTGTGTGTGTGTGTGTGTTTTTAATCACATCTACATATTCTGAAGAATGCAGCCCCCTTCTCCTTTTTTTAGTGGAACATTCCTCATTTTGGCTTTGTCTGATGCTTCCTCATGGTTAGATTCATGACACATTCTTGGCTGGAATGCTACATAGGTGATGTGCCCTCCTTAGGGCATCTCGTTTAGAGGCATATGATATCCATCTGCCCTTCACGGTTCATTCAGCTGATCTTCTGTATTTGGACACTTAGGTAGTTCCCAGTGTTTCCAATCACAAATACTATCACAATGAATAACTTTTCATATTGTTGGAGGTATGTTTTCAGGGTAAATTCTCTGAGTTGAAGGGTAAATGAATACGTAGTTTAGTTAGATATTTCCAGCTTTTGCAATTCCCTTCATAGGAATTGTACCATTTTGCATTCCCAACAGCGGTGTGTGAAAAGTGCCTGTTTCTTCATAGAGTTGCCAACAGAGTACATCTTTTCATATGCTTGAGTCATGTTTAATCATTTTATGAATTGCCTATTCATGTCTTTTGCCCACTTTCTATATGATTTTGGGCTTTCTCCCTCAATTTATAAAAGTTGTTTGTTTCTTTAAAATATTGGCTCTAGCTGAGATAAATATTGCAAATATTCTTTCCTAGATTGTCATTTATCTTTGCTTATTTTTTGTCATTTAAAAGTATTTTCTTTTTATGTAGTCAAATTTATCAATCTTTTTCTCATTACATGTTTAGAGAGTTTCTCCCAAAAACCAGGTTATGGACGAATTTACTCATATTTTCCTAAGATACTTCTAGAGTTAAATATATATATTTTTACCTTTGGATCTCTGATCTATTTGGATTTTATTCTTATGTAGCATGTGAGGAATGGATCTCTTTATTTTTAGCCTTTCAAGTCACTGTGTTCAGGTATATCTCTTTTTTACATTGAAGTGTTGGATTTTGTTTATAAGTCAATTTAAAAATATTTTTCACGTAATAGGTGACTTAAGCCATTTATTGAAATCCCCATCAGTTTTTGGTTGGACGAAGTTCATCTTCTGATAGATTCATCAGAAAGGGCACATGTATATAGCATTCCCTGATCCCTGGCACTTTTAAAACTTTTTCTCTTGCCTTTTACCTGAAAGACAACTTGTTTAGATATAATGTCCTTTTTTTTTTTTAACTTTCTTTACATTTCTTGAAAATCCTGCACCATAGTTGCCTTGTGTTGTGGAAGTCTGATGCCAGTCTAGTTCTCTTGCGTTTTCAGTTACTTTATCTTTTTGCTTAGAGGCCCTGAGAATATTTTCCTTATCTTTAAAATCAGATATTATCATTTTACTAGGATATATTTTAGAGTGGATCATTCTGTGTCAATTTTTCCTAGTACCAGGTGGACTTTTTAAATGTGTAGATTCAATTCTTCTTGTATTTCTGGACATTTTTCTTGGATTATCGTTTTAAATATTAGTTCTGTTTCCTTGTTTTGATTTTCTTTTGCATTGTTGCCAATTATATGTATGTTATACCTGCTTTGCCTCTCTTCCATTTCAATCACTTTTTCTTAAACTTCTTTTTGTTTTTGTTTTTTTCTTTATCCTGCTTTCATTCTCTTGGCTTTTTCTTGCTCTTCTTCAGTGTTTTTTATTTGGTTATCCTTTGAATATATTCTTTTTATCCTTTATTCAAAGGATTTTTTTAATTCTTTTTTATTTTTTATTTTTTTATTCTTTTATTCTTTTTTTATTCTTTTATTTGGTTATCCTTTGAGTATATTCTTTTTATCCTTTATTCAAAGGATTTTTTTATTCTTTTTTATTTTTTATTTATTTATTTTTTTATTCTTTTTTTTTCCTTTGAATATATTCTTACCTTGACACATTGAAATTCAGTTTTCAGTTCTGATATAATACTGTCTTGCTATTTTTTCCTGGGATAAATCCTTATTTTATTTCTTCTGGGTTTTTTGTTGGTTTGTTTTGGCTATTTCTCTTTTTAGCTTTTATATTCTTAATTGGGTTGATTTTAATATCCCAGATGCTTGTTTGAAGATATTTAGTTCTGTTTGGAGTGTTATGTTACAATTTTCTTTAGCTTCATATTTAGATTTTTGGAGGATATTTTTTATAAACAGAAGAGCCTTAGTGAACTTGTTCTGTCTTATATAATACTTTTATATGAATGTGGCTGCATTTTCCTATTCCTATTCTTTTCATGGGCAGAGATTGTAGTTCACCATCACTCTCTCCTGTCAGTTCTCATCTCTGCTGTGTAGTTTCTTTTAGAGATGAAGTTGGTGGTGGTAGGTCAGGCTGGGGAGAAGTGTTGAAATTTCTTATGTTTCATTACCACATGGTATCTTATTATTTATTTCCTTCACTTCCTCATGTATTTGATTATAACCTGGAAGCTGTCCTGCTCTGATTCTGCTCTAATTCTGCTCTTTTCAGGCCAATTCTCTGTAGCAAGAGCTGAGAACTATCTGATTGTGATCTCAGTTTAGTATGTTGACATGTATTATTTCACTTTCTCTCTCTGGGAGTGATCTTATCTGTACTTCATCTAAATTCTTTACTACCACCTACTGTTTTTCACAGACTTTTAAGCCTCTCCTCTCCTGTTTGCCATACCCACAGGCTTGCAGTGGCAGGTGGGTAGTCAGGGCTTTGTTGGAGTTTTTAAAAATCTCTTTACAAGTAATTTGAAGGTCATGGGATTCTCTTCCTCTTTATAATACTGAAAGCATGAGTACTAGTGGTGTATTCGCTTTCTTTGTTAATTTTATGTTTTGGTTATGTTGCATTGTGTTTTTCTGGGAGGGTATGGGAGGAGATGTGGAATTGGCTGCCATTTTCCTCAAAACTTAGAACTCTCCATAGGTGTAGGTATCTTTTTATAAATTATGCATGAAATATAGTGAGCTTTTACAATTTTTATGCCTAGATTTTTTTTTACTCCAGAAATTTTTATTTATCCTTTGATAGTTGATTGTTTCAGTTAAAAAAAAAAATCTACAAAGAACTAGAATCTTTGTTCTTCGTATCCACCATCTGCCTCAGGTATCGTATATGCTGCCTTGGGTAATATTTCTCTGGGTTTCTTTTTGTCTCTCTCATACCATCTCTTTGTTATTCAGTTTTATTTTTTAGGTTTCCTTGACTCTTTCCAATTACCCTATTGAATTTTTTCATCTTGGCTCTCATATTTTTATGAGGCCTTTTATTTTGTTTCCTACCCATTCCTTTGTCAAAACATCCTGATTCCATTTTATACATGCAATATCTTCTTTAATTTCTTTGAGAATATCATAGTTTTTGTGTTTTAATTCTTTCCTGCTTCCTACATTAACCCTTCCTTTTGAGATCATGTTTCCTGTCTGCTTATCATGAATTCTCTTTTTTATATTTTTTTATTGATCCTAGGTTGCTCATTCATATTTAAGAGTAAGGTTCAGCCAGGCATGGTGGTTCACACCTGCAATCCCAGCACTTTGGGAGGCTGAGGTGGGTGGATCGCTTGAGCCCAGGAGTTTGAGGCCAGCCTGGGTGACATGGAGAGACCCACCTATTAAAAAAAGAAAAAAAAAAGAAGAAGAAGATTCTAAAATTAGATCAGGAGCTTCGTATGTTTTTGTATGTGTGGGTAGGGTTGTGTTTTAGGATGATCAGCCAGGAAGGCAGTTGTTACACTGGGAATTCATCAAAACCCTGAATGTGAAGGTCTTTTGGGGGGCAAGGGGTAGTGGGTGGATATTTAATTTCCAAAAGTGAAACCTTTTATTTGTTAGCTTCAGAAGCACAAATGCTTAGGTAACAGCATTCTGTGTAATAGGCCAGGGACATTGATTCCTTAATTTATTTATCTTTAAAAAATCCATTTGTTTTCAGCCTTAAATTTCACTTGCACTTTTGCCACACCAAAGTATCCGGTTCCTAGGGCTCTGAGGAGTCCTGAAGGACCAGCTACCACTCCCTGTGATCCAGATACCCCCAGTGAGCACTATGCTGCCTCCTCCTCCACCTTATATATGTCATTCCTCACTTCTCCACTGGCTTTCTGCCTTATTGTTGAAATTTTTGTTGAAATCACTCATCGGCAGATAGCTACTCTCTAGTCTCTTTGACATTGTAGATTAATATATTTTTTAATCTTTCATTATCCTTGCATTTTGATGGTGTCTCAAGAGGGAGAAGATTTTCTCTTTTTGCTATGGACTTAACCTTTCAATTTATTAATTTTTCTCAACTGCAAAATGATCATTTCTAAGGTCACCTATCATTTTTAAATCCTGTTATACATCTCTCCCCTACTTGTGGGTTCACCTTAAATCCCAAAACTCATGACTTTCATGAGTTTTCAGCATGTTTCCTGAGACTTGATCTTAGTGAAAATTTAACTTTTTTTCTCTAAAGGGGCTGATTTGTTTTAACCTGATAAATGATCTCCTTAGAGTTGCTTTGGAAAAGCATTAACACATTATTATTATTATTATTATTATTATTATTATTATTATTATTTTGAGATGGAGTCTCACTCTGTTGCCCAGCTGGAGTGCAGTGGCATGATCTCAGCTCACTGCAACCTCCACCTCCCAGGTTCAAGCGATTCTGCTGCCTCAGCCTCTCGAGTAGCTGGGACTACAAACGCCCGCCACCACGCCTGGCTAATTTTTGTATTTTTAGTAGAGACGGGGTTTCACCATGTTGACCAGGCTGATCTGGAACCCCTGACCTCAGGTGATCCGCCCACCTCGGCCTCCCAAAGTGCTAGGATTACAGGCATGAGCCACCGTGCCCGGCCAGCATGAACAATTATTAAATAAACTACCCTCTGTCTCTCACCTGGGCCAGCCTGCATGTAGTTGCTCACGTGGCACATTGCTTGAAAGCAACTCAGTATGGGCAGGTAGGAGTGTTTGCCCTTGCGACTTGCAGTTTAGGCCTCATGTCCAAAATGACTCAGGTTTTCTCCGTCCATCACATCTCAATATTTGCACAACACCTCTCTCCATTTTTGGTTCTATGAGTCTTATATACTCGAGTTTGGGCTGTTCTGGACAATGACTACCCATCCTGTTGAAATTTCCTTTGGCACTTTTCCAAAGTGAGTTTCGACCATGCCACTAATTCTATATGAAAGTCAGATAACTCCAAGTTTGGTGAAGACCTGTCCAGATATTTTGCGTGATGCAGATTGAATTTTTATTTTTGTTTTGCTTTACTTTCGGTTATGTTGATCGATACCGTTTAAAACCAAGTTAAAGTAGCACAGTGTATGTCTACATCAGATGATTTTCTTCATGATTCAGTAATACTGAGAATAAAAATAGCCAACACAGAAAGTTCTTTCTATATATGCCAGGCGCTGGTCTAGGGAATTTGCATTAATTTATTCCTTTCATCCTCACACAGCCACGTGGGATAGTTACTATTATAATCTTCATTGTAAAGATAAGGAAAGTGGAACCAGGGTGCAAACCCAGATTGTCTGACTCCAGAAGGAATTTTTTGTGGAAACTTTTTCTTTTGGAAATGGTCCAGAAAATACCTAGTCCTTGGAAGAGAGATAAACCTTGGAGTTACTGGGGTGGGGAAACATGAAGAAGATGAATAGCTCATCTAGAAATGAGAAGATGAAGCAGTTCATTGGGATTCGTAAGAGTCTTGTAGGAAGAACCAGCTAGAGGAAACCATGAGAACGGATATCTGAGGAGACGGGGCCTTCTTACTGTTAGAAGCTCTACGGTGGCACAGACGTGTCCACATTCCTCTATGTCCTATATTAAATAGCACCTTTACATGTACAACTTTTTTTTTTTTTTAAACAGGGTCTCACTCTGTCATCAAGGCTGGAGTGCAGTGGTGTGATCTTGGCTCACTGCAGCCTCCAGCTCCCAGGCTCAAGCAATTCTCCTGCCTCAGTCTCCCAAGTAGCTGCGACTACAGGTGTGAATCACCACTCCCAGCTAATTTTTATATTTTTAGTAGAGACGGGGTTTCACCATGTTGGCCAGGCTGGTCTCGAACTCCTGGGCTCAAGTGATCCACCTGCCATTTGAAAAGAATTTTATACTTCCATTCACTCCTGTACTCCCCATTTGGCAGGTGTTTATTGAGCACTGTGTGGAGGACACGGTCTGGTGAGAGGGAGGAGTTGGTGAGGAGAACTTCCCTGCCCAGGGAGCCAGCCTGGAGCAGTGAGCCCAAGAAGTGGACACAGGCTGGATGGCGGTGTGGGCTACTCAAGGAAGGAAAGCAGACCAGGGTTTGGCAGATGTGGAATCCCAAAGAAGGGGTAGGGAAAGTCACAGCTTGCAGTGGGGTGGTCGGTGTCAGCCTTGTGGAGAAGGCTAGATGTGGACCCACTCTGTCTAGGGGAAGGGGGTTCCCAGCAGAGGGAATCACTAAGGCAGGAGCATGCATAGCTTGTGGGAAAACAGCAGGGAGGCCCACACGGCTGGCACAAGAGAGGGGTAAGGGAGCCTGAGACCCCTCAGGACCCAAAGGAGGCCAGCCTTGTAGGCTGTCTGGGGCCTTGGCTTTTATCCTGAGTGACATAGAAAAGCATCACAGGGTTTGACATGGTCTGACTTCATCCATGTCTCTGCATAAGGACATGATCTCATTCTTTTTCATGGCTGCATAGTATTCCATGGTGTATATGTACCGCATTTTCTTTATCCAGTCTATCATTGATGGGCATTTAGGTTGATTCCATGTCTTTGCTATTGTGACTAAGCACTGAAATTTTTATCTTATCCTGGGCACTGACTGTAGAGTAAAGGTGGCGAAGGTGCCCACAGTAGTCTCGGAGGTTTAGGTTCTCCTCTCTTGAGGATGACATATCCTGTTTTTCAGTGTGTGTCTGTGGCGATACCTTTGCGTTTTCTTTATTTTTATATTCTACCTTTTCTCTTTCTTCTGGTCTGAGTGTTGCCTTTCAGATGGAGTGCTGGGAGATGCTGACTTTTAAACTCTTCTTTTAGAATCAAGATTTACTGGCACAGTCCTCTCACCGAAGGCTAGGAAAGCCATTGTAACTTAATATAGCCTATTACCCTAAATCTGTGTGTATCCCGTGTCTATTTAAATTTGTTAGAGGGCAAGATATTGTTAAAGCTGCTGCTAGGAGATTTAACTTGGTGCAGTCATGGGCCTGGCAGGTGGGGCAGGGAGACAGATGGGTAAACCGACGGAGCTAGCTGGTAGTGTTCTAGGTACCATAGTGCCATCAGTTCTGTAGAGCAATGAGAGAGAATATGGTCAGCTGGCATCCCTGCCCCAAATGGGCCTTGCACAGATCTGAGGGCCCAGAAAACTGGCACCCAACTGCTGGTGACATCAGCTATTCCTTTGATGTAGACTAAAACGTTTTCATTCACAGTCTTAGAATGAAAATAGCTGGGGGATGAGCACTGACCAATAGGCTGTCAGCTCCCCGAGGGCAGGGGTGGGGCACAGTGCAGCCTCCAGAGCATCACCTGCAGCCCGGTACCCAGAAAGCGTTTAATACGTGTTTGCTGATGAAATAGATATGGGGGTTCCCCCCTTAGGAGCAAGTTTTGTAAGGAGGTAAAGGGAAAGAGCCTGGAGTGTCAGAGTCACCACTTTCTTAAAACAAAATCAAGAACCAAGAATCAGAATCCCAAATCCAGAATCAAAGTTTAGAAGCTGAAAGAGAACCTTTTTGCCAAGAGGGATGGCTGAGCTCTGTTCACAAGGGTTTCGACTTCTTCTAGGGTTCTTTTGCTTCATTTAGCTCTGCTGCTGTTCCCGGCCCCAGAGATGTGCTACCCACACTTGAAGATTCTTGCTCAAGCCCGGATGCTGTTGCTGTCACATTCCCTTTAATCTAGCTTGGATGGACCAAGGCTCTCAACACTGCTCTAACAGGTGGACCAGATGGAAAATAAAACATAGCATATATGAGCATTCAAACAGCCCTGCTTTCAAAGGCTGAGCTAATTACCTTCCAGCTGTAAAGGCCTACCATAAATGAGGTCACCCTGTCTGAGTTCCTGAGTTCCCAAGTCCCAGTCATTGGCTTGTCCTCAGATAGATGGATACTCATCCATTAAGGTCGAGGCCTAGAGACTCTCTTTCTCTCTGAGGCTCTCCTTCCAAATTCCAGCTTTAAATTTGAGAGATGAGCTTCCCTTGATGGCTGACCTCCACCCAATCACTTCCTCCAGTTGAGCTCTCCGCCCTGCTATGTGGTGAAGGGCCTCGAGGCCAGCACAAGATGAACACGCCTATACCACAGCACCAGAGTAGTACTATATGACGACAGGTGCATATCACATACAGCCGCAGGAGGGCTACCCATCACAATTCCTGGTGTCACATGCAGAGCCCAGCACATTCAGAAGTAGAGAGGAAAGAAACATCATGTAAAATCTTAGGGAGAGAAAGCTGGGGCCACCCAAGAGAGTAAAGGTTGCCTGCTTTGCAGCTCTGCCCGAGGCATCGTCTGCACGTATTATATGGTGCTGGTAATCTGAGGTATCATTGAGAGGCTGTGTCTTTAAAGGGGTCACAGGAATCTCAAAAACAAGAAGCAAATCCATTTTAATTGAGTTATCGTGGGGGAGTAGCCTGCCTGCCAGCACTCCAAGCTCTGTGTGTCCCGTATCCCAAGTCAGGGTTACCCTCCTAGGAAGGGAGGAGCCCTGTCTATGGAGCAGGCGGGTCCAGTTCCTTTCTTTTTTGCATGTAAAACTCTCAAAACCAAGGCTGGCTCTTCACAGGTCCCTCCCTCAGTCTGTTGTCTGTTTTCCCAGGCCTTTATGGAGCTGTCGTTGGTTCACAGATGCCAAGCAGTTACATGGTTAATCCTCCCTCCGCCAACCCCCCCTTCAGCACCACGCCCTCCTTCCTAATGGGCCTGAACTTGCCATTGTCCAAACATGAGTGACTGAACTGAAAACTCAACTTTCTGATTTAACACACAGAGTGGTTTGTTTTTTTTTTTTAAGGAAATGTATTAGATTTTGGCTGGGTTTTAGTTTGTCATTATACCTGCGTGTAATGTTCTTCTGTTTCTTTTTTTTTCTTTTCTTTTCTTTTTTTTTTTTTGAGACAAAGTCTTGCTCTGTCGCCCAGGCTGGAGTGCAGTGGCGCAATCTCAGCTCACTGCAAGCTCTACCTCCCGGGTTCACGCCATTCTCCTGCCTCAGCCTCCTGAGTAGCTGGGACTACAGGTGTCCGCCACCTTGCCTGGCTAATTTTTTGTATTTTTTTAGTAGAGACAGGGTTTCACTGTGGTCTCGATCTCCTGACCTCGTGATCCACCCACATCAGCCTCCCAAAGTGCTGGGATTACAGGCGTGAGCCACTGCGCCCAGCCTGTTCTGTTAATATTGCTTCTCACTCCCATAACTTTGGTTCAAAATACCATGTTCAAAAATACCTTAGTTATGCATATTTTGGATTCTAATATTTCAAATAGACATGGACAATTCATTTGAGATAAGTTGGGAATTTTCTCTTGGCCAGTTAAGATATTGAGGAGAAAATAACTTGATATAAAAAGTACTTTTCTGGATTTTTCTTTCCTTTTTTTTAATTTAAAGAAGGATGACTTGGGATGTACTTGAAGCTTCTTGAGAGTTTGAGAATATCTTAAGATAGATCCTGGTTTTCTCATAGTCTGGTACTTGTATCTTTCACTACTTCCTGTCTTAATGTTATTCTACGTGGGAATAAATGCCAACATGGCGTCAAGCAATGAGCTGAGTTTAACACAAAATGTTAGAGGTAACCTCCTTGTTCTTTATCAAAAGATAAGAGAAGAAGAGAGATCCAGAATTTAAAATTTTCCCCTTTTCCTCCATTGGAACAGCAGCTCTTCTCTGAAAACACCTCAATACCAAAGATTCTTCTTAATCACACACATCTTTTAATTAATGTGATTTTATTCTAAAGAAAGCAAATGTCTTTGACTTTCAGTTCAATTTCTAAAAGGGGAAACCATGTACTTGGTCCCTCTGTGGGGCTCTTTGCCATTTTAATCTTTTATTTTCTCCCAAATTATGAATGTTCCTCAGTGAGTCTTGATAATAATTTCTAAATTAGCCTTGTCTGAACTTGTGTTTGATAATCTTAGGTATTTAATTATAAGTGTCATAGATTCCTAGCATTTCCAGTCCAGGTGTCAGATTAAAAAAGACAGTTTGACATCCTCATTGTGCAGGTCATTTTCATCATTTTCCATGCCAGGAGCAAGGTAATTAATATTGCTCTCTCACTGCAGGGACAGAGTAGTAAGTTTCTAAATGTTACACTTTACCTATATGGATAGTGATGCACATTCTGCTTGCAATTTCTAATGCGATGCCCGAAAGAATGCTATAGATGGAAAGCCATACCGTGGAAGACAACGGGCCAATTCTCACAAGCAGCAGGGTAGCTAATGTCTGCTGCATTGTTTATTTTACACAATTTTTGAAAAGTGAACAGAAACCATGATTTTAAATTTAATTAAGAAAGATTATGTTGGGGGGAGGCAAATCAGATAATCACATGCACAAAGGGTTTAAAGGAGAATTGTTTGGACCTAAAGTCCTATTTTGTTGTTGATTTTCATCTTCCGACAAATTGCTTCCCAAGGCTCTGAGTTGATTTAAAGTCAACAGGAGTTCTGAATGGGGTATGAAAATAAACAAGAATGGGGAAAAATGGGAGATTTCTGGATACTGATTCTGAAGATATTTCACAGTTAACATTTTTCACTGCTTCCCATATATTTAGCCCTTTCCAGGGGATCAAAATGCTCATACCCCATCCCATTTTCCAGTTAGAATTTCACCTGAGAATTTAAATGCACGATCAGTAGCTTGCTTGGTGAGCAAAGATTTCAGCACAAGAAGTGACTCCCTGCTGACAGTGGCCTGTGAGCCTCTCCTGGCTGGATTTGTGTCTGTCAATCCCTTGTCTCTCTGCATGGGTTGTGCCCCATCAATCTTGCCAATCCCTGATTATTTGGCCTTACCTCTTTTCTGAGTTCTGGACTCATTGAGCAAGTCATACACATAAAAATATTTACTGAGCACCTGCTTGCCACAGGCCTTGGTCGACAATCTTTCTCCAGTCAAGGCATTGTACAAGTGATACCTGTTCCTTTGTTAAATCACATCCAAGTCCCTGTCTTCCTGAGATTGCCCCATATTGATTTTAATTGGATTACAGACATTTTCAAAGTCATCTTAGTTTGTTGAGAGACAGCTTACATGGCATGTACATACCCTTGAAACTGGAAAAAATAAATCACATTTCTCTTTTGGAGATTTGCAAAGGAAGACAAAGCCCAATGAACACTGGTAGAACAGAAAACAGTTTCCAAAATCCTTAACTGTTATTGCCCCTTTCTCTTTTCATGGAATTGTATAATTACTATCATTTTATGTTATAGAAAAGTTTCTAGTCTATCACATTTCATACTGTAGAAAAACATCATTGAATGGTGCACTTTGATGGAATTTGAAATAACTAGTTGTTAGTTTTCTGATCAATGACATTTAGAATTGTTTACTATGTGCTAAGAGAAATCAATGGTCAGCTTTGAAATATCCCAAATCAACGTTCTTAAATAGAGAAATACATGGCGCCTGAATGTTTCAAACTTGCACTAGGGGCCAACAGCCTCAGAAGCATCTTAGACACCTCCCCCAACCATCATCAAAAAAAAAAAAAAAAAAAAAGGCATGTATTGCAATTCTCAGATAACCAGTTTGCTTTAGATACATGCAAGCTGCCTTTGGTGCCTGCCACAGCTGCAGGTCTTTCTTGGGAGTTCCATGCGGTGGAGGAAAGGCAGATCCTGTAGGCCATCGGTGGCTAAACAGAGGCATAAGGCAGAGTTGGCGATTCAGCCACAGCCCTGGAATGACAGTGTCCCCATATGGCAAATCCCTCGCATAGAAGGCCATGGGAAATCCCAACCAGGGACCCATGATGGCAGCTCTAGAACTGCGTTGCTCTCTGACCTCTCTGCTAGGGCCAAGACTGGCCAAGCTGCTACCTACTGTGCCCTGGTCTGTGCAGGTCCCCTATACATTCCCACCCGAAACTTCCAACACTGAGCTAAGCTGAGCTTGCTGTGCTCCCCTCAGTGTGAAAAAGCTTATCTCCCACCACGTGTCAGGAGCTTCGGGGAACCAGGGCTGTGTGGGGATGGCTCTGCCTGTGCCGAGCCCCGTGCCTGTCACTGAGACATTTGAGGGTCCGTTTCTTGCCGATGAGGCAGTTTTTTAAAAGGCTCTCCATCTGGGGACGACTCATCCTGTGTGAGGCAGGTGCTTAAGCACTTGACGTGCTTGTGAATTTCAATAGTTGCAGCAGCCCCAGGGGGTGGGAGGCGTTATTGGCATTTCACAGGTGAGGAAACCGAGGCACAGAGAGCTCCGTGACTTGCCCAGGGTCACTCGCGAGTGAGTGGCTGAGGCAGATTCTGCATTCTAATCTGATTAAATCCAGAGCCCACATTTTTAAGCACACTGCTCTGCAGCTCCGGGGTCTTTTATCACTTTGTTTATCGTGAGTATTGATACAGGAGACTCCTAAAGTGATCCATGGATTGAGGCTGTCAAACATGAACCCAGAACACGTTGTGTTTTCAATAGGGTGTCATTCTTTATACACAAAGACAACAGACTCTTAATTCTGCCAGTGCCGCACACTGTGAGCTTTTTAAAAAAACAGCAACAACAAAAAACAGCAGTGGGATAATTCTGCTTATTCCTCTGTGTTCTGAATGGGTCACCCTTGTCTTACACCCAACAGCTCATATTTTGCAATGCCTGGTATTTAAAGAGTAGCTTCATTAAATAAAAATGTGAAGTGCGTGGCCTAAGGGGTTTAGGAAGAGTAGAAAAGGAAAATAAAGCTGGGCACTGTGGCTCACACCTGTAATCCCAGCACTTTGGGAGGCTGAGGTGGGCGGATCACCTGAGGTCAGGAGTTCAAGACCAGCCTGGCCGACATGGTGAAACCCTGTCTCTACTAAAGATACAAAAAATTTAGCTGGATGTGGTGGTGGGCGCCTGTAGTCCCAGTTACTTGGGAGGCTGAGGCATGAGAATCGCTTGAACCCAGGAGGCGGAGGTTGCAGTGAGCTGAGACCATACCTACTGCACTCCAGCCTGGGCAACAAGAACAAAACTCCGTCTCAAAAAAAAAAAAAGAAGAAGAAAAGGAAAGGAAAATTTCTCACGCATCCAGTGCATATATTTTCTATTCCAAACAGTAAGTGTAATTCATCAATTTATGGGTGGGAGAATGGTTTGATAAAGATGGACAGCGAGTCACTGAGTCGCCCGTGACGATGTGGTCTGTGCTTCTGTGTGTATGCTGTGATGTATTCATTCATAGCAGCCCTCACATCCAGTTCCCATGGGGTGCTGGGTTCTCAGGAAATGCATGTGAGGATGGAAGACACGGGACTAGAATGCACATGACTTTCAGGGGAAAATTGTTAGTTTTACAGTAGATGGAGAAGGAAATTTGCTTTTCATTTGACATCTTACTTTTCTTCTTTTCTTTTTTAAACTAAATCATTATAATCTTATTACAAGGGTAATATGTCTTCAATTTAGATAAGTTGAAAAAATATAGAAAGCCCCAAACTTATACAGAAATACAAATCTTGATTTTATTCTTGGTCCCTTTATCTGAAGGTTACGTAAGTCATTTTCAGAAAGACAGAATGCTCGAGTCTAAATCTCGCCCTCTCAACACTCACCTCCCTCGAGGAAGCTGAAGTCTCGGTCTCCGTCCGCGCCCCCACACACTGCCTTGCCAAGGGGCAGCAGAGCTTGCGTGGAGCCCCCTCCTCTCTCCTTTGGCAGGGTCTCTTGGTTTCAAGTATTGCCTCTTGACTCCAAAATCTGGATTTTCAATCCTGACCTTCCATGTAATTAATCTTCGGCTGAAAATTTCATGCTCATCCCTACTTTTCACTCCCCTTTAGATCACACTAATGCAGATCTTGTTACCAAATGCCAACACTGTTAGAACATCTCTTAATTCGTCTCCCTGACTCTAGTGCCTCTCCTTCTAATCCGTTCTTCATACTGGGACTAGTTTAATTGTTTTAAATCCCCTCATGTTCTCTGATGCCTATAGGGTAGTGTGCTAACATTTTAACCTGGAAATAAAAATGCTCTGCTGTCTTGCCTTTATTTACCTGTTCAGTTTCTCTTTCCGATTATAGTCCTGATACGGCAGAAGCATTTAGTATTTACTGAATATCCACGTGCTCCCCTGCATTTCCTGGCCTCCCTTACTGGCAGACTGGGCTAGGATGACTGAGTTCTGACTAAAGGGATTTGGGTAGAAGTAAGGTTTGTCACTTCTAGGCCTGGACATAAAAGCTCCTACATGGCTTTTCAGTCCTCTCTTCACATTTCATGGTGTCTTCGGAGGTCATGTGCACTTTCTAAGCACATTCAGAAAGTGCAGCTATAAATAGTGAAGCCTCCATCAGCCTGGGTCCCTGAATGACCTTGCGGAGTATACAAACCCCTGTTGACCCATGGTGGATGTGTAATGAGTAAGAAATAATTTTGTTTTTGTATTAAGCCTTTGAGATTTTATGCTTAATTTGTTACTATAGCATAGTCTGTGCTATCCTGGCAGACCCCACAGGAATGCATCTTAAGTACCTCGGAATTGAGCCATAGGCCTAATCTATTACTTCTGACTAAGAAGAGAGAGTTGAGACCTAGTCCCAGAACTTCAGTTCTAGAATGACCAATTCAATGATCCCCAGATTTTGAGATTTCATCAACTGGGAACAGTCAAAATAAAAACTAAGAGTTTGACAGGAGTTACCAAATGATAATTTTGCCAAGAAAAGGCATTTGAAAAAATCCTGTCATCTACTGTTACAACCATTTCGTTAAAAAGGACGTATAATGTCACATACCTCCTCCCAGCAGGGAGAACATACACTGTCAAAATTAAGGGTGAATTTTGTCATTGAATAAATTTTGCATCATAAAAAATGAAACTCTTAACAATATTGTTCTAACTTTCTCACTTCAGTATTTCCCAGTAAACACTTAGTGACGGAAGTGCTGCGGTGGGGACCAGCGTTCGCAAAGTGCAGAAGACACGGTTCCCCAAGTGAAGCTTGAAGACCTAGAAAGACCTGAGTCAGGTTTTCCACTGAGATGTGAACCAGCTCCTGGGGGCCCCTGGGGTGCTGCCTTGTTGACCGCAGGCCTTTAAGATCTTTGTGTACCGCTGAGACCTCTTGATTCTAAGGTAAGGGGTAGGAAAACTCTTGAGCACTTACACCAAAATGTGTAGGGGGCGGGGGTGTGCGGGCTCACGGGGGTTTACACATAGCTAATAGGTGTCAGGGGCAGGACTGGATTGAACCTCAGCCCCACTCCACCATCTCGGTGCCATTCCACTCTCGAGAGATTGAAGACTCAGAGCTGCAGGGAAACCAAACAGAGCTACCCAAGGTTCCTGGAATGGATTCTGCCAGGGTCCTCATTTGGTGACTGTGTTGCTCTCCCCAGGCCCTGGGTGCTGCCTCAACCTGCTTAGGTCCTTCCAGGCTCAGCCCTGGGGGTCTCTTCTCCTGGGAATGTCCCCTAACCCCCATGCAAAGGCTCAATTCTTTCCCCTCATGCTCTCACAGCATCCTGCATATACAGTTGACCCTTTAACAAGACAGGGGTAGGGGTCCAACCCCTTGTGCGGTCAAAAATCCATGTATAACTTTTGACTCCACAAAACCTTAACTACTAATAGCCTACTGTTGACCGGAAGTCTTACCAATAACATAAACAGTTGATTAACACATACTTTGTGTTATATTTATTATATTCTCTATTCTTACAAGAAAGAAAACTGGAGAAAAAAAGTTATTAACAAAATTACAAGAAAGCCTGGTTGTGGTGGCTCACACCTGTAATCCCAGCACTTTGGGAGGCCAAGGTGGGCAGATCACTTGAGCCCAGGAGTTTAAGACCAGCCTGGGCAACATAGCAAGACCTCACCTCTACAAAAAATACACATAAACAATTAGTCAGGCGTGGTGGCAGGCATCTGTAGCTCCAGCTACTCGGAATGCTGAGGTGGGAGGATCACCAGAGCCCGGGAGGTGAAGGCTGCAGTGAGCTGTGACTGCACCACTGCACTCCAGCCTGAGTGGCAGAGCAAGACTCTGTGTCTATTTTTAAAATACAGAAAAAGAGAAAGAAAATCCCAAGAATGAGAAAATATATTTACAATTCAGGTGAATTATAAATACAGTTGTCCCTCAGTATCCAAGGGGGATTAGTTCCAGGACTCCCATGGGTACCAAAATCTGAGGATGCTCAAGTCCCTGATACGAAAAGGTGCAATACTTGTACCTACTCACATCCTTCTATACACACACACTTTACATCATCTCTAGATTACTTATAATACCCATTACAATGCAAATGCTATGTAAAGAGTTGTTATCGTGTATTGTTTAGGGACTAATGACAAGGGGAAAAAAGTCTGGACGTGTTCAGATGCAATTTTCTTTTCAAATATTTTCAGTCCGCCATTGGTTGAATCCATGCATGGGAAACCCACAGATATGGAGGGTGAACTGCTCCTCTAGCGAGTTTTGTACATTAAGTGGCAGACTCAGGTTCTGCCGTGATTTGGCTTCTGTTGCCTTTCAGCATTGTTGAAAGAGCAAAAGATTTTCGATTTCCTCTTCTTGCCCTGAACATGGGAATCATGACTTTCTCTTCCCCATTGCACCTTCCAAGACTGGGACTTGGAAGGAGGGACAGAAGCGGGAGCTCTGAGTTAGGCCATCGGGGCCCTTGCTGGGAAGCTTTGCCTTGCGTAGGCTTCATGAGGGATGGCCTACTCGCTCCTCTGAGTGGAAAGAAATCTGAGAAGGGGCAAGTCTCAGGATTAGCGCCTCACCCTGGGCTGGCCCCATGTGTGGAGGAGGTGACCAGCTGTGTGGGGCAGGGGGGAAAAAGACCTCACAGCCCTGCCTCAAAGCTCCCTCCTCCCGCATTCTAGTGAGATCTTTCAGGCATTAGTTCCCTGCCCAGGGGCAGTTAACGCATCACCACTCAGCATCACCTGTCCAGGAAAGGGCATTGCAGAGCAGAGAGGGAGGAACAGCCATCTGCCATCTGTGGAGCACCCAAGGCCTCTGCCTAAGCCCTCTCCATAGCAGAGGACTTCCTGAGCCCTGGTGAGAGGCAGGGAAGGCTGGGCTGGGAGAGAACGCTTCTGGAGAGATGGCTGGAAAGGAAAGAAGAGCCCCCAAAACCAGGCACAAGATTAAATTTGCTCCCAGCACATCCTTCTGAAAACTGCCGTATCCCAGGGCCCTGTTATCATGGCCTAAGTATGTCAGGAAATCCTTGAAACAGCTCCATGTTGCACTTAAAACCTTACACATTGCATTGCCTGTCTTCCCTGCTGGGTTTACATGAAACCAGAACACCTGGTCAGTTTAGTCCAGCAGATAAAATTTGCATCCATGACCCTGGCCCGTTCTCTCCTCTCTCTTCCTGCTCACACTCACTCACGCAACGGTCCACTGAAAGTCTTGCTTGAGAACCCTTGGATTTTCTCCCTGGTAGGGTCTTTTAATGCCCACCCTGCCCCTCTCCACAGTTTATAGACAAAGACGGTAACAACCACGAAATTCAAGTCGCTGGTTGGAGGTCCCACACCTCTGAAGGACTCAGGCCTGGGAAATTAAGGAGCCCTGGTCCTCTCCCATCACTGACGGATGTCCAGTTCCAAATATGTTGTCCTGGAGCCAGACCCCTTTTTTGACTAATAACTGTGTCCTGACTCTTTTTTTTTCCAAATGAAAATGACTATGATTTTATTTGTTCATTAACAGTTTTACAATACTGCCCAGTTGACATCCAGAATCCTGGCAGAGGAAAAAAAGCAGGTAGACAAAAAGCATCACGTTTTCATTTTTTATCATCATTAAATGACCTCAAAATTATTTTATATTTAAGTTACTAAATTATTTTCTTGTCGTTAATTATGATTTGCAGAGGTAGAACTCACATAGCATAAAATTAACCATAAAATTAAAGTAGACCATTCAGTGGCATTTAGCAATTCACAGTGTTGCGCAACCATCACCTCTCTCTAGTTTGAAAACATTTTCATTCCCCAAAAGGAGACCCACTAACCATGAAGCAGTCTCTCTTCATTCCCCTCGCCACGGCCCCTGCGTTTTGTGTCCTTTGGATTCCCCTATTTCAGATACTTCATAAGAATGGAATCATACAGCGTGTGACCTTCGTGTCTGGCTTCTCTGATAATTATCTTCATGTACTGTTTGGTACATTAGTAAGTAGACGAAGTGGAAACCAGTAAACCTAGTAAGATTATTAACCATTCCCTCCTTAGCCCCGTGTGCAGGGTATGGCGGGACCTTATTTATTCTTGGCATCTCCCTTCACCTTGGCAAAATAGTACCAGTGCCTGGTATGTGCTTTATTATTATTACTATTATTATTATTAATGGACTTTATTTTTAGCAGAGATTTAGGAAAATTAAGCAGATAGTACATAGAGTTCCCATATAGTCTCCATGGTCTTCACAATTTCCCTTTTTATTAACATTACATTCGAGTGGTACATTTGTCGTAATTAAGGAACCAGTGCTGATACATTATTACTAACTAAAGTCTAGTTTATTCACATTTCCTGAGTTTTTTCCTAATGTCCTTTTGCGGTCCTAGAATCTCATCCAGGACACGGGATTCCACGGAGTTGTCACGTCTGTCAAGCTCCGCCTGTGCCAGTTTCTCCGACATTCCTTGTTTTTGATGGTACATTGACGGTTTTAAGGAGCGCTGCTCAGGTGTATTGTAGGATGCTCCGTGACTGGACTGTGATGCATTTCTTATGATTAAACAGGGGTTATGGGTCTTTGAAAGAAAAGTCACAGAGGTAAAGTGGTATTTTCATCAGACCCCATCAGGGGCACATAGCAACATAACTTATGACTGTTGATACTAACCTTGATCACTGGCTTAGTAGTGTTTGTCAGGTTCCTCCACTGTAAAGTTTCTCTTTTCCCCCTTCCTGCCTTTTCTTGTTTTCAAAAAGCCCTGTTCCCATGATTATGCTTCTGTAATATAAGCAGGTGGATGCTTTGTGTGGATACAGCAGCCTCCAAGGTTTGGATGGCCTTGTTGTCTGCTTAGCAGTGCAGGATCACCCAGAGGCTGTGCTGCGTGTGCTCAGAGTCTTCCACAGCCACAGTGTCATGTACGGGGTCTGGCCCACAACTGACAGGGAATCAGAATTTCCAATGGGATGTCAAACACATAGCCAATAGTTTCTTTCTGCTTAAATTCTTATTTAACAGTCTTCCCAGGGTTTTTTTTTTTAAATTTTCATTTAAAAAATCTTTTCAATTTTTTTTTGTAGTGGCAAGGTCTCCATAGACCCATAGTCCATTGCACAGACTGGTCTCCATCTCCTGGGCCCAAGCAATCCTCCCACCTTGGCCTCCAAAAGGGATAGATTACAGGTGTGAGCCACTGCACCTGGCTGCACTCTTCCAAGTTTTATCAGTCATGAAATCACAGCCAATGGGAACAAGAGCATGAATGCAGGAGGAGGTAGGAGAATCACATTTTCCTGTGTTCAGTCAACAAACATTGCTGACAACACGCCTGACATTCTGCAAGGACAAGTCATCTGGACAATGATGAGCATGGATGGCCCCTCTGCGGTGTCACTCACAACCCTTAACAAATCTATTTCATACATGGCAGATGATGGGAGCCCTGAAGGTACAGCTCCAAAATTGTTGCTTCCATGAAGGTTCAAATGAACCAGGGACTAACTCTGGGTTCTTGACACTTGGATTTAGACATAAACTTTTGCCTGTATGTTTTCAGAGATGAAGAGGACCAAGACACACATTCAGATGGGGGTGAGACAATGCCCGTTGTCCCTTCAGTGCATCAGTCACTTCCAGTGCTCTTCAGTGGAAACTCCTTGAAGCCGGCACTGTGCCATTAATGTAATTCCTGAAAAGAGAGGAAAATAGGCACACTGCCTTGGCAAATAAGATGGAGAAGGAAGTGAATACAGTTAGCTGGGTAGTAGGGATCTGCACACGATTATATGGAAAATAACTTTCTGGGCTGCAAGCTTCAAAAGCTCAGGACACAGCCCTGGAAGAGGTGCCAGGTTGCAAGAGGGAGGCATGCACCGGACTTTGGACCCCAGAGTGCTGCCTTTCCTTTCTCCAGCCACGCCCACCCTGCCTGTTACAGCACCTGAGCATGAGGACAGAAAGAAAGGACGGGGCAGAGGGGGTGGGGAGGGGTGTGTCTGTCCACTGGGCCGGGCAGTTTGGGTCTAGGGGAGGCTGTTCTAGGGCTCCTTTGAAAGCACAGGTAACAGATGACAAGCAGCACACAAAAGCTATTGACTAGTCCACACACTTAGAAAGGTGGAAAAGAGGAAATGCATATTTTCAGTAGAAGACAAAACAATGTCCCAGTGGCTGGTCATCCTCATGGATCGTCACGGTATGAGCACCTTGTACAGGGCATCTGGTCTGCCGAGAGCTGTCAGAGCCATTTTCTCAGCCACCTTTTTTTTTTCTTCCTTTTTTTGAGATAGGGTCTTGCTCTGTTGCCCATGCTGGAGTGCAGTGGCGCAATCTCAGCTCACTGCAACCTCCACCTCCCGGGTTCAAGAGATTCTCCCTGCCTCAGCCTCCTGAGTAGCTGGGATTACAGGCGCCTGCCACCACGGCTGGCTAATTTTTGTATTTTTAGTAGAGACAGGCTTTCACCATGTTGGCCAGGCTGGTCTCAAACTCCTGACCTCAGGTGATCTGCCCGCCTTGGCCTCCCAAAGTGCTGGGATTACAGGTGTGAGCCACCGTGCCTGGCCTCAACCATCTTTAAGAATAAGCGTTTAAAACTGGCCAGTTCCTTTTGGTGGAGTGACAAAACCTGTAGTCACAGAGACATTTGGAGCAGACGAAGGCTTGCATCTCGACCTCCATGCCTAGTTTTCTACTTGCCACTGACGGCAAGGAAACGACGGCCAAATCACAACCTCCTTATGTTTGGGTACTTTGCAGTCACTGCTTATAATAGAGTTCAGTCTCTTAAGAAAGTGTGAAATGAACATTGTCTTGAGTTTCTGCGAACGTCTCTGGTCCACTGGTGATCAATTTGTCCAAGTTTGCCTGGCTTTAGCACCAAAAATCTCACCTCTTGGGAACCCCAGTCCCAGGAAACCCTGGCAGTTGGTCACCTTGCCTCCCAGTCATCTGCTCTGAGAATCTTCATTTTAACAACTTGACTCATTAGTAATCTGGATTCCTTGTAATCTGAAAGTATTAAATTAGTCGAGAGTGTGTTTCTTTCCCTGCTCTTGCGAAGGCAGTCTAATGAGGATATGAGCTCTAGGCATCAGCTCCCCTGGAAAAAGGCGTAACATACCAAGGGTGACATACTTTTCAGGAACCCTAGGTGAAACCTTGAAGGCTACTGCTAACATGTATGGATGCAGTAACACCTTTTTCCAGAATGCAGAAAAGCTAAGACTTGGGACCAGAGAAATTATGGTAGAAAAATTGGAAAGCTCCTGACTTGTAGCTGAGTTGGGAAATGCTTGCAGAGGAATTCCTGGGAGAAACCGAATGATGTAAGGGTCCCCCATACCTGGAATTGATGTTCAGAAAAGGAAGAAACTCCACCAGATGGGGAGTGGGAAAGGTTGTATGTTCCAGTTTTTAGCTGAGTCTTATTTGGGATTATCACCATTTCTGTGACTTTTGAACAGCTTTGACCTCCAGGACAGACCAAATGGACCCCTCTGATTTTCTCAGAATTGTAGTATTTATTTATGTCTATATCATATCTGCAGACATGTATTATGCAGGTTTCCTCTGCTGTGTTTCCTCAGCTGCAGTTTCATAATTTATTCTGCCAGGCTCAGCATGTCCTTGACATACCAAACCATTAACTGAAAATCAGAAAAGTTCTGTGAGGTCGCTAAATTCTTTCTTCTGATGATCAGCCTGCACACTAGCTGAAAATAAAGCCACTGGGCTGGCAGACAAAAAATAATTGGCCTAAATGGTCACAGAAAAGTCTAAACAGAAGATTTTCTTTCCCTCTTCACTTGCAATGATTTATTTTCGCGGTTTTATGAGACTTTAATGAGGAAACCTTATCTGTACGCCTGGTAATTATCAACCAAATTTCCATTTCCTGCCAGAAAATCCACAATAAGCAGAACAAAAACGGTGGAATCGGGAGACTGTTTGGCCTCTGACCTGTATGGCTGGGGAGTAACTCATTGCCACACAGAGCATGTGACTAGCAAGCATGTCTGTGACTTCTCTTGTACACTTTTGCTTAAACTAAATTGCCACATTCAATTTAGTATAACTCAGTACACGTAGACTCAGACGCCATGAAGCATCCCGGACACTGTCCCATGAGGTGGCATTTGGGCAAGAGAAAGTACAACTTCCCTCTTCATAATTTAATATAATTTCTAGTCTCATCCAGTTCCTTCTGTTGGGTGAATGAGGTCATACCTGACATGAGGGTCTGACAAGAGGCCATGAACTTTGCATCTTGGAAAGTTGGGTTTTTCAACATAGATTGCAGCTCTTGCCTATGAGTGATGATGCTACAATTGGGGTCACTGAGGAAAGCTGCTGTGGGCACTGACTCCAGACTTAGCGGTGTGGATGTCCCAGCATCCTGAGATTCAGGTGGAGAGCTTGTCGATGCCATGGCACCGGTCTCTGGGACCTCTAGAACAGAAGGTACAAGAGGGGAGCTCAAATGAGCACGCCAGACAGATGGAGGCTGTGGGAGTTGAGAGTCTTTGTAGAATTGCAGGGTACTGCAGCACCCACAGCAGCCAGGAAGTCAGAACGCGTCTGAATCTTCTGTTCTAGTTTAGTTAACAAGGTGAGAATCCTTTTTTTTTTTTACACTTTTCTCTAGGTGTAAAATTTGTCATGCTCTGAAATAACCTACAAATTTATCTCTGCCTGTTCTGTCATTGAAAGAACTTTGCTCATGCTTTAATTGTGTCTTTATTGGCATTTGGGGGCCAGTGATGAAAAAAAACCTGAATAATAATGTAATGACTTATTTTAAATTAAAGAAATACTTCCCAAAAATATTTCTCAAGTCACCGCAGGTAACACTGGGTAGGTTTGTACCAGGTGCAAGTTCTACTCCAGGAGAAAATGAAATGGCCCAAATTTGCTCTTGCCCCCTCTACAGCAAGGAGTATGAATTCCTTCACTCTGTCTCTGCGTCCATCCCCATCCTGCCCTTCCCCATGGGACATGGGTAGGAGTGAGACGCCGGGAGCTAGAGGCTACTATACAGCATGCAGTGGCCACAAGCTTTGGGCATTGCTTGGTTTTTATTATCTTTTCAGTTATTAATCAATGTATGTCCTTTGACTCCTTCTCTATATTGCAGGAGTGTTTATATTTGGCAGGCTTCCTGGACTAGTGAATGAGCTGGGCCAGGGCTGTCTGCTCTTCGTCTTTCTTGAGGGGCCATTACCATTAAGTCACCTGCTATGACGGCAGTGTAGAAGGGGCTCTTGGCACACCAATATCCTCCAGAAGGAGCACGCTCCAAGATCAAGGCGTTCTATCAGTTAAGACCCAGACGGTGTCCTGATCTGGAACAGTGCTGTCTAATAGAAATATAATGAGAGTCACATAAGTAATTTTCGGTTTTCCAAAAATAGTGACATTTAGAAAAGGATCAGGAAGCAAGTGAAATTAATTTAAATTTATTTTATTTAACACGACATGTCCAAAACATTATTGTTTCAACATGAATGAAATAAGACATGAAATATTTGAGACATATATGTATATATATACACACACACACGTATATGTATATATGTATATGGTATGAAGTCCTTGAAATCTGATGTGTATTTTATACACACATTAAATCTCAATTCTGACTAGCCACGTTTTAAATGCTTGATAGCCGCATGTGGCTAGTGGCTACTGTGTGAGACAGCATGGATCTAGAATGTTTATTTATTCCAACTAACTCCATAGCCTCAGTTGGTTGCCTTTTGTTGCCATGAGTATGTGAGTGACTGTACTTAGTCATGGTGGACACTTTGCCCCACAAAATTGTGCATTCCCTGCCGTCTGCTATTTTCTCTCCATTGTCTCATTCTGGACCAAAATTTAGAGCTAGAGTTAGAATTCTGGTAGTCCCAGCTCTTCTGTGCCTTCAGAGAATGATGTGACCGTTAGTTCACCACAAACCTTCAGAATGGAAAGTTTAGACTGCTGATTCCCAAAGTGTGGTAGGAGTAAGAATTCGCTGATTAAAATGCAGATTCCTGGGCACACCTCCAGATGCACTGATGATAATTTCTGGAGATGAGGTCTGGGAATATGCCTTTTATCAACATCACCAGGTGATCTAATACACGTCAGAGTTTGAGAACACTAGCATAGACCTTCCACTGAGGATGGTTTATCTGGGAACTTCGGGTTCTTTCTCACTCAGTCTTTGTTCAGCTTCCAGCGACAGACAGCCCCCGTTCTCCCCTTGGCAAGGCTGCTGCTCAGTCGCTGTCCCATATTTTATAATCACCTTGCTCACAGTCAGCCGCATGCAGAGACCTATATAACACCCAGCAACTGAGAAACCGCTCTGCGGTGTATTTTTAAGACTGGAACTCTCCTTTTGAGCTTCTTCCCTCTATTTTTGTGTGTGCCAAGATAGCTCTGTATGGTGCAGCACCTGAAACTTAGCCACTTTTCTGTCAAGGGCTTTTAGGATATTTATAAACACCTTCTCGTTAATCTTCATTGCACTCCTGTAAAATAAATAACAAGTGAGATTGCCTTCGTTTTGCAGGAGGGAAATCGAGGCATCAGATAGTTGACTTGTGAAGACACTTTGGGGGGCCAAAATAAGTGATTAAATCACTTTTCTTTTTGGCAGCCATGCCCGTGTGTGCCCCTTCCCTGACCACTAAACTCTTGTGGTCACTGAAACCCATGGGGAAGAACTTCTGATAAAAGCATTTTCCTGAAGATGCTGCATGTGTCAGCATCTTGCCTCAGGTGACAAGATGGTTGTTTCCGGGCTATGCTGGAAGACTTGAGGCAGGAGGTGTGCTGTTCCATTTCATACTTGCTGTGGTTTGGATCTGGGTCCCTGCCCAAATCTCATGTTGAATTGTAATCCCCAGTGTTGGAGGTGGGGCCTGGTGGGAGGCAACTGGGTCATGGGGATGAGTGTCTCATGAATGGTTTGGCACCATCCCCCTTAGCACTGTCCTCAGGGCACTGAGTGAGTTCTTGTGAGATCTGGTTGTTGAAAAGTGTATGGCACCGTCCTCACTCACTCTCTTGCCCCTGCTCTGGCTGTGTAATGTGTATGCTCTCCCTTCACCTCCTGCCATGATCGAAGGTTCCCTGAGGCCTCCTCTGAGGCCAAGCAGATGCCAGCATCATGCTTCCCATACACTCTGCAGAACCATGAGCCAATTCAACCTCTTTTCTTTATAAATTACCCAATCTCAGGTACTTCTTTATAGCAAGGTGAGAATAGGCTAACAGGATACTTCTTTGGGATACCGTGTCTTCTGGAAAGAAGTTATCTATAGCTCCCAAGTCCCTGCAGCCCAGTGATGAGCATTTGAAATGAAAGCGTGGAGGTCTTGTCCTTTCTCTCTACCTCTGCTTCCCAGCAGGGCTGACAGAGCATTTCTCACTCAGGGCCATGGCAGCCACAGGGAGGGCATCGAGTCTCACACGGGGATGCTGGGCTGTCGTTTCTTAATGTAGTCCAAAGCCATTGCTGCCTGTAGACTTGAGGAATCTTTCTGTCAAGAGAGAGGAGTGTGTGCAGAGCGACCCCAGAGAAGGATGCCTTTCAGCAATGTTTGAATTGCTGTGTTTTGTTTGGCTGCTGGATGATCCTTTTTCAAAACATATACTTTAATGCAGGTATTTTATATGTGTGTTTTCATACTATAATTTCCTTCTCTGTCTTTTTGTTTTAAAGCTCTTCTTTTTTAATTGTAGGTTCATTTTGATCGTAAGTTCATTATAGAAATTTGTAAAATACAGAAGGTATAATGGTGAAAATTAAAATTACCTACAGTCTTACCATCCACAGAGATAACCACTACTATTTTGGTGTGTTTTCTTTAGTTTTTTCCTTGCTTTTTAAAAAACATATTTGACATGACCAATATGACTAAAAACCAGCTTTTTCTTCTAGAAACCTTGGTTCATTTCTTGGACAGTGATGTTTATTCACAGACCTGGTGTTTGAGAATGTCAATGGGTATGTAATTGTTTCTAGGTCTTTTTGGTGAAGACAGCTAGAAAATAGATATTTAAATATAAAATCTCCATGAGTTTTTACTCTTATTCTTTTACTTTTTTACTTAACCTCTTCTATTTTATATCTGCATCTCCTTTCTTTCACACTGAGAAGTCTGGTTCTCAATGACACAGGAATGATATATGTATTAGTCCATTCTCATGCTGCTGATAAAGACATACCCGAGACTGGGTAGTTTATAAAGCAGAAGAAGTTTAATGGACTCGCAGTTCCATGTGGCTGGGGAGGCCTCACAATCATGGCAGAAGGCAAAAGGCATGTCCTACATGGTGGCAGACAAGAGAGGATTGAGACCCAATTCTCTCAATTGGGTTTCAATTGAGAGAATTGAAAGGGGTTTCCCCTTATAAAACCATCAGATCTCATGAACATGAGAACAGAATGGGGAAAACTGCCCCCTCATTCAATTATCTCCCACTGGGTCCCTCCCACAACACATGGAATTATGGGAGCTACAATTCAAGATGAAATGGGTGAGGACACAGCCAAACCATATTAATATAATTAGAATATTCCATATTAATTCATATGCTTTATTCTATATTACTTATACAATCATCTCAGAATAACAGTACAAATACTCCCATCACCAATGTGATTACTGAAAACAGTGTTTTTACTACATATATTTTCCCTATTTATCCTTCCCCCATTTTAAAATGATTGTACTATGTCTACACTGTCAAGACACAACCACTGCATGATGTATGCTCACCTCTGTTCTGTGTGGACTGTACGTTTACTGTTCATTACCAGAACTCATATCAATGTTTCTCTGGTCATTTTTATTGTCTGAATCTTGTTCTCTAGTAGATTCTTCAGAAAGGATCCATGAGGACAATATTTTCTAAATTCTTTCATGTTGATACCAGTATGTACCTTTTATTCTTGAGAAAATCCATTTTGCTGGTCATAAAATTCTTGGTTCACATTTTCTTTCCATTAGTATCTCAAACATGTTAGTCCATTTTCTTCTGCCATAAAGCATTGTGTTTGAAAAGACTTTTCATTATAAATTGCTTCCTGTTTTTGCTTAGATGCCCAAAAAAGATTTTTCCTTGTCTTAAATTCAAGTCTAGTTTGGTTTTGGTATTTGTGGTTCTGGTTGATATTCACAGGTATGTGGCATGTTCTTTTAGTGTGTAGTCTCAGGTTTTTTCTTTTTAATTTCAGGAAAGTTTTCTTGCTTTGTTGGCTTCCCAGCTCATTTTCTTGTACTAACAATATTTGAGGATCATCTGGATAGATGGAGAAAATAAAGAAGCCTATGGTGCTAGTAAATTCACTGGATTGGGGCTGTCCACTCTAGTTAACAACCTTACTGATGCCCAAGACTATATTATCTTTCATGAACTTGTAAAAATTGATGTGAAGCCATCAGATAAAGATGTGCATGAAGAAGACATAGAGAACAGAGGATTTGAATACCCACACCTTCCAGCACCACAGATTAATGATTGCTTTCCCAAATATACCTGTTCCTG
The DNA here is from genome assembly GCF_000001405.40 of Homo sapiens. Lineage (NCBI taxonomy): Eukaryota > Metazoa > Chordata > Mammalia > Primates > Hominidae > Homo > Homo sapiens. The sequence continues at coordinate 184,072,710 of NC_000004.12, forward strand.
TCCCAGTGGGTACAATCTAAAGGAAAATGGCAGAGAGTGTCAAAGGATCACTGTGACCACTCTGGTATCAAAAGTCAGTGTTCCTCCAAAGGAGACTTCTCCTGTCTGGGTCATCCTTCCTCTTTTGCTCTAAGCAATGGCAGCAGTAGGTGGATACTTGAGTGGCAGAACTGGCAACACAAGAACA